>NC_000007.14:70385566-70688597 GCF_000001405.40 Homo sapiens | reverse complement strand
CCTTGGCCTTCCAAAGTGCTGGGATTAGAGGCATGAGTCACTGCACCCGGCCATGATTTGTTTTTTTTGTTTATTTTCTCTGTATGGAGGACCCACCACCTCAATTTGGCTTTAAATGTGACTATCCAAGGACTGTGTCTTGCTTGTCTTTGTCCATGCCACAGCAGCAGTATAAATAACAGATGTGTGTCTGGAGACAACACTTTATTATCTGTTTGTGATGATAAATCCTCCTGTATGCCCCGAGCCATGCCTTCTGAACTCACCTGGTTTCTTGTGGATAGAATTCACATCTTAGAATTTGTCCACATCTTGGAATTTGTACCCAGCACAGAGTTAGGAGGCCTTGCTCAACATACCCATGATGAGAGGAATGAAGACACGGTGGAAATTGTCCCAGCATGCTAGTTAGTCTGAGGGCTCCCAACAAGTGTCTGGGTAACTGATAAGGTTGGGAGAATGCTCAGGGCAGACAACAGCTACTGAGAAGCCTGGAGGGATCTGCATTTTGACTTCGGTGCCCACTGCTCTTACTCATGGCAGTCAAGCAAGGGTCCTAGGATGGAGAACTGGAGTCAACAGGTTGCCCGCCACTGGGAGGCAGGCCGAGGTTGTCCTACTTGTCACCTCTGCTAATTCCTAATATTCTGCCTTCCACACTGTTCAGCCCAGGAGATTAAAACTCTTTCTGGTTCCCAGGGATTTCTTCTGTGTAGGCTGATTCATTTGAAACTATGGATTGGGATGTCTTCCTTAGCGATTCAGGGCTAATCAACGTCAGGTGGCCCCCAGTTCCTCTGCTCAGTGCCCCCCAACCCCTTCTGAATGGGTGATTCTGAAAATGGAAGCTTCCTTCCTTATCACCCTGAAAGGAGAGTGCAATAGCTCATGCTCGTACTGCTGTAAAGTAAAAACCTCTGCCATTATATGCCCGTGTTGCTACAATTGATCATGGATCTGCAACAAGAGGGAAGTAAATAAACTGAACTGGATTAGTTTATGATGCATACCATTGAGACACAGGGGGGAATAAATATTTTCCGAGTGTAGAAGTCAAGGAAAGGAATTTTACTTTCAAACTTCACAATGTACTATAAACTACAAAGGGGAAAAAGTATTAAAAAATCCATAAAATATATCTTACTTAACCACCAAATCTACATTAAGGTATTAATATTCAGAATCTGACAACCCTGCAAAGAAAGGCAATGAAAAATACAAATAAATCCAATCCCTGCTCGTGTCACCCAATTGGCTGTAGGTATCTCATCTTACTTTTTACAGCAGTGCATGTGATGAGAACTGTGAGGCCTCTCTGCCTCCCCTGGTCATGGCTGTCTCGTTTCCGTCTGGACTTGGTTTGCTCTTTCTCACATCATGTCATATTGATGGGTGTTTGAAACTTGGGGTCTAGCGACCTGCATTTCATATTGAGTCCATGCTCCCTGGGGGACCCTACTAAGTCCAGGTACGCATCCTGCCTTAGTTACCGGCTCATGTATCCAACACCTGGCTCCTCTATTTCCATATGAACATGGGGCAGAGTTGGGGGGTGGTAATTAAAATGAAAATGTATACAAAATGTCTGCATGAGCTGAAAGGACGGATCGGCGTAGAACACAATGTGTAAGTCAGTCATCAGAGATGACAGATTGAGGAAAATAATGTGTTCAGCGGAAAAGAAGACACTTAAGACAACTCCCCACTGCTAAATTCGATTGGATTTAAAAACAAATAAATGAATGAATGAAAAGATGCTTTCGGGTCTGGCGCAGTGGCTCACGTGTGCGTGGTCCTAGCACTTTGGGAGACCGAGGTGGGCAGATCACCTGAGGTCAGGAGTTTGAGACCAGCCTGGCCAACATGGTAAAACCCCATCTCTACTAAAAGTACAAAAATTAACCGGGCATAGTGGCAGGTGCCTATAATCCCAGCTTCTCGGGGGAGGCTGAGGCAGGAGAATCGCTTGAACCCGGGAGGTTGCAGTAAGCTGAGATTGCGCCACTGCACTCCAGCCAGGGGGATACAGCAAGACTCTGTCTCCAAAAACAAAAACAAAACAAAAAGGGCCTTTAAACAGGTGCCAGCCATTTCTATGTTTGGGGACAACTAAGAGGTAGTTGGTCTAGTGGTTAAAAGCTTAGCCACTCATGAAAGAACCAATGGGTTCAAATCCTAGCTTATCCTCCACTCCCACTTACTGTGTGATGGTGGAGAGAGGACTTTGCATCTCTGTACCTCAGTTTCCACATCTAGAAAGTATGGCCATAACATCACCTACTTTGCTGCAACTGTTGTTAGGGTTAAATGAATTCATGTATGTAAAGCACTTGGAACAGCAACTTACCTTCATCATTAGTGACAAGTCACCTAGGAGTAGACATTCTTATAGTTTCAGGAAAGCTGACTTCTAGCAGCCCCTCTTAGTTTTATAAATGAAGGTTGTCAAGCACCCAGTCCCCTAAGGGGACAGGACATATGGTAGCCTGACAAAGGCAGCCTTGCTGTAAGGTCTGTTGACAGGTGAGGATCCCAGACAGGAGCTTACTATGAAAGAAGAAGGACTGAGCTGGGGGAGATGGTGCTGGGGCGGGGGCTTGCTCAGCAAACAGTGGCTGTCATTGCACCCATGTATAAATTAAGAGCTGTAGCCATGGGCTCCCGGGCATGGGTGCAGCTTCTGGGAGGGTGGGAAGGGAGTCTCTGCAATTGCTGGTAGGGATGCGACCATCTGTGTTTCAGCAGATGCACTAAGTGGCAATGTTAGAAACAACCACTGTGGGAAACGGGGAACTGCTGGTGAACTGATCGCGTTTTCCAGTTCTCTAGGTAAGAGGCATTTTAGCCATTTTAGGCTGAGCTCTCCGCAGTTTTTTCTTTTTTTAAAAAACAATTCAGGGTAAAAGAGGGCCCTGAAACCACCTTAGATGTTCCTCAGTTGGATGCTGGAATGACTAATATGAATATTGAAAGAAATACTACCTTTTTGGGAGTTCTCCGACCATGTTTACCATTCAACAAGTCATACCACATATGTTATTATCATTTCAGCTCAGTTTGAGGGAGGACTACTGAGGGAGAACTATTTCTCTTTTTTCTTCTTCTTTTTTTTTTTTTTTTTTTTTGAGACAGAGTCTTGCTCTGTCACTCAGGCTGGGGTGTGGTGGTGCGATTTCTGCTCACTGCAACCTCCGCCTCCCTGGTTCAGGCTATTCTCCTGCCTCAGCCTCCTGAGAAGCTGGGTCTACAGGGGTGCATCACCATGCCTGGCTAATTTTTGTATTTTTAGTAGAGGCGGGATTTCACCGTGTTGGCCAGGCTGGTCTCGAACTCCCGACCTCAAGTGATCCACCTACCTCAGCCTCCCAAAGTGCTGGGGTTACAGGTGTGAGCCACTGTACCCAGCCAAGAACTACTTTTCTGTATCTGATCTGAGGACCCTCATTTCTAGCTTTGGTTAGTCCCAGGGAAAGACTGCTGCTATTCTAGGACTGAGTCAAGCTCAAAATATGATTCTAGTCTTCATTTCAGTGCCTTGAAATGGAAGGGAGGGAGAAATCAACCAACCAAGAAGTGAACCCTAGACTGAAAAAAGAGCATGAGCCATAAATTATATGTGACGGTGCCATTTACTGGTTCTAAGATTCAGCCTCTCCAAAGGACGCTGCCAAAAATGCCCTAGAGTAACACATATTTTTCCAGAATGCTACAATTATAATGTCGTTTGCTCTTACATCAATCTTGTGAGGCAAAGAGAGTAACGGAGAGTTTCTTCCTTATTTTAGATAAGGAAATGGATACAGGAGTGTAAGGAGGTCCTCTGCAGTGAAGGAATGAGGATTATAGCATGGTGCCAGCAGGCATGTCACATTCCTTCCCTAATACCATGCTCCCACTGTCCATCCCCACCATACCACAACACACCATACCACACCACACGCCACGCCACACCACCCCACACCATACCACGCCACACCATACCACACCACACACACCATACCACAACATGCCACGCCACACCATACCACGCCACAACACGCCACGCCACGCCACACCACACCACATCACGCCACACCATACCACACCACACCATCCTATCCCCACTGCTGGGTAAATCTCAGTTTCTCCCTCCACTGGCCAGATGTCTAAGACAAAATCATTCTGCTGTCTAAACTCTAGAGAGGTTTTAAGATCTGAAGGGTCATGGTAAGGCTGTCTATAAGTCACGTGACTATTCCTGGGATATACAAGTAGTTTACCTTCCCAGGTTTTGTGGTTTGAAAGATTACTGACATCCTGAGAATGGTGGCCAACCGCATGTTAGTCCATCCTTCTACTCAAAGGCTTTGCTATCTCCTCCTGGAAACGTTACCTGAAAGTATTAATAATCTTTAGGGTACTGAAAATTTGACTCCTGCATCTATGCTAATATACAATGATCTAACAAAGCTTTTTTTTTTTTTCCCTAGCCTTATTATTAAGCATCCTGATGGTCCAAATATTGACTTGCAGGAATTCTTGTTGGCTGAGGACAAAATATTTGCTTCTACTGGTTTGGGGAATCATACACTTGCTGGGGTAGTAGCTGAGGAGCTAGAATGTCGTAGAATTCCCTTAGTTTCGATTTCCTGAAAGCATTCTTATTGAGCAAGGTTTCTGATTTTCCCTCTTGCTCTGGCCTTAGTTTTTCTCTCTGTCTCTTCCATGCTATCAGAATGGAATGGGAAACCCTACTATGGCCATTCCAATAGCCTCCATCTCTGGGGCTTTATCAATCAAATTAGCACAGTTTGTAGATGGTTAACTGTTACAGAAATGCCAGTTATTATGATCATATGCCGCTGTTACATAGGGTCAGGGCAAGCCTGTGTGCCTACAAAGACCCGCCAGCTCCTCTCTGGTCCTATGTAATTTCCATTTACAGATCTGTATTGCAAATGAATTACACCAGAAATTTCTTCTTCTGCTCCAAACTACAGCTTTTCTTGAATGCTTCCTAATGGAAACATAGATCTAAGACAATATATAACATGTAGTTGTTTCTCGGCTCACCTCTGGACACTGCCATTCCTTTAGGGGCACACGTATCCTCACTGGGAACAAGATACTGCTTTGGAGAGCAGTCTGTAGATTCAATCACTCAAGGACCAGGACTGTGATGTACTCTTACACACCACCATTGCCCTTAACATCTAGTACAGTATTCTCATGCATCACATGTAAGAGATGGGTTGATACGCAGTGGTCAGATCAATGAGTAAATAAATAAATGACCAGATCTCTGCCAACTAAAACAGAAGAGAATGAAGACATTATCTCAAACATAAAACTAAACTGCAAAGTCCTTTCCACGAATTGCCAACAGTTTGGGATTTCACAGAATATAGAAACCCATATGGCTAACAACAGAGCGTGGGTACATTCTCCTGAAAATCAAAATTCTAAAAAATATATCATTAACCATTGTGGTTGCTCATCTCCAAATATGGCTCCCAAATAATTCTGTATGTGCATGTCATGCCTCCCATTAGAAGGTGAAACTTATGTCCTTGTGACTGACGTGTGACTGTTTTGATGAATAGAATGAGGAGGAAGTGATATGCTGGAGATTCAGAGTTTGGGCCCAGCAGCTTCTGGTTATTTAAGCTTGTAACACAGTTACCATATAGTAAGGATGCCCAAGCAGTACCACATGGAAGTAAGCTGAGGCCTTGGGACCACAGGGCTAGCTGAGTTCCCAGCCAACAGCCCCTGACAACTTGCCAGCCACGTGAAGAAGCCATCTTGGGTGTGGCTCCGCCAGCTCCAGCTGAACTTGCCTTAGCAGATGCCATGTGGAACAGAGAGGAAGCTTCTCTGCAGAGCCCTGCCCTAATGGCAGCATTGTATTTCCAGGCTCCAAATTCGTGGTTTGTTACAAAGCAATAATAGGTAAGTGAAACAACCATCTGGGTCAGCCTCAATCAACACTGCGAGAATGGAAGAAGGTGAGCACATGCCAGGATGAGATACATCCATGGGCACCACCTTTGTGTTCCTGCCTCTGGGAGGAAGTGACAAGGACTTTGAAGTTCGAGAAAGAGTGCTACTGAAATGAAAATAAATCACGGCAACAACAAAAAAACTTGAAATAAGAAAAATCATTGCCAAAATAAGGAAAAGTTTTCTATTTGATAAAGCAGAAGAAAACTTAACATGACAATTTTAATGAAAGAATAAATCTGGTCTCCCCCCTTTCCTTTTGGAGGCTGGGAATGTTTGTACAACTAAAAAGTCTTTAGTAATCCCTTCTTTTATCCAAAACAGATTGCAGTTTTCAGCACGGCCCCATAAACTGCAGGTTCAAAGGAACCTGAAACTGAATTAGCATAAAATCTGGAATTCTCATTTCCACCAAATGCACAGCTGCCATCTGACAGCTCTTCTGTGATTTCAGTTTCAAATAGAAACTGAAAGAAGCTGAGGTGGCGCGGGCCATGGGTTCTGTCCTTTCCCTCACTCTCCTCCACACACTCAGAGTCAAGAGGATCTTAGAGGTCTGCCTCAAACCTCTGGTTCTAGAATGAATCCCTTAGCTAACAACCTGCCCAATAAAACTGGTAGGGAACAACCCCAAAGCCACGGACAGTTAGTTTATAAGCGAAGAGGGCTGGGGGTTGCCCATAAGATATGAGTGCTTTGCTGACGGCCTCGGGAGTGTGAAAGACTTTAAAGTAAATTCACACAAAACATGGGGTCGAATATGCTGGGACTAAGTTGGAACATAGGGTTGGATCTGCTGGGAGAGGAGGTGGAGCCCCCGTTCCCAGTTTTTGCATTACAAATACCAAGAAATCCACACTGGAATACACTAAAATTTAAATACCAGCAGGTCTGTTGATTTGCTTTCATGATTCACTTAACACTTCCTCAGCTTTCTCTGTAGGTCATGACAGCTCTAGGCAACTACGTTTAATTCTGGAAAAGCAAAGTGGGCGGGTTGGGGTGGTAGTGGTGTTGCTTTGCCTACCGCTGAAATCCTTCACCTTGGGGGAACAAGTTACTCTTCTTTGCATACAGAAGAAAAAAAAAATATATATATATATATGTACACTGATGCCCTCTGAGGAGTGCATGTGCTCTGAAGAGGATTTTCTCACCCCCAGTAGCGAGGGAGGATTTATCCAGAGCCATCCCAAGCCTCTCCTCTGATTCTCCATGTGATTGACTGAATGACTCCAAGTGACAGCGGGTGGGGGCAGCATCAATAGCACATGAAAAGCGGGCTGCAAACCCTCGGGGAGCGGGAGGCAGGGCCCTACTCCTCCCTCAACAACAGGATTCCCGCCAGGCCCGGGTGGATTCTCCCAAACCACCATGCCCCACGCAGAGCCATCTGCTCCTGAACTGGGGCACGGATGTCAACTTAACATCCGCCACTCGGGTGAGAGATGGGATGGGCCTGTGCTGGCCAAGTGTGGTGGGCTGCCCTCCCTGGAACACTCTAAGAAATTCACAGGGAAGCGAGTGTGGATCTTCAGAACTTCACTTTCACTCAGGTCTGTGCCTCCTTTGAAGTTCCTCTACTGCTAATGTACAACTTTTCATATTCTCCAGGAGAGAAAAAAATGTAGGGAGCATCTGGTATTTACACAGAATCTTAGAGGGAGTTGATGGATTTAATTACAAGTGTTAGTAAAACAGGAAAATTGTAGCCAGGCTTTCAAATAGCCACTCGCCTATAACTAACAAGACTTTCGGTTGTGCTGCTGGGAAAGAATGCTATTTATTTTCCTCGCAATGAGTTTTCTGGAAGAAGAGGAGGCTGGTAAAAATACAGTTGTTGGCTGGTAGCTTTTCTTTTAATTTATGATGTTTTCCTTCTTATACAAAGATCGGGCCACAAACAACATTCTACTAGGCAGTACGTTCCCAGTTGTTTTTCCATCAGCACTCGTGGTGATGGATTTTCTTTCTGTTACCAGTGCTCACTCACAGCTGACAACCTGCATTTGCAAAATGACCAGCTGAGTTTGGGGGTGCATGAGGAGGCATGGAAATGATTTCAAAGAACTGACCTGTAGGCAGATTAGAGAACCGACCTGGACCGGATCACATGAGCAGCCAACTCTGATGAGTTTTAGAAGACTGTTTGCAGGGCTATTGTAGACCATGACAGGGAAGATGAGGTGCTGAATGAATACTGTACTGGATTAGAAAGGTCAGAAGCCCTGGATTTTACAACAGGTCCAGTCCCAACTAGTTATGACTTTGGGTAAGTCAGGTAACTATTTCTTCACCATTAAAATGCACACCAGTTGGGATGAATAATCTCTCTCTCTCTGTGATTCTTTATGATCTGGTACCTAATGTATAAACAGAGAATAGTCTCTGTGCTGAAAAATAAATATTTTCCTCCTTCTATTAATATTTTCTTAGAGTTTATAATTTCTAAGTAGGATATACCATTCAATGTATGTACCTCTTCTGCTTCCACCCTCCTCCCCACTCTCATGGAATTTCCTGATAAGCCAATGAAATGTCAGAAGTATGCTATGGTCTGCATTTAATCCTTCTAAGTGGTGAGTAAAATTCAGCTTCCTCACTGAGACAGTCAAGGTACAAGTGAGCCTCCTGGGCTCCGTGCCGCTGTCAGTTGGTACTACGGGGCCATTAAACACATTTGTCAGCTTTGTGTTTTAAAAACAAAACCAAAAGGGTAAATGTGTCATCACACCCACTTTAGTCTGAAATCCACAAGGGAAGGACTTCAGAACGAAAGAACAAAATACACATGCCTTCCCCCAAACCCACACAGATCAGAACACTGCTAAATTCTAAGTTGGGCTTTGCCTTAATCAGACCATTCCTAGCCAAGGAAATGTGCAGGCCACATTGAGAACCAATTTAGTCATTTCTGACTTCTCAACAATCAAATAAAACAATAAATAGCCTGAAGTGGGCTAGAAGCGGACAGGGACCACATGTATTTCCTCTCAGGATTTTTTTTTTTTTTTAACATGAAAGTTTGGCTTGAAAAGAACTTATTGCATAGACACATGTGGCCTCAATAGGTCAGATCTTTAATGGATGAGACAGATTCCAGATTCAAGCACACAATATCAGGATTTAAAACCCCAGAATTTGGTAATGGAAAGTTTGGGTCACATTAAGGGCTGTGGGATCCAGGGATAAGATTTAGTTTTAAATTAGCCTCTTGGGCAGGCTGAGCATCTCCCTAAGAAGCACCAGCTGTCTCCAGTTCTACCTCTTCCCTTCTCTCTGGGCACTTCCCCCTTGGATGGGCCACAACGTTCCTGGCTTCAGATTCCTTTCCCGTGTATTTATTGTTGACTCCTACCTTTACAGTTACTCATTTTTGTTTGTTTTAGATGTCTTTTAAAGTTTTGCCTAAGTGTGTATTTTGAAAAATTTCTAACAGGAAAAAATAATGATAGATGGTGAGAATAACACCCAAAAACTCTTTGCTTGACTTCCTCCATTGATAACATTTTGCCACATTTCCTTTGTCTCTCATTATGCTTGGTATATGATTACATATACCATGCAGGGTCTATTTATTCATCTACTCATTTAGGGTTTGTGTGAGGGAAAGGAAACTCTCCCAGCTTTCCTCATGGTTGCCAATCCGAGTATTAGCATATAAGACTCTGATTGGGCCAGGTTTGCCAGTGGACAGGGTCCCTGTGCTTCGAAAAACCACAGCTTTGAATTTAAAAAGTCCTGCACACACTTGGGCCTCTCTTCTGCCTTCTGTTGCCTTCAGGACTGGTGATGACTAAGCTCAGCTAGGGGCCCCTTGGAAGTTGCTCTGAGCTTCGTGGTCAACCCACAATAAAATTTAGACTAAGGGAAAAAGGAAGGCCTGCTTTGGTGGTGAGCCTAAGGCACTTACTTGCTTTAGCACGGATTGCAAAAAGAGGTTTGTTTGGTGGTACTAAGCATTCACCCAACTAATAAAAAAAGTAGTATTTGATTTTTCTGTCAGTTTCTTTATCTCTAGAATGGAAAACATACTGTACCTGTCTCTCAAAGTGTGTCTTGAAAAGACCAGGGTTGTGAAGATTACCTTAGCTAGAAGAGCATCAACTGCAAAGTAAGTGCTCAATAAATATATCTATTATGATTCTTGTTATTATTGTTGCTTATGTGTCTTGCTCCCCCCAGTACCACTCCAAGGAGAGTTGAGGGGCAAGGCAATATTTGGAAGTACGTTCGGCAGTGTTAGCCTCTTCATGTCATCAAAATCTTTCCTTAAATCCAACAGTTTGTGTATTGTATGTGTATTAAGCATACACACTTCCGCTGTATGCCTTATTTCTTTACAGTATAAGTAAGAGCCATTCATTCAGTATGGATACTTTTACTAAGTATGAACTATGTACAAAAAAAAGAAGAACAAAACATGTTATCTGCCCTTAGGAAACTTATAATTTAGGAGGGAGAGAGGACAACTACACGTGGGGAAGGTAGAACCTACTAAAATTATTATTATTATTATTTATTAATTTTTTTTGAGGCAGAATCTCGCTCTGTCGCCCAGGCTGGAGTGCAGTGGCACCATCTCGGCTCACTGCAAGCTCCGCCTCCCGGGTTCACGCCATTCTCCTGCCTCAGCCTCCCAAGTAGCTGGGACTACAGGGCCCGCCACCACGCCTGGCTAATTTTTTGTATTTTTAGTAGAGACGGGGTTTCATGGTGTTAGCCAGGACGGTCTCGATCTCCTGACCTTGTGATCCACCCGCCTCGGCCTCCCAAAGTGCTGGGATTATAGGCGTCAGCCACCGCGCCTGGCCAGAACCTACTAAAATTATAAAAATTTTATAAGGTAGAACCTGATAGGTATCCAGGGAAGCATTAAGAAAAGTCACCCGAGGTGGGCTGCAGTGGCTCATGCCTATAATCCCAGAACCTTGGGAGGCCGAGGCAGGAGGATCACTTGAAGCCAGAAGTTCGAGACCAGCCTGGGAGACAAAGCAAGACCCTGCCTCTACAAAAAGAAAAAAGGAAAAGTGACTCGAGGAAAATGGCAGGAGACACGGGGCAAAGCTAAGGTGAGAAAACACACTTAGGAGGCAGAACCTCAAGGAACGCACGAGTGTGTGGCAGTGATGCAACACAAAGGGCGATGCTAAGATGTAAAGGCTGGGGAACTGGTTAACATCAGGAACACAGAAGCATGTGGAGGCTTTCAGGGGAATATAGAGACTTTGCTTGGGACGAGATGAATTTAGAAGACCGTGAGGAAAGCCTAGCCACGGTCAGAAATTTGGGAGTGGAACATCAGAAAGAGAGCTCGGATTTGCAGATAAGTTGCAAATGTCTTCTGCAAAGAGATGAGGGAATGTCGTGGCGTGAAAAGAAAACACAACCAAGGACTACACCTGGACAGTGTCCACGTTTACTGCGCTGGGGAAGGAGTCACAGACAGAGTTGAATGACAAGAAGGGATTTCCAGGAGGAGGAGAACTCAAAAATGGCAGATGTGTTAGAGGTGCTGGAGGAGAAGGACTGAGAAAAGACAGGTGGATCGCTGATTTAGGAGGTCTCTGGTGAATAGCAGGAGAATTGTTAGAAAATGGGGTTGAAGCTAGGTTACATATTAAATGTTAAGTTCTAAACAAAGTTGTAAGAACATAGAGGCAAGTATGTACAGACGATTTTTGAAGAGTGTAACAGAGAAGGACTGGAAAGAAACAGAAAGGTGAACTTTTTTTTTTGAGATGGAATCTCACTCTTGTCGCCCAGGCTGGAGTGCAATGGCATAATCTCAGCTCACTGCAACCTCCACCTCCTGGGTTCAAGTGATTCTTCTGCCTCAGCCTCCTGAGTAGCTAGGATTATGGGTGCATGCCACCACGCCTGGCTAATTTTTGTATTTTTAGTAGAGATGGGGTTTCACCATGTTGCCCAGGCTGGTCTCAAACTCCTGACCTCAAGTGATCCACCTGCCTTGGCTTCCCAAAGTGCTGGTATTACAGGCATAAGCCAGCGCACCCGGCCAGAAAGGTGCCCATTTAAGTGAAGTCTGAGTCTGTTTTAAACCATTAGCAACAGAGAGCAGGAACAGGACACTCCACCCCTCAGACTCCCTGGGCCATTAATGTGGTTGGGCTCACTCTCTCTGTCTACATCTTTTCTCTCTCTCTCTCTCTCTTTATTTTTTGAGACAGGGTCTGGCTCTGTCGCCCAGACTGGAGTGCAGTGATGCCATCATGACTCACTGCAGCCTCGACCTCAAGGGCTCAAGCCATCTTCCCACCTCAGCCTCCTCAGTAGTTGGGGCTACAGGTACGCACCACCCCACCAGGCTAATTTTTGGTAGACATGGGGTTTTCCATGTTGCCCAGGCTGGTCTCGAACTCCTGGCCTCAAGTGATCCTCCCATCTTGGCCTCCCAAAGTGTTGGGATCATAGGCATGAGCCACCACATCTGGCCTATATCTTATTCTTCTTCTTCTTCTTTTTAATGAAGAGGAATAACCTTTTATACCAAGTCAGTAACCATCCAAATGTCATTTACTTTACATTCCTAGGCCATTTCGTTCGTGAGATGTGAAGAAACACAGGTAGAAAGAAACCTTTACAGCATGATGATCATTTTAAAGCACAGCTGCACATCCTTTGACACTGCCCCATGGAGCGGTCCCCATCTTCTTTCCTTCAGCCTGGTGGGCTTGTCAGTGCTTCAGCTCAATGGCAGAAGTGGCTCCATGTGACTTTCCAAGGCCAGGTCAGAAGTCTCGCTGCTTCTGCCTCAAGCTCTTGGGATACTTGCTTTCTGGTAGCAACCCCTCCGGCAACTCCTCCCACAACCCAGACGCCGTTCTGTGAGAAGCCCATGCTACATGGACAAGGCTTGCAGAGGTGCTTTTGTCCCTGCCAAGTGCCTCATGCATGAGTGAAGACTTTTCCAGGGGATTCCAGTCCCCAGCCATTCATGTCACCACCAGTCATGGTGGAGCAGAGACAAACTGCTTCTCTGCTTGGCCCTGTCTGAATTTCTGACCCACCAAATCCAGGAACAGAAGAAAAGGGTACTGCTTTACACCAGTAAGTTTTGGAGTAGAGAACTGGAACAAACGTTTCTTTTTCTTTCTTTTAGACAGAGTCTTGCTCTGTCGCCCAGGCTGGAGTGCAGTGGCACGATCTTGGCTCACTGCAACCTCCACCTCCTGGGCTCATCAAGCAATTCTCCTGCCTCAGCCTCCTGAGTAGCTGGGATTACAGGCATGCACCACCACACCTGGCTAATTTTTATAATTTTAGCAGAAACGGGGTTTCACCATGTTGGCCAGGCTGGTCTCAAACTCCTGATCTCAAGCCATCCACCCACCTTGGCCTCCCAAGGTGCTGGGATTACAGGCGTGAGCCACTGCGCCTGGTCACCAAACATTTCTGAAATACGGATTTTCTGCTTTATCACCGGCATTCTCCACAATAAAGTTGTTCATTTCAGAGGCAGTTTTCTACGATTGGAGGTAGGGAGTTGAGGGGGGGGAGGATTAATTTGAAATACTTCTGGAGCACAGGCCACACCTGAGGTAGAGAGAAGCTTAATAAAGGGATAGAAATTGCCAGCCTGAATCGCAGGGTGCAGGAGGTGCATCAAGTCACATGCCAGGAGCTCTTACTATGTCACTTGTAAGAGAATCAACAAATGCAAAAGAACTTGATAAATATTTTCCATAACAAAACACAATTGGTTGCAATGGGATCTAGCTCTGTTCCTCATTAGTTACCCTTCACTACTCAGACAGGCTCCATATCTCACTGAAATCCATTGTGGATTCTTTCCAGTTTGTTGGGAAATGTGACTGTACGTTTCCTTTCTACTGCATGCTTTCTTGAGCCTGCTTTTAAATCTAGAGTACATGCTTAGCTCCCTCTTCCCACAGGAGAAGGAGCTTCAGCTTCAAGGAGAGGTAAAAGCAGGTAACAAGCAGCTGCTTTTGAAGTGGTGCAGCGGCAGAGGAGGTGGAGAAGGCCAGGTTGCCATTATCAGTGGCTACCAGGTGCCGCGGGATCGCGTTAGGTGATAAAACACTTGGCTGACACCAGAAAAAAGAATCATCACTCCTCGCCTACCCCACCCTCACTCCCTCGCTCCCTCTTCTTTTTTTAAAAGGAGGCTTTTTACCCTCATTAAATGAAACCTTATCTCTGAAAGACTGCAATCCTCAGCAAATGACAAGTGCGCCTAATCTCATTTTCTGACAAGTGATTCTGACAGCACCTTCCTTTTGATTTCTGAGACATGTAGTTAGACATATATTAATCTGTCAGTCATCATCCCTAGGAAGAATTTTTTTAAAAAAGAGAAAGAAAGAAATGAACATTTGTGAATATGAAGGCATGACAAGAGGCTAGGACACCTATTTTAACCAATGCCTGAACATTCCTTTCTCAGGGCCCCCCTCCCCCACCGCCCCTTTAGCACACAGCACATCCACGGAGCAGAGCCGGGAGCTGCCCAGTCAAGGGGCCTGTGAAACAGGCCTTAGTGACTCCAGGTAATGCGGCCCAGTGGGAAGAGCATGTGCTCTGGAGTGAGGCAGACCAGGTTCAGATCCCCTCCTACCTCATAAAGCCGGCTTGATTACATGAGATCTGTCATCTCTGAAGCTCAGGATCCTATCTGTAGGATACGCCTCATGGCATCTATTAGCTCTAAAGATATCTTTATCTAATGTGCCTGCAGGCATAGAGTAGGCACCCCAAACACAGAAGCACTTACTAATACCATTATCTCTACTAAGGTCTTCTAGAAATAGTAGATGATTCCAAATAGAAGTAGATGATTCTGTGACCAACACAGAATACTTGGCACCAGGATATAAAGATGAGTAAGACCCAGGCTCTGCTCTCAGAGAGCTCACAATCCAGCACTGGGAAACAGGTAGGATCAAAAGAGTACAATCCGGCCAGGCATGGTGGCTCTCATCTGTAATCCCAGCACCTTGAGAGGCCAAGGCAGGTGGATTACCTGAGGCCTGGAGTTCAAGACCAGCCTGGACAACATGGTGAAACCCTATCTCTACTAAAAAATAAAATAAAATAAAAATCAGCTGGGCGTGGTGGTGCACACCTGTAGTCCCAGCTACTTGGGAGGCTGAGGCATGAGAATCGCTTGATCCCTGGAGGTGAAGGTTGCAGTGAGCTGAGATGGTGCCACTGCACTCCAGCCTGGGAGACAAAGAGAGACCCTGTCTTAAAAAAAAAAAGAAAAGAAAAAAAAAGACAATCAAGTGTTACAAGTGAGTACCAAAAGTCCCTGCACAGTACTAGAGTTTCACCAATACTAAAACAGGAGAGAGTGGGCAGTTCTGCCCAGGTCCCTTATTCCTATAATCCCTGGTCAGCAAGTGACTTTCTGATTATAATTTGGATTCCTTAGGGATTGTCCCTGGGGGGCATATGGGCCAACTACTGCATGTAGGTCACTCGCGTTGGGTTGCTGGTTATACTCCTCACTGTAAACAGAAGATTTGTGTTACCAGCCAGCCAGTTTCCCTGAAGTCTGATTAGTGCCGTCACCTCTGACTTTCTAGGCTGGGCTGACCCAAGCAAGCAAGTGCCCTGCTGTGTCACCAGCTAAGCTCCCATCTCATTTTCTATCTTATTCTTCTATGAATGCTGTAGTAGGGTTGTTTTGACTAGCATGGGAGCTTCCCCTGCTTTTAAAATCACGTGTCCTGGCCGGACATGGTGGCTCACACCTCTAATCCCAGCACTTTGGGAGGCCGAGGCAGGCAGATCACGAGGTCAGGAGATTGAGACCATCCTGGCCAACATGGTGAAACCCCGTCTCTACTAAAAATACAAAATTGAGCTGGGTGTGGTGGCGGGCACCTGTAGTTCCAGCTACTTGGGAGGCTGAGGCAGGAGAACTGCTTGAACCTGGGAGGTGGAGGTTGCAGCGAGCTGAGATTGCGCCATTACACTCCAGCCTGGTGACAGAGTGAGATTCCGTCTCAAAAAAAGAAAAAAAAAGAAAAAGAAATCATGTGTCCTACCCTTTCGAGGAAGCAGTGACTATTATCTATTCAGCTGCCCTGGAGCTGTTCCACCCAAAGAGAGTAACTCTGGCCTTTAACGTTTATGAGCTTAGCAGGTCTCTGGCCGAGGACCTCCTAATTAACAAACACAGTGGCCCTTTCTGTCTCTTTCTGCAGAAGTGGCAGACTGTCTCTCCCTTTGTTACTGGGCTTCCGTGACAAAATACTATTATTATTCTCTTGTTTCTCAAGTAATATTGCCTTCTTTGGATTCTCTTATCCTTTAATATTGAGATTCTTCAGGTATCCCTTCAATGTCTAGAAAGGAGGAAGTGGGGGACTCTCTCTCACCAGTTCCCCAGCTTCCGCTGTAATTTCCAAGTAGGGGGCTCCCAAGACTCCAGCTCCTCCTGCCTTACACTTCTGTATCTCCAACTCATTTGGTGGAGTGTGGCACTGATTGTCCATTGGCACTTTAAAAATCAACAATCTACAGATGACCTCATTGGGATTTCCTCCTGATTGTCAGTGGTCTTACCTAGGCCATCACCCTCCCTAACTCCAAACCCAGTTCACCGAATCCTCAGGCTGCTCTGTCTTCCCTGTGCCTCTTGCTCATTTCCTCCCTTCCACTCTCACTGCCACGGCTTTCGTTCTGGTCCTCAGTCTGCTGGGATATTTTTTGGTATCCTGATTGTCTTCTTCCAATCTAGTGTCTTCCACTCTCACTTTTCACCTAAGCAAAGGTTGCAAACAGGCCAGGCCCAAGGACAGAGCTCTGCGCCAAACCATCTGACACTTCCTTCCAGGTTGACAACGCAAAGAGACAGGTTAGCCAGGGACCAGCTTTCAGATTTCTTCCCTGCCTCACTGACACTGTACGGTCTTGGACACTTTATTAACCTCTTTGAACACAGCAACCTCTTCATTCATAGGGGGGGTTATTACTTGCCATGCCCAGGCTGATAGGAGGAAACTGTGGTGCCTGGTCTCTTGCAAAGCAGAGCCTTGAAATGTGTTGTCTTTTCTGAAATGCAGGGGAATAGGGAAAGAGGCTAGTTTTATTTGCCTTGCTTGGCCTGTAGTGCCTAGCCTAGCATACTACACATAGTAGGAACTCAAAACATTTTACTGCCTTTGAAATAAGGAATTCTATTTTAGCAAGTCCCAAGGTGAGAAAGATATTCTAGGGGCTAGGGCTATCCTTTTAAGGGATAATGTTCCTTTCTTCAAGCGGTTACCCAGGATTGACAAGCTTTCATTTCAAGCATCAAATCTAAGTCATTTTATGAAGGCTATGAGTGGCTGCCCACTGAATACCCAGCTGGGGAGGCAGCGGGTGTAATAAGGCCAGAAGCCATTTCTGTGTGTGCCAGATCTGGGTTTTTGTTGTTTGTTTTTGTTTGTTTGTTTTTTGAGACGGAGTCTCGCTCTGTCACCCAGGCTGGAGTGCAGTGGTGCAATCCTGGCTCACTGCTACCTCCGTGTCCCCATCCCCCCACCAGGTTCAAGCAATTATCCTGCCTCAGCCTCCCGAGTAGCTGGGATCACAGGCGTGCGCCACCACACCTAGCTAATTTTTGTATTTTTATTAGAGATGGGATTTCACCATGTTGGCCAGGCTGGTCTTGAACTCCTGACCTCAAGTGATCCGCCCGCCTCGGCCTCCCAAAATGCTGGGACTACATGCGTGAGCCACCGCACCCCGCCTGTTTTGTTACTCCCTACCAAGGCCCCTTCAGGGTGGCTACTGTCAACCCTGCAGTCAGTGCCTGGGCATAAATAGGTCAAATTCCAAAAAACAGGATGCGGGGGCACTGGGTAAAGAGGGGCAGAAGTTTAAGGGGATGAGGGTTGTTTATTCTTTTATCCTAAGGGCAACTGTGTAGCTGCCCTTGAGACTCTGAAAAGCTGTAAAGGAAGGTCCCCTTATTTATGGAGGTGTCAGCCAAGGCTGTGCAGGATAAACTATGTCTGCCCTGGGCTATGACTGGACACGAGGGAGCGACTAAATGTCTTTTCTAGGCCACTTCTAGCTCTCAGTTTATGAAACCTTGCCCACCTGTGGGCTGTGTCACCCGGAACCAAGTACTCTGCTCAACTCGACGGCAAGAACTTAGCCCCAATTTCCTTTCCTCACTCTGTAATAATGCTGACAAATCTTATTCTCAGCTAGATGAAAATTTTCAGCCTCCTTATTCAACACTTTCTGTTTTCTGACACATGCATATGAGGATCGGGGCTAATATGTGGATGGAATCAATTTATAATTTGACTAAGACGCTGCAGAAAGAAAGGAAGTAATAACAATAATCATTTCATTTGTAAGCCTTCCTTCCCCACCTAGGCTCTTGGTGTGCAGAAAAGGCAATTAAAACAGGGTTCAATTAAAAATACCATAAAACAGAAATCAAATAAAATATTAAAAAGCCAAAGTGCCATTGTTAAATAAGTGTTTGTGAGAGGAGGTCCTCAGACAGTAACAGTCTACAGAGACCAGGCAGCGTGTAGCGTAGCAGGGACGGGGTGTGCCTGAGGTGCGCCTACAGTGAACGTTACTTTGTGGTTTTAGCGCCAAACCTCTGTTTTGTTGAAGAGTAAAAAATAAGGCCCTCCTTGGCCACTCTACAAGTATGTGAATCATATTCATTTTACCCTTTGAATTCTTCCATGCCCTGTTTAACCCTGGCTCCTTCGCTTTAGAAAGGCACATTCCCTATTAACCTGTGTGAGATGCGATGTGCATCTGTTTGAATCTGCTAATTGTGTTCGTTTTTCTGCCTGGTACAATGCTGAAGCATCCTCAGAGCCCTTGTGCCAAAGAAGAATCAAATAAGAAACGCACAGAAAATGCAGTAATTATGGCTATTCACACGATGACTTCAACTCTCAAAGGAGAGACAAGAAATGGACTAACTCTGATTGTGACTTTTATTAAATATCTGAAAAGAAATAATTATGTGCAGACAGCATGATGTACAAAATAGAGAGGTTTACGAGACCTGGGTTTTAATCCTACTTGTGTGACCTTAGGCAGGTCATTTCAATCTCTCTGAGCCTCAGTTCCCTCACCTATAATTCGAGGGTGCTGGACTAAATGCACTGAAGTCCCTTTCTGCTCTAAAATTCTCTGCTTCTATGTGTCAACACAGAGCACAGGCACTTTCTCTGCTGAACCCTTGTGTCCCTCTGTAGGGCAGAAGAAAGCCAGAGAAACAAGATCCTTAGAAGTCTATAATCTGAATAACCAGAAGGGATGTAATTAAAATCAGGGTTCTGTTCCCACAAACACACCCAAGCATCTTCCCATAAAAAACACTGGGGTAATGAACGAACCTGCAAACCACACGTTGCCGCCCTCCAGGCCCTGCCAGGCTTAGATGTGAGCCTGACTCGGGAATCCAGGCTGTTGTCCTCACCTCAGAGACAGCGAGCCTCACTTCTGACCGCTGTTCGGGTGTGTTTTAGCCCATGGCTCTTAGTGAGACAGCGGCATTTTCAAGTCATGTAGGGGCACGAATACATTTCTGGAATTTTACAAATCATTACGACAATGAAAAGAAAATACAAGGGGACTGCTTGTATCAGAAAATTCCCCTATCTGTCCCAAAGCCTCCTTTTTCTCTCTTCGCCTGTAAGGGATTGCCATAGAGCAGGTGCCAAATTACTTTCTTGGGAACCTGGCTCTCCTCTCCCCAGCCACCACCACCCTCCCCAGGGAAGCGTGCCTTACTGCCCAAGCCCTCTAGCGCTGAGGCATTCCACAGGCTGGGCCAGCCCCTGGCACCATTCTGACAAGAGTAAAGTCTATTTTCGGAATTCCCCTCCACTTTTAACACCCTTATGTCATGCGTTCACCCAGACTGGCCTTGTGGCCCAGAAATTATATTTGTCCTGTTAACTGCCTAACGTGATAAACTTAAGGTGCCCCAGCTGGGGAATTTGAGGCCACTTGGGGACAGCCTGGGAGGTCTGTTTTAGCAGAACATGCCTGTCAGGATCTCTAGATAACATCAGGGAAAGGTGTTCGCAATCACACATGACAAACGAGGTCCAGTAGGAGAGGCCTGAGAAAGATAACAAGGTCTCAGATATTTCTAGAATAAGTTCATTCAGGGCAAGCACTGTGTTTGGTTGTCTTAGTCATTGCCATGGGTTTACCACAGGGAGCTGGCAATTTGGGGGTCTTTCACATTTGATGAGCTGAATCCACTGACTGATAACTGATGAGAGTCTTCTGTGCAACGTTGCCACTCAAAGATGTGGTCCTGGGGCCAGCAGCACTGGCACTGCCTGGGAGCTTTTTAGAAATGCAGAATCTGGCTGGGCGCGGTGGCTCATGCCTGTAATCCCAGCACTTTGGGAGGCTGACGCAGGCAGATCATCTGAGGTCCGGAGTTCAAGACCAGCCTAGCCAACATGGTGAAACCCATCTCTACTAAAAGTACAAAAATTAGTTGGGCGTGGTGGCACACACCTAAAGTCCCACCTACGTGGGAGGCTGAGGCAGGACAACCACTTGGACGCAGGAGGTGGAGGCTGCAGTGAGCTGAGATTGTGCCACTGCACTCCATCCAGCCTAGGTGAAAAAAGAAATGCAGAATCTCATGCTCCACCCTGGACCTGCTCAGGCAGAATGTGCATTTTAGGGAGACCCCCAGTGATCGTGATGCATGCTAGAGTTTGGGAATTACTACCTACCATACTAAGAAGGGGCCGAGAATTAGGTCCAAAGACCGCAATGGTGGCACATTTAGGATTAACTCTGGAGGAAGAACATAAAATCAGATTTGGACTGCATTCAGATTTTACAAATTTGGTAATGCTAAAAACTAAACCCTGATTTTAAGCAGGAGCCCAAAGGTGTCATGAACAGGTGTCCTCATTTACAAATTCAGCCATCTGTGTTAAGTCAGCAGAATTTCCCTGAGTTAGAAAATTGGATCCCAGTCTTACCAAAGTTTTGAAGAAGCATCAGCAATGGGCCAACAAGCTCTTTTCCACATTCCTTTGGTAACCTGCCAGTTGATCAGTTTTAAACGCAAGTGTGTGCCTGGCTGAAGCTTACTTGGATTTTCTTCCCAGTATTTGTTAGTGAAAGGCTAAGAAAAGGAAAAGAAGTGTGAAGGCGATTTCTTTGGGGGCCTTGTGTCAATCTTCCAAGGGGTAGTTTGAATCTCTCAAATCAGCCCAGTGAGAGATTTCTTTATTGGTTTTGCTTTTTGGGCTGGATTAATAAATCCCAGTTTCTTTCTCAGCACAGGTATATTTTTCATCTGCTGATGATGGGAGAAAGCCTCTTGCTCACATCTGTATTATAATAAATGCATTATAAATGAGTAAGTAGGAAACAGTAAGGAAATGATGTTTTACTTTTAAATGCTAATTACGAAGCCCTGGTGCAGTTAATGTGCGGGGTGTTCTGTCAATTTTTAATGTTTATGCCAAGTGTAGTCTTCAATTTAACATGAGCTTTTAATCCTTTGAGTACTAAATTGCCTTTTAATGCTTGCCGAACAACACTGTGTTTGCACAAAGTCAGGTCTGAAAAATGTATTTAGTACAAGGTGTGTTGTGGAAAGGCAGAGAGAAGAGGGGGGAAGGAAACTTTTTTTTTTTTTTTTTTTAAGAAGACGGCACTAGGAACACAGCTCCCTGCTCCCTTCAACAACATCATTCTCTATTCTTTCTGAGGTTGCTGGGAGTGATGCTCTCCTGTTGCTGATTTAACCCTGCAGTAACAGCTTCCAGCTCCCAGGAACACAATCAGCCCTAGGGTACACCTTGCACCATCAAAAAGACTATAGCAGAAACAGTTGCAAAGGAGGGGGCTATGGCTGTTTTCTGACTACCCTCCCGGCATACACCAAACTCAAAGAGAGAGGAGCTGCAGGTGTCCTTGGGGGTGCACAGAAATTTCCTACACCCAGACATATATAAAAAAAAATGTGGTGGGAAAACGTGAACATTTCCTATAATTAAAAGGACTAGAGGTTTTGAGACAGGAAGAAGGGCAGGAGAAAGCACAGAGACAGAGAGATAGTGGAATGACAAAGTTAGATGGGTCTCAGGACAGTTTCTGCTGGACATCACTACATAGGTGGGTATTTGCCAACTGTCGCCTTCTTCCAGTCGTGGAAACAACACCCAAATCTCTGTCTGTCCTGTAATCTAAGTCTCCCTTCCAGAACCGATTTCTCTTCTACTCCAGGACACCACCTTGAATTCCTCATTGCTTGTCTAACTTCTTCATGCCACTAAGCTCTGTATAAAAATAGCAAATACCTCCATATCACTTAGTGTCGTGCTGGATGCTGTTCCAAGTACTTAAACATATTAACTCTTTTAATCCTTTCAGTAAACCATAATGCCATTATCATTATTCCCATTTTGCAGATGAAGAAATTGGGGCACAGAGAGGGCAAGTAACTTGCCTTAGCTCACACAGCCAATAAGGGGTGAGTCCAGGATTTGAATCCAGGCCATCTGATTCCAGAGTTCTGTGTTGTCAACCAGCTCACAATGCTACCACCACAATCTGTCACGGCACCTTATCATCTGGGCATCTTCCACTTGTCAGTAAGCTCCAGCTCAGAGGCCCCCAGCCGCCAGTGGAGCCCTTCTTGATGCTGACTCCTCTGTCAGCCACATGCATCCTGGGAAAGCTGGTAATGTTGCACTGTTTATGGGTTTGTGTTCACATTACAGTTGTCCCTTGGTATATGTGAAGAATTGGTTCCAGGACACTTGAGTATAGTAAAATCTGTGCATACTCAAGTCCCACAGTTGGCCCGGCAGAATACATGCATACAAAAATTCAGCCCTCTGTATATGTGGTTTTTGTATCCTGTGAATACCATATTTTTGATCCAAGTTTGGTTTAAAAAGCCCCACATCTAAAATCCATGCATTTCAAACCCGAGTTGTTTAAAGGTCAACTGCATGCTGAGTGCTTCTGTAGCTAAATGGAATGCTACCTCACTAAAGATTTGTGTTTCTGCCTGGGTGTGGTGGCTCATGCCTGTAATCCCAATACTTTGGGAGGCCGAGGCGGGAAGATCACTTGAGCCCAGGACTTCAGACAAGGCTGATCAACACAGTGAGATTCTACCTCTACAAAAATAAATAAATAAATAAATAAATAAATAGATAAATAGATAAATAAATAAACAGCTGGTCATGGTGATGTGTGCCTGTAGTCTCGGCTACTCAGGAGACTGAGGCGGGAGGATCACTTACGCCCAGGAGGTTGAGGCTATAGTGAGCCATGATCACACCACTGCACTCCAACCTGGGCAACAGAACGAGACCCTGTCTTAGGAGAAGAAGAAAAAAAAGATCTGCATTTCTCATTTCAGAGAACCTCCTATAAGACAATGTTAGAAGTGGTAGGAAAATGGTGCCCTGTAGCCTTATAAACAAACACCTCCTTGGGAAGCCAGTTTTGTATTAGTTTGAATATGATGAAATTGTTGTTTGGAAGGACAAAAATTGTTGAATATAAGCATTTTTTTTTCTCTTTCTTTTGAGACAGGGTCTCTCTCTGTCGCTCAGGCTGGAGTGCAGTGGTGCAATCAGAGCTCAACACAACCTTCAATTCTTGGGCTCAAGCGATCCTTCTGCCTCAGCCTCCTGAGTAGCTAGGACTACAGGTGTGCATCACTACGCCTGGCTAATTTTTTATATTTTTGGTAGAGACGGGGATCTTGCTATGTTGCCCAGGCTGGCCTTGACCTCCTGTCCTCAAGCAAACCTCCCAGCTCGGCCTCCCAAGGTGTTGGGATTACAGGCGCGGGGCACCGTGCCTGACCAAATATCAGCAATTTCAAGGAGTTCAATGTGTCCTTGGCTAGGCCTTACTACTGGGTCAGGGCTGGTCTAGCAGCAGCATCCATGGTGTCTCTGTGCCATGCCACTGATGGCTTCCCAATCTTCCCAGTGACTCTCTCTCCTGGAAACCACAGTTTCTGGAAGAAAGTGCTTGTTTCCAAAATGTTTTCCTTTAGTGATTAGGCATTCAGAAAGAACAATGGCCACAAATATACCCTTAGTAAACTGCCTAATGATTAAATAATATATTACTAAAATTTGAATATAAAAAGGCCATCTTTACATGTGAAAGCTAATGGGCATGTTTGACAAACTTCAGTACAGCTGCTCAGACAGAGAGGGAACTAAAAGAGGAGAGAAATTATGAGGTTTCATCACTTTACAAGTTCAACAACAACACAAAATCCCACAGAGTCCAACAGCTGCCATTTACCCCAGGGGCAAGTGGCCACCTTAAATATACGTTTCTTTGAATCCACTTATTACATGGCTGACCACATAATCATTTGATGCAAAACTGTGTGTGAGCTTTACAGGTACCACTGCATTTGACTGAAGGGATAAGGTAGGTTTCGAATGATGAAAAGACAAGTTTCCAGGGGTCTTTCTCTTCTTGTATATTAAAGAGAGACTTTTAAGATTCTTTTCTATTGCATGAACCATAAATTGTCAATAAGGACAGTAAAGGAATGTCATTCTGTCCATCTTGCTTTGGCTGGCCCCATCTACTTACTCTCAAACTCAACAATTTCATTTCTGCCTTGGTGGAGTCAGAAAACAACTATGGCCTGGGTATTTGAGTTCAATTTTAGGCTGCATTCACCACTGACAATGTGACTTAAGCCAAAACCACATTTCTATTAGCAAATACACTCATTCTGAGATGTGGTAGTGATTATGGTCCACTAATTATCTGACACTCATTCTGAGACGTGGTAGTGATTATTATCCACTAATTATGTGCCAAACTCATGATCCTTCTACAGTATACGCATTTCACAGGTACATGCATGTTGTCTCAGGTAAGCAACTGTCTGGTGAAGGACTCCATTTCCGGGCCACCCCTGCCTTTCACTAGTAGTTAAGGTCACATGACTAGTTCTTGGCAATGGCAGAGGTGCTAAGTGTCAATTCTGAGTCTTCCTCCCCATGATTGGGTGGATATAGAAAGTAAGAGGCTTACGAGATGGCAAAGCCACGAGATGAAAAGAACGGGGTCCCTAAGACACTGTAAGGGGAGTCAGGGCCAACCAGCAAGATCCATAAGACTGTCGGATGGACGAGAAGTCAACGTCCGTTCCATTGAAGCCTTTCTTCCTGTGGGGCTCCACTTGCTATAGGAGCTCACTTTATTCTTTTCTTTTCTTTTTTAAAAGACAGAGTCCCGCTGTTGCCCAGGCTGGAGTGTAGTTGCATGATCTCAGCTTGCTGCAATCTCTGCCTCCTGGCAGAATTCAAGCAATTCTCCTGCCTCAGCCTTCCAAGTAGCTGGGATTACAGGTGTGTACCACCATGCCTGGCTAATTTTTGTATTTTTAGTAGAGACGGGGTTTCATCATGTTGGCCAGGCTGGTCTCAAACTCCTGGCCTCAAGTGATCCGCCTGCCTCGGCCTCCCAAAGTGCTGGGATTACAGGCGTGAGCCATCGCACCTGGTCAGGAGCTTAAACTTTATTCTAGTTCAACATATGGAACCTCAGTTACTCTGTAAAAAGGCCTTTCATTCCTCCATAGAACTTACTATCTTCTATCTGTAAAATGGGGATAAGTGTTTAAAAATTGCTAGTGACCTCCAGATGAAGAGTAGCAGTGAATAGCAAGTAATAAGAGCAAAATACAGGTATCTTTTCTTCCACAACTAGGTTCAACAGTCAATATTTAGGGAAAAGAAACACAACATCAATTTACTTTACCTAAAACAACCAACTGCAATGACTGAGAACCCAGCAAGACTTCTTTCCCACCATGCCCTGTGCCTAACTCCCAACCCTGCTGCTGACAAGGCAAGGACAGGAGAGGCAGAAGCTGAAAAAGAGCTCACTTATCCCAATCTTGTAATGAGGTGTGGCCCAGAAAGATTTCTTCTTAACACCTGCCTACCCTCTATTAGAGAACTTCCTCCCAGGGAAAGGCTGGAGGAAAATGACATTATTATTTCCTCATTTGGGATAAATTGCTACAGGCCTAGGTATGTAGGCAACGGTGCCAGAGGAGTAATTCATGAAGCCCGTTTCTCTCTCTCAGGCCCTAGATACAGTTACAACTCTCGCTTGAACACTGGGGATTACAGCTTCTAATGAATCACTGCCCACACATTATCCTGCAGGTCACCTGCTGGGTTTGGAAATGAGGACTGTTTCCCAGGTAGTAATTAGGATTTCCCTTTCCTTCCCTTAAGACATTTCTGCCTCTCCAGGACCCATGTCCATAGCTTGGCTCTGGAAAGGGCAGGGTGGTGGTGCCTGTTCCAGGATAAAGCCCGTCTTACGAGTCTACCTACTTTTCTGAGGCCCTCCATGCAGCCCCAGCATCAAGCTGCCCAAAGCACGCTGCCACTGTGCAATGGGCAGAAGGCATTCTGCAGTGGGCTGGGAGAATAATGCAGAGCTTCCCACTCGGGGCCAACTTTCAAAGGGACAGCTGTGTCAGCGCAGCTGCCTGGGCCTGTGGGAAGGGCCGACAGCCCCCACCTGGCCCACATCTCTGGCTTCAGGTGTCTGCCCCCCCATTGTCTGCTCACCCTTTCAATCTGGTCCACCAGGCCAATACCTGGTGGAACTGTGGAAGGTTCCAACCTTCCTGCAGGAAAGGAAGGCGTTACTGGGCAGAGATGGGACTGGCTTTCTGGGTGGTTGTTAGTATTCTAAGTTTTATTCATGACCTTTTTTTTTTCTTCAAACAACAGTATCCAAAAAGCCATTCCCGTACCTCAAGTAAAAGGTTAAACCTGAGGTCAGTGCTGGGCCTGTGCAGAGGCCCTGCTCGTGCAACACAGCCTGGGTCCACCTCCCCAGACTCATTTGTTCTAACTGCTCTACACCAGCATCGATCTACAGATCTACAGATTTGTTCTAACTGCTCTACACCAGCATCGATCTACAGATCTACAGATTTGTTCTAACTGCTCTACACCAGCATTCGATGTACAGAAAGTACTGTCTCATTTGGTTCTCACTGAAGGGAAGACACTATTATTCCCATTTCACAGATAAAGCTAAGGAAGTTGCCCAAGGTCACAGACTGATCAGGTAGCGGAGCTACAACAGCAAGATCTGAGTCCAAAGCGTGTGTGTTTCAGGATGTCCTCACACTGCCACCCTCCTCCCACCCTGGTCACCTGCCACAGGGAGCGACTATTCACTCAACAGTCCTCCTGAATTTTCCTGCCTGCATCTCAACCCTCATTTTCACATTTTCCAGGGGACTACCTTCCCCTCATTCCTGCAACCTAATTCTACCTGTGAAGCCCCCTACGCTTTGAAGTGCATCCAAGAAACACCTTCCTGAAGAAGATGGCCTCAGACGCCGCCAGGGAGAGTTTGTGTTTCTTCTGAAACAACCTATGTTCTGCCTGGAATTTCAGCTGCTTCTGTCCTGGTCTTCTTTCTCCTGTCAGGTAATTAGGCGGCATCTAGAATGCCAGCTAATCTCCATTCAAATGCCGGCTCTGGAGTGAATGATAACAGTCCACTGTCTGTGCTGATGTTCTAGTAGGGGAGAAAGACAAATAAAAGTCAACAAATGAATAAAGAAGGTAATTGCAGGGTGTGACATGTGTCATGAGGGCTAGCCCAAGATAAGGGATGGTCAGGAAAGCTGAGAAGGTTCCATCTGCACAGTGTTATGGGGATTCAGTGACTTAATGGTGAAATGCCAGGCTCTGGCACATAGTAGGCCTTTAGTATGCACGTTAGGTCCCTCATGGAAGGACAACAATGCAGGCTAACAGCAAACACTTTCCAACTTAGCTGCTGTGTGGCCTGGGGTGACATGAACAAACGATAGCATGACAAAGCCCCAGAGCCTTCCCATGTAAAATGGGGTTGAATAAACCAACAGCTACTTCCCCTGGTGAGGACATGACGACAGGATGCACATAATGTATGTAGCCTGCGGCCTGTCTCACGGGAAATGCTCTGCCACGGTGGTGGTTGACACTGGTGGAAGGAACTGTAGTGGCTGTGGGGGAAGAGACAAAGGAAGGGGTGGGCCTTCCTCATATTCTGCCCCATTGTGCTTGAACCAGGTCTTGCCATCTGCAGGCCTTCAATACGTATCTGTTGTACCTGGGTAAATGAAACATCTGATTATCCCTTCTTCTCTCCAAATCTACGCTCACTTTGAGAAGCTGTGCACGGAGCTAGGTGCCTGGATTCATCACACAGATGGCGACCGGGCCCTGGGCTTGCACAGAGTCTGAGGTCTGTCTTGAGGGAGTGTCTATAATCTGTTTAGAGAAAGACATCACACTGAGATCTCATTGACCCAGGGTGAAGTGGTAGGAACTGCAACACTGTAGACCCTGCCAAGGATGCCATGCACAGTTGCCTGCATTTCTTTCTTTCTTTCCTTTTTTTCTTTTCTTTTTTTTTTTGAGACAGAGTCTCACTCTCTTGCTCAGGCTGGAGTACAGTGGTGCAGTCTTGGCTCACTGCAACCTCTGCCTCCTGGTTTCAAGTGATTCTCCTGCCTCAGCCTCCAGAGTAGCTGGGACTACAGGCATGCATCACCATGCCTGGCTAATTTTTGTATTTTTAGTAGAGATGGGGTTTCACCATGTTGGCCAGGCTGGTCTTGAACTCCAGACCTCAAATGATCCACCTGCCTTGGCCTCCCAAAAGTGCTGAGATTACAGGCATGAGCCACCATGCCCAGCCAGTTGCCTGCATTTCTGACAGCCCGGGACTGCATGTGCCCTTTATGTGCATGCACTCTCTCCTGCCACTTGCCACCCTTCCCCTTGGCCATATTTTCCCTTCACAGTACTGCCCACGATTTGACATTACACTATGTATATGCAAGTTTGTTTGTTTATCCACCATATCCATGACTAGAAAATAAAGAAGCGCCACAAAGGCAGGGACTCTGATCTCTTTTTTTCCCAGCCATAACAGTTCCAGGTCCCACAACAGTGTCTGGTCCATGGTATCCTCCCAGTAATGTCCATAACTTGAACCCCTGCAATAATCTCTAGGAGATAGGTGTAATGAATCTTGCAGTGATTCCCCTATGTTACAAACAAGGAAGCTGAGCTCAGTTAACATGCCCGGGGTCACATGGCCAGGAAGTGACACAGCCGTGGAACCTAGGCAAGCTGTATGATGAGGCTGCGGGACAGTGGCTCTCAGCCCGGACCGCACATGGAATCACCTAGGTGGGAGGGGAAAGTCAGAAATCTTAATATCCAGGCCACACCCAGACCCATTATATCAGAATACGGGTGTCATTTAGCAGGGCCCAGGTTTAGTATGTTTAAAGCTTCCCAGGTGATTCCAACGCGCAGTTCAGGCTGAGGACCGCCAGTCGTGGGCGTGATATCCTGCAAGGGCCGCGGGAATTCAGAGGTCAGGTGCCGAACCTCACTGTCCATGCCTACCTCCCACTGGTAATGCCCACAGCAAGGCTCCTTGTCCCCCCTGAGAACAGGCGGTGGTCAAGCACCCAAAGAAAGCTAAGTATGTGTAACACCACTCCAACAACCCCCGTGGCCCGCCAGGGAGTGGACTGGAAAACCAGTTTAGATTCACAAAGAAGCTGGTATTAAAATCACGGAAGGCTCTCTGGCTCAGGATGCCATGCATGTTAGGGCTTGTGAATAGTAAAAGGGGAGCTTGTAATTCTACTAAAAAATGAAATTTCCCCATTTCTGCAGAATAAACAAAAACAAAATAATACATTAGCTCTGCAATATGTCTGTGCTTCAGGGCTTCAGACTGTCATTAAAGTTGGATTTTATCCATGACGGATTTCTCCACTCCCCTCGCACCCGAAATAAGAAAATACGCAGGCTTACCATGAATTTCCTTTTCTTCCTATTTTCTATCTGCATGTGGTTTATCCGTACTAAACTGTAGAGAAAGTTTCCAAGACACTGGGCTGTTGTTTGCAATTCTTTGTGTTGGCCCTAAGACATCTCCCCGGCAGTTCTTAAGAATCCTATAGGACAACGCTGAAAGAAGTACCTCTCGCAATTTAGGGAAGATAAAAAGAAGCCCCCCAGAAGCCTGTGCTCTTGTCTGTGTGAGGTAACTCAGAGGGAGTTGTAGAGGGGCTGCTGGCTCTGGTTTCAAAGCGGATCAGCCCCGTGAGGGGCTGGATTCAGCCGAGAGATGGATCAAAGGCTCTCGTAGGTGGCAGCAGGGCTTTGAAGCTCTTCTCTGAAAAGACCTGGCACCTACTTCCTCTGTGCATGAGGCATGTGCAAGTGTGGTGTTGGGGGGGAGTGGTCTTTTGCTGTTAGCACAGGCACCCCTAGTGCCCTAGACAGTTCCCCAGGGCCTCCAGGATCAGCATAATCATCCTCAGGCTGCAAGCTGAGACATTCTGGCCAGTACACACTGTCTAATTTTAAGAAGGAGCTCCACCAGGTCCATAGTAGGTACCTATCAAACTAGGCTTGGCGTTCAACTGTCCAGGATAGTTGAGGCCAATGGAAAACTCTCATTATAGTCCAATTGTTCTCATATCTGCTTTGGCAGAAGCCAAAATATTTAAACAAGCATGACTTACACGGTTTTCCTTGCCCCTCTTCCTTTCTTGGGCAGATAGAGTATGGTGCCTCAAATATATCCGTGTGAACAGGGAAAAAGAAAACCAAAGAGGCTTGGATGTGCCATAGATTGGGAAACGAGTCACTTGCAAAACCCAGGGCTTGGTGGAAGCAATCCTCCAAGGGCCCCCAAGGGGATCAAGTTCTCAAGTTTCTCCCTGCCTGTCCCCAGAAACATGAGGTTACTTGTTCACACGTGGTCAAGTACGATGCGGATGACTTGAATACCAACTAAGCTTCTCCATACTGGGATCCCATGCCATGACAGGGATGGAAAAAAAGCCCTGATGACAGCTACAGGTCAGGTTACAGCTCAGATCCCTTAGTGAAGGAGTGACGCTAGGGGAAAAAATAGCAGCAAATTAGATGCTCAGTAATATTCCAGAGATGGCTCCACAAGTGGCCTGGGCTAACAGAGCAACTCACATCTAGCTTTGATGTCTTGATAGGTTTTTAACAAATTCTCCTTCAGTTATCCAGCTGCTTAGCTAATCAGATATTATTACCTCCTTTGTGCTTCCTTTCCCAGCTCTCTCTCTGTTTTTCAGGCCTGCCTTGCTATAAAAAGAGCTCCATAATGATCCCTATCTAAATATTTCACTTCTAATACAAAGGTCTGTGTTTTGCATTCCAGAGAGACTCTACAGCTCACTCTGCTAAGAAGTAGCTCCCCTGCCTCTTCGGAAAAAATAAGCTGATTTTACTTGTACATGATCTCGATGGAATTTTCTTGTATAATGTATCCTTGCATGCAAAACCGAGTAGGCAGACATTAAGACGGCGGGTTAACCCCAGCTACACACACCAAAGACATCTGCAGAGAATGCTGACTGGCAACCGCAGCCACTCATCCTTGGGCTTTGTCCTACATTAGAAAACCAGAAGGGACACTTGAGGCAAGCTGCAAAATGCCATCAGAAAAATGGCATCAAAATGCCATCAGAGATGATATTAATGAAGCACCTGAGAAGTCCAAGAGCAGGGTAACCAGCAGAACTTGTTCTGTCTCCTCTCTTCCTCATCTCTAAAACCACTGCTGGGGTTGTTCTGGGATTTTTAAAATACAGATATGACCTAGTCCCAGCATAAACCCATACACCTTAGCTTGTAGGATGTGAGTGACATTTGCATGTTAAAATTCAGCTCATGGGGAAGGAAATGTCCTGAGAAATCTGGGCCTAGTCGCAGAGGTTGAAATGAACAGGTAACATGGCCGGGTTATCTGTGGCTACGATGTCCTCCTGTAATCCTATTGCATGCTGCCATAGACACTGGAACTTAAGTGCTAGAAACAGGACAGTGTCTCAGAGGCAGGCTGTGAAGGCCCAGGCTCCAGTGCCAACTCTGTGAAGGCTGGTAGGATCCTGGCCAAGTCACCTCAGCTCTTATACCCTTATTTCTTCATCCGTCAAATGCAGATAATAGTTATGGAAAGTACTGAAATAATATGTATGAAAGTGCTTTGTAAACTATCAATCTCTACAGATAGAAAGTATTTCAGGATTAGCTCCATTTGGCATCTCACAGATTAAATCAATTCTTGCTGTTCTTAAATGAGTTCCTAATTTTATATACATAATATTAAAAAAAAAGACAATAAGAGCCAATAGTTTAGACCATGGAATTAAATAATATTTAAACTATTCCATGAAATTAAGACTGGTAGAAGAGAACTCTTCAAATTTATTTTAAATTTTCAAAATAATATCTGTTCCAGAAAAGTAATCTATTAAAAAATACCAATCATGTATTTCTGTACTGCAAAGGAAAAATGCAGACATTATATGATTTTACTAAGAAAAATGAAATTATTTTTGTTAAGGGATTGAGGGCCCCAAAGTGGCTTACCTATCCCCCAAAAGGGATAGACAGAGGTACAGAGCACCTCTGGAAATATAAATATTATTTATTTATATATAAATATTTCCATAAATATTCCCCAAAAAGACTTGGCTGGGTGGATAACACACAACATCCAAAAGACTCGGCAAGCTCGATCCTGGTGGGCATCAAGAAGTCCTGTCAAACAGAAAAAGCACTGACAGGGAATCAGGTGTCTGCAGATGATCAACAAACAGAAAAAACTGCTGGCAATAATCCCAGAGGACTGGCCATAGATTCTTGGCAAGGCTTGGGATTCCTCGGTCAAAGCAAAAGGTGCTCTGACCACTGTCTAGGGGGTTCAGCTGGGTGTGGCAGACCTGGGTTGGCTGCTCCCCCAGTAGCCATCCCTTTCTCTTGTCTTCCAGTAGAACCCTGATGTGGCATGTGTCCAGTGCCAGGGAAGGTAGTGATTGGTCTAAGCCAATAACGGCAATCTCTTTCCCCTATGCCAGAGGCAGGTGATGCTGTTCAAGCAAGCAGGTCCCAAGAAGAAAACCACCAGGGGCTTCTGGGAAAAATGTCCCCTGCTCAAACAGAACAGCACTTGGAATCCCCTCTGTTTATGCTCACCCCCTTACCGTAAAGCACGGTGCCACATGAGGTAGTGACATTATACTTGGCGTTTCAGTAACCTTCTTGCATCCATGAGGGAAGTCATCCCCCAACACTGAGATGGCAGCATAGGAAGGTGGAAGGGTCCTAGGTCCTCTGTGACAACACTGAGCCTCTACAACATGCTTTCTCCACGCTTCTTGTAATGGGAGAGAAATGTCTTTACTTTGTAAGCTGCAGTCATCTGGGTTTTCTGTTACTTGCTGATAAAACAGGGAAACACTCTTCCTGTGAGGGTGAACACTGGCTCAAGGACTGGAGAGGGCCCAAGTTCTGAGGGGCCTGTCATGGTTCTTGGCTGTGAGACAGTGGAAAAGCCATGTGGGCAGGGGCCGCTGCTTCCAGGCACTGCCAAAGTAACTCTACAGTGTGGGATGTCCCAAGAGCAATGGGCCCTGCTGCTGTGATGGCTTCCCGCCACAGGCTGTCACTGAGACATTTCTGAATCCGAGTTCCGAAAGATACTTTGTGGGTGTCCAAACTCCAGGGACTAATTATTTCAAGTCAACTTGCAGTGCACTTGGGGCCTTGTTTTAAAAGTTTATTTCACATAGTTGCACTTCTTGGCCTTTTGACTGTCAAGGAGAGAGGCTATTACTCCATGCAGCAATTTAAAAAGAGAAGTGAGGATTTTTAAAGTCATTATTAACAAAAGTGCCAAGCAGGAAAGTAGAGCCTAAATATCCCACTGAGAGAAAGTACCAAGACAGAAAATAACGTGCCACAGATAATACCACAAAAGCAAACTTCTTGGAAGACAAGGTACTTCATCAAATACCGTAGTCACCTTTCTTTCACGAATTAGCCTCAATAGTGGTATTTACAACATCAACAGAATTTCATCTCATTTCTTATGCTGAGAAAGTCTAGAGAATATTAACCCTGAAATATATACTGAATATTCTTGCAAATAAGTAACAAATTTACTAACCCCTAATTTTTCTTTCTTTGCAGGAACTCCTTAGCTATTACAAAGGAAGTAGAATAAATGCCATTAATACAATTAAAAAAAATAAGCAGTATGGTTTACATTCCCATGTACTCTATGGCTTAGAGCAGCTCATTAAGCCCAATGTGACCTCCGTCTTATTTTTGTAAATAAAGTTTTATTGGAACATAGTGATGTCCATCCATTTATGTATTACAATAGCTTTTTTGCATTACAATAGCGAAGTTGGGTAGTTGCTACAGAGACTGTATGGCCCTCAAAAGCCCTCAAATATTTACTATCTAGACCTTTACTGTAAAAGTTTGCTGACCCCTGGTTTAGAGTAATGGTTATTCTTTTCTCTAAATTGACAGATAATGTTCATTTTGACAAGGCCCCCACATCTCGTACAGTAGTAGAGGACTATCATATTTCCATAGTTCCATAACCATTAGCAGTGATTTCTGGCTTATTATGGGCTTTGGCACAGAAAAGATAGGCTGTGGATTAACATACAATTTCCTGGGTCCTGACTCTAAGTCCATCCTTTTTTCTTCCATTTAAGACAAATCACAATGCAAGGGAGAGTGTCACACTGAAGTATTAACACTGCAGGATGATGATATTATCATTAAAGAATATTACTGAAGGGAAACATTCTAATTTATACAAACAGTACATAGTTTGCAAACTTCCAAAACCTAACAATCATTCATAACAAATCACTTCAACCCGCTTACAACTGATTACAATGTCCCCATGAGCCCAACACCAGGGTTGAGAGCCAGTGACTGTAGCCAGTTATTTTAAAGAAAAAAATACAACTGATCTCAAGATTTATTTAGTCATTCATCCTTTCAGCATTTGAGTAGCCATCATGGGCAAGCTCTGTGCTAAACATTCTGGGGTGCAAAGATGACTGAAGATACTAAAGATGCAACCTTGGCTCTCAAGAAACTAAAGGTACAACCTTGGCTTTTGAGAAACATGCCCTTCAAAAGGACAGGACATAATGGCCTCTTGAGGAAAGTGAGAAAGCAGTATCAAAAAGAGCTTCAAGAAGTAGCATTTGAACTGGATCTCAGAGAGGTATAGGATTTTAATTGGTAATGGTGGCAAACCACTTGGGGAAGGGAAGTCTAGGGCGTAAGGATCACAGAGACTGACATACTTCATCCGTGTTCACAGTTAAGTATTAGAATTAGGATTAGAACCCAGGTATCCAGTGTGAAGCATTCTTCAAAAGCCATTTACAAGGCATTTGAAATATATTGAGGGTTAGGTTTCCAAAGAGAAAATATAAAAGTATGAGAGATAGGGTTATTAATTTTTTTTTGAGACAAGGTCTCACTCTATTGCCCAAGCTGGAGTGCAGTGGCATGATCATAGCTCATGCAGCCTCGAAAGCAATCCTCCTGTCTCAGCCTCCTGAGTAGGTAGGACTGCAGGTGTGTACCACCATGCCTGGTTGATTTTTTATTTTTTTGTAGAGATAGAGTCTTCCTATGTTGCCCAGGCTGGTCTTGAATTCCTGGGCTCAAGTGATCCTCCTCTCTTGACCTCCCAAAGTGCTGGGATTATAGGCATGAGCCACCACACCTGGGCTTGTTAAACTTTTAAACCTCTATTTAAATAAGGGGAGGGGAGGATTGTCATATAAACGATATCAGGAAAGAGTATGTACATTACAAAAAAGAATCTGGATATCAGGCCAGATAAAACATCAACCAATCACCAAAAAACACCACCATTGCCAAGAGTCAAAACAGATCTCAATATCCAAGAGTAAATTAGAGTCTACAATTAGTTTACAATAATCAAAATACACCAATAAAACCATTCTTTTTTTAAAAAAGTAAGACACAGGGTCTTGCTATGTTGCCCAGGCTGAACTCAAACTCCTGGGTTCAAATGATCCTCCTGCCTCAGCCTCTCGAGTAGCTGAGACTACAGGCGCACGCCACCACATCTGGCCAAAACCATTCTTGAAAATTCAGGGCTACCACAATTTTCTATGACTTGGCACATTTTCCAACTGGGGATGTCTCTCTCAGTGTAGTCTTTTACATTTACTTAGGTACTTGATCTTTAGCAGAAATGATGATCTGAGACTTTATACCCATGAACTCCTTGTGTCTAGATAATGTCAATTCTTTTCCCTCTAACTGCCAAGTAAATTCCATTTTTACACTTTAAATGGCATAAATTGTCTAACCCTAAAAAAAAAATGGCAGAAGTACTTTTGCTGGTGTTAAGTAGGACGAATCAAATAGAGAAGAAGGAAGGCAGGGTATTATGCTGTGGCTTAATTCTGTTTAGTAAACACTTTATACTGCAGAGTAATGAAAGACTTCTCAGTATTCATCTCAAAATGAAGGTGGTTTGGTGTATTGGTTACTGCTATTCTCTGTGGATTCCTACTTTGTAAAACATGAGGAGTTGAAGGCAGTCAACTACCACTTAGTCACTCATAAATAAATGGCTCTTGCAGCTTTCCAAATAGACACAGTAATATACATGGGATTAGAGCAACGTGCAACCGTGACGGCGTGTGCAATGTATGATGTGATCATAATCCGGTGATGTCTTCACTGCTTACAGACACATAGAAACATCCCTCACCTTCAAAATGGAGGCGCCAAAGTCTGAGGGCCTTTGGTGTTCAATGTTGGGGTATTCTTTTTCTGTGCATTTCTGTGCGTGTGTTTGCCAGTGTTTTCTGGGATCCAGATGACCAGCCCCAGTTCCAAATACTTCTGAATTCAGTGAAAACTTTCCCTACCTTTTATCTCACTATTTTGCCTATAAATCCTCCCTTCAGCTAAATCAACATACAGATGGTCCCTAACTTCCGATGGCTCAGCTTACGATTTTTCGACTTTATGCTGGTATGAAAGCAATATGCACTCAGTAGAAACTGCACTTCAGGTACCCATACAACCATCTTGTTTTTCACTTTCAGTACAGTATTCAATAAATTACATGAGATCCTCAACACTTTATTATGAAACAGGCTTATGTTAGTTGATTCTGCCCGATGGTAGGCTAATGTAAGTGTTTTGAGCGTGTTTAAGGGGGGCTGGGCTAAGCTACAATGCTCAGTAGGTTAAGTGTATTAAATGCATTTTTGACTTAAAATATTTTCCACGTATGAAGGGTTTATCGGGATGTAACCCCAATGTAAGTTAAGGAACACCTGTACAGAAGTCGCCTCACAAAACCCTGGGTTTCCCAGTTTCGTGAGTTTGCTACAGTAAATGAGGCTGAGCACCAGAGAGGGGGCAGGCTATGAAGCCACATTACCTGGGTCCAGCTTTACCATTTACTAACTCTAGGGCACTGGGTACCTTATTTAACTTCTTTGTATGTCATGATCCTTATCTATATAGCGGAAATAATGAGAAGACAATAATCCCATCTCATAATAGCTTTTGTGAGGATGAAATAAGTTAAGACATGTAAAGTGCTTAGAACTTTATCTCAAACAGCAAGTGCTCAATAACTGTAGTTGATCATTACTCATATCAGCAAGTGCTCATAACTGTAATGTTGATCATTACTATCAACATTATCTTCATCCCATTCGGACTTCCTCCTCCTTCCTCTCTGTCCATTGAAATCATTCTCTTGGGCCTCAGCCATGCCCTCAACGTGATCCTTTCTTCCCCTGATTTGAACTCTGGTCATCAATCAATTAGTTGGCACTATTAATTTATGTCTAACTGTCATGGGTACAGGAACAGTTTTTTCATCTAGCCTGGAAACTTCTTGAGACAAGGGTGTAGATGTGTTTGCTTTGCGTGTAAAATGAATCTGATAAAATTGACAGTTAATGGTCACAGAAGTTCACTGGAGATATGTAGAGGTAAATGTATGTACTTCTCAATTTTAAACAACATTCTTGGTAGCAATCAACGAGATACTAGTTTCAAGTGAAATGCACAATTGTTGTATGTCTGACTTCACACATTTGAAAGTAAAAATAATTCCAGGAAGAAAGCTGAGTGGGGATGAGAGTCACAGTAAGAGAAAAGAGATTCTAGTTCTAGATCTGCTCTTGACCAGCTCACATTCTTTGACATTCAGAGAGATTAAACCACATGCCTGATTCCTAAGTGCTAAGTCAGAATCAGTGACTTTAAGGTCCCAGACAGACCCTGTTGGTTGCCCAGGCAAGAGCCCTCAAGTTCACTGAACCCAGGTTTTGTTCAGGTACTGCATGGCGCCATGCTGTGGGCAGGTGGTCTTCCCCTGTTACAGGAGGCTCAGGCCACCCTTGGCAATCCCATTATTCTTGGACGGTGACTGTTTTAGGAGACGGTATGTAACCCAGTTCTGGCCAGTGAAACCTGAGGGGAAGTTTGCTATGGGGTCTCTAGAAAAGAATTTCCTCCTGATAAAAAGAGGTACGTGAGGAAGAACACCTTTCCTTCCTGTCTGTGAGTGTGGCTTCCTGAGGAAATAGTGTCTGATAACTATGGCGGCCATCTTGAAATCATGAGGAGAAAGCTAAGAGAATGGCAGAGAAGCCAATCCGTGCCCCAAAATACTTAACCAGTCCCATTTAGAAACACTACTCACACCCGCCCCCCTGCCATGGTTGAAGCCATTTTGTTCTGTTACTTGTGGCTGGAATGTCTTGGCTGTCCACATTCTAAGAACCCAAGCACCACATGATTGAGGCCCATTGTTAAGCTACAAGGAAATGTGGCACACAGATCATCTCTGCTGACCTACAAAATCACCACTGGGGCCGGGTGCGGTGGCTCACGCCTATAATCCCAGCACTTTGGACACCGAGGCGGGTGAATCACGAGGTCCAGAATTCAAGACCAGCCTGGCCAACATGGTGAAGGCCCATCTCTACTAAAAATACAAAAAATTAGCTGGGCATGGTGGTGGGCACCTGTAATCCTGGCTGCTTGGGAGGCTGAGGCAAGAAAATCGTTTGAACCCAGGAGGCAGAGGCTGCAGCAAGCCAAGATCGCACTACTGCACTCCAGCCCGGGTGACAGTGCGAGACTCCGTCTCAAAAAATAAATAAATAAATAAATAAATAAATAAATAAATAAATAAAATAAATCACCACTGGGACACTCTGAGATTAAATCCTGACCCCCATGTCCCACCACTTATGTTTCTATTAACCATTGTTTATTCATCTTACTTTTTTATTTTTTTTGAGACAGGGTCTCACTCTGCCAGGCCAGAGTGCAGGGGCATGATCTTGGCTCATTGCCACCTCCACCTCCTGCGGTCCAGTAATCCTTCCACCTCAAACACCCAAGTAGCTGAGACCACAGACATGCTCCATGGGGTTTCGTGATGTTGCCCAGGCTGGTCTCAAACTTCTAATCTAAAGGTCTCAAACTTCTAATCTAAAGGTCTCAAACTTCTGAGCTAAAGCAATCCACCTGCCTCAGCCTCCAAAGTGCTGGGATTACAGGCATGAGCCACCATATCCAGCCTATTCTTCTTATTTTGACATGTCAGCTTCTTTCCGTAAGCTGAGGTTGACATATATAATCAGAGACTTAGGTCAATAGGAAAAGGCATTCCCTAATTTCAAAACAGATCTAAACTCTCTAATTTCCTCAAAAGAGATCTCCTAATCTTTCATCTACTGGGATTATTTTAATAAACTCATTTTAGCACCCTGTTACTATGAACTCTTAACAAAGGTTCCTTCCAGGGCTGGGCGCGGTGGCTCATATCTGTAATCTCAGCATTTTAGGAGGCCAAGGCAGGCAGATCATTTGAGGTAAGGAGTTCGAGACCAGCTTGGCCAACATGGTGAAGCCCTGTCTCTACCAAAAATTTAAAAAAAAATTAGCTGAGCGTGGTAGTGCATGCCTGCAATCCCAGCTACTTGGGAGGCTGAGACAGGAGAATTGCTTGAAAGGGGGAGGCGGAGGTCGCAGTGAGCCAAGATTACGCCACTGCACTCCAGCCTGGGTGACAAAGTGAGACTGTCTCAAAAAACAAAACGAAACAAAACAAAAAACCAAAAACCAAAACAAATTCTGTTTTGTTTTTATATCGTGTTTCTACATCTAAACATGCTACTAGGTTGTGCTTCATGATATGAATGTATAAATTCAAGATCATGAAACTCTCATTGGTGCAGACATATACAACACAGAACTGCAAACTCACCACAGATGCTCCCACGCCTGTCCCTGAAAGCACCATGGCAAGCCTCAGCCCATTCCTCTCCCTCGTGCTGCAGATGAGAAAGCTGAAGTCCAGAGGCGTGAAAGGTGTTGGTGAAGGTGACTCAGTGAGCTGACGGCATCACAGAATGCAGGAAACTGTGGTAGTCTGGTGGTGGAGGGGGGCGGAGTACTATGACACTAGCTGTAACCACAGCAGCTCACATTCATCCTGGGCCTAGGACAGCACAGGAACAATTCTAGACTCTTCATGTGTTTTAGTTCATGGAACCCTCACCAGAACCCTGAAGAGGTAAGTACTATCATTATTCCCATGTTATAAATGAGAAACCGAGGCAAAGAAAGGTTCGGTACCTGCCCAAGGCTAAGCAATGCTGAGTGTACATGCCGTCATCACTCAGCTATTTCCAGTCTCCTACCACTACATCAGGCCATGGGGTGACATTTCCTGAATGGATACTCTTGGTAGGTCAGTGGCTTAAACTGAGATGAAACTAATCAGTACAATGGACTTCTTAGATCTACAATCCTGTCTTTAGCCAGAGCACACTGGATGGTCTGAGTTCCAAAGAAAGGCCACTGTTTCATTCCAAAATGTGCGCATGCAGTCCTTGTACCACGTATGCCACCTGCCTCCCTGGCATGCTAGCTTCAGGGAATAGGGAGGCTGAGAGAGGGTGGTGGGCAGAAGAGGGGTTGAGAGACAGGTATGATACCCAGTTGGCAGTCTCCTCTGGTTACCAAAGTGCAAGTCCCAGAAAACACATCACACAGGAGACGAGCCAGGGTGTGACCCAGGATGCCTTGTCTCAGTTTGTGGGGAGATTAAGGGAGAAGGCATTATAAAGGCCAGCATCATTTTCAAGAAACCATCACTTTATTTCTTGCTTAAAAGCAGAGCTGGCCAAGTTAAGATAGCTGTTTTTTCTGGATTATATTGTGTTTCAAAGCAAACCACTCCTCACAGGGACTCAGGCTACAAAGCACAGAGAGCTGGAATGGCCTTTACCGGTCATCTTGTCCAGGCACATTCAGGGCTTGCAGAGCGAAGTGGGCTGAGGCCTAGAGAAGTTCAGTGCTCATCCCAGCTCCCACGGCCCCCAGAGCCGTCCAGCGTTTCTCACTGTGTCTAGTGTTTTTCGCTGTGTGGATAAGAATGAGAGGAAAAACTCTCCATCCTGGAGTAGAGGGGAAACGTGGAATGGGCACAGATTTGAGTTTGGGCTCCTTTATATCAGCTCAGGGGGACCAGAACGCATTCTCCAACATGGAACACAAGTCAACAGTGAGCGGATCCAATCAGCTGCTGAACAAAACAAACTTCTCTCCTGGGTCTTGTCTGACTTCTGCTGGGAGAATGTCCAAGACTGAGCAATGCTGGGCTAAAGACCTTGCAGCTCAGCCCAGACACAGAGGTGGCAGGATCAGCCCTGAGTTTGAAACTGCTCAGCCAGCCTGGAATGATGAGCAGCAAGGCCAGAGCAGAACAGCATCCAAAATGGGCAAAGGTAGGGAACTGGCAAGGCCCTCCTCTGATCAGATTGTTCAACAGCCTCTGAGCTGGCTGGCCCGGTCCTGGCCCCAGCTTCTGGGCCAGCCCTGCTGCCCTGAGCCAGGGCCCTCGCACTAGAGCGGGCCTTGAGCAGCCGCCTTGCATGGCCTAGATCTCCTGGCACTGCATCGGAGTCAATCTTGCCTACAGCTGTCAGCGGCACAGTCTGTTCGATGCCGCACAAATGGCAATGATTCAGTCATTCCGGGGATGCTTCCAGGGCAGTGTTCTTGGGCATAAAGAAAAAGAGAATCCCCTTGGGGGGCCAGAGGCGGTGGGCTCCCCTCCAGCGGGCTGGCTCATCCCCATCTAAACACCATCAAAAGCCTGCCAGGGTGTTTTTGTTGCAACCTGGCAGTTGAATGGCCTCTGACATTTGACTTGGGACCGTCCAGGTGACCTATTAAGTGAGATGCACGCTTGACGGCTGACCTTAGTGGATGTGACGGCAAGCTCACTGCTGCTCTAAATAATAAAAATTCTTCCTGACATGACGGAGGCAGAGAGGGAAATGGCCCCTCTGGTGAAACCCCATGGACTCTGCCTTAACCTCACTGCAGAGGGCTGCTGATGCAAAGGCTGATATTTGCCTGCAATCTTTCCCTGGGAAGTAATTAGTTTCCATTTAGAGGGATGACAAATTGATCAGGCAGGAGTCGCACTGAGCTCTGAATTGAAGCTCAACTGTGATGGCTGTGGCTCTGGCAAGTCAGGTTTGTAGGTCTGTCGATGCATTTTACAGTTTCAAAATTCAATCACCCAACAGCAGGAGAGGAAAGACACTGCTCTGAAAAGAGAACCAAAGCCTGCATTTCCTTCTGCAAGTTCATTATCGCCTCGCTAAAGCATGACGGTGGTGTGAAATGGGTTAGACGCACGGATGCCTCTGTTAACGGCCAAAGAAAAAAAAGTCGCACATCATTAGGAATGGAATAAACGATACTGAGGCACACAGCAGAAATGATTTGATTAGTAATTTCCAGTTTTGAAAAGACCTGGAAAAGTACCAAATGACTATACAGAAGGTGTGATGGAGTTCTTAATTGCTGTAACTGCTCTGGGAGACTTGATGATTTGTGACATAGAATACAGCACAGTACGCTAACACTAATAACCGTTAATTAAATGCAGCAATGATATACTCTCAAAATGCACATACAAGTTACCATAATTTCCAGATTAAAAGCTGCGCTGTCAGAAGCCAAAGGCAAAGAAAGGTGGAGGGAAGGCAAGATACATCTCTTGCCTTCGTGAGCAGGCCCCATGGTCTGCCCAGAACAGAGCGGCCAGAAAACTCTATGGGAAAAAACCACACTTAGCTGGAAAATGTGAAACGGTTCCTGAATGAAGCTGCCCCTCTGGAGGGAGAGTTATTAATTCTGAAAGGCTGCTGCAGCACCAGACCATCTGGTGGTGTGGAGAGAGTTCAGTGGCTGGTGCAGCTTCCGGTTGGATCTGCTCTGCCCCACCGTGACACTTCTCACGTGAACTGTTGTGATGCCAGGTCAGAAATGTTTGGCGGGGAATGAGGGAAGAGAGGGGTCTGGGGAGATCCAGGGACTCTGCAGAGTTTTAGATGCTCTCCTTTTCATGTCCAGCTCCTAATGAATGAGGGGAGGTTGGGAGGGCTGAGGGGGCGGGAGGGTGGGAGCGATTCACATGAAAGCCTCATTTGAATGGAAGATAAAAGAAGTCAATTAATCTCCCTCCCTTTGGGTGAAGAACGCTTGTGAGCCTGAAGGAAGATGAAGGAAATGCTACTAGTATTTCCAACTCAATTATCTTGGTAATAGCACAGAAAGAAAGCTGGGATAAACAGAGAAACCCAGAGATCATTCCAATACTCCATTTTAGGCCATGGCCTTTCCTTTCTCCTTTTGCTCTGATTCAACAGTAAAGCCACCAGCGTTTAGGAAATACCAGAGGCCCGCCTCTTGGAGAGGTCAAGGAGCAGGAGAAACACTTCTGGGCCATCCTTCACCCAAGGTCTACTACGCATTTGCTGGACTACAGAGTTGGGCCAGGTGAGGAATATACAAGGGTGAGATGCCACAAGGGTTATGCAGCACTTCTGGGGATAAATGTTTCTGGAATGAGGAGGAAGAGGGCACTTTCAAAGGGGATGATTCTGGAAGGCTTCATGGAGGAGGTGGAAATGGAAGCAAACGTTGAATGAATTACAGGATCTGGCATGAGGCAAACACACAAGAAGGGCATTTGCTGGAAGGTAGGAGGGGTGGGGGTGAATAGCACAAATAAGTGCCCCAGGGGAGGCAAGTGAAATGTCAGCAGAGAGACCTGGGAGAAGTCAGGTCAGTCTGGGTGCGAGACGATGTGTGGAAAAGGGTGTGGGAGACAGTTCGTGGAGAGCGCAGAATGGCAGTCAAACGTGGCTGCTGTTGACCCCGCGAGGGAAGTGATAGAGTCGGGACTGTGTTTTAGGATGGTTAAAGCACAAGAACGTGCAGTTCCCTCTGTTTGGAATGCTCTTCCCTCTAGGTATCTGCTCAAAATTTTCCTAAATAGCAAGTCTTCCCTGACGACTCCCTCTCCATCACCACTCCTCCGTCCCTTCAACCATTTATAAATGCTAACCATTGTTAGCATGTATCACTTACACATCACATTATAGATGAATTTATTCTTTGTTTGTTCCCTCCACAACCTTTTCAATAGATGACCTTGTTTTCTTCATTGTTGAATTCCAGAACTTGACACTGGTACTCAATAACTACTTGTTGAATGAGCCAATTGATGGATGGGAAAAATCAACGGAAGCAGTAGTTCCCAAAGTGTCGTCTAGACCAGCAGCCTCAGCATCACCAAGGAACTGGTCAGGAAAGCAAATTCTCAGGCCGTACCCCAGGTCTACTGCAGCACAGATATGGTAGGTGGGGCGAGCCAGGACGTCATAGCAGAGGCTGTCTTGGTGGAAAGGGAGGGATGGACTGAGCCAGTCTTTTGAGAGGTAAAATACATAGCACTCAGCAAAGGAAGAGTCTGGGGAGACTTGCTGATGTGGGGCTTTGGTAACTGGCTGAATTGTGGGTATGGGAATACAGGAACAGGTTTGGACAGGGTTGGGGAAAGAGAGAGATCAGAGATGATACATTCAATTAGTACATGATAATAAAGTTTGTTTCTTTGATTTAAAAGGCAGTCTAGAAAAATTCCCAGAGACCTGTCTTAGGATCCACTTAAAAATCAGAAAATCAGCAGAGGACACAGAGGTTGAGGAAAGATAACTTAGGTTTGTCACACTTTTACTTTATTTTATTTTTTTTAGACGGAGTCTCGCTCTGTTGCCAGACTGGAGTGCAGTGGCGTAATCCCAGCTCACTGCAACCTCAGCCTCCTAGGTTCAAGCGATTCTCCTCCTGCAGCCTCCTGGGTAGCTGGGATTACAGGCACGCACCACCATGCCCAGCTAATTTTTGTATTTTTAGTAGAGACGGGGTTTCACCCTGTTGGCCAGGATGGTCTCGATCTCTTGACTTCATGATCTGCCCACCTCGGCCTCCCAGAGTGCTGGGATTACGGGCGTGAGCCACCACGCCTGGCCTAGATTAGGCACATTTTTAATGTTCCGTGTCCACAAGACACCTGGCCATCTTGTTGGCTATGGAAAATATGGGTCCGAAGCTAAGGGCAAGACCTGGGATGGAGACATAGTCCAGTATCATTGTCATGCAAAAGTGGCGAGAGCCATCAGAGTGGACATAATCTTGGAATCTGTGGAGGCTGAGGAATCACTGAAAATGATCTGAGAATTGTTAGAGAGACAAAATGAAGATGAGGAGACGGGAATATCACAAAACCAAAAACATTTAAAAAATCAAAAATCAAGAAGGGTGGTCGTAACATTTCACATGCCCTTCAGGGTGGGCCTGATGAATGCAGGGACTCCTTCACCTGGCAAGTGGAAATGACTGAAGCTTCTATGAGGATGGGTCAGTGCCATCAACGGGCAGAGGCAAAGCCAGTTGCTGTGAAGGAATGACAAGTGAATGGGGTCAAGAGACAAGGAGCCAGAGGAAGATGCACGAGAAGGGGAGTTGACACGCATGTTTATGTGCTGACAGCGAGAGAGCTTAGAAGACAGAAGAGAAGTCACTGAGGAGGATGGAATGGAAGGAGATACTCAGATGCACAAAAAGTTGACCTGAGACAAGAGGAGTGATATGTCTTCCACTGAGAATGTAGGGAAGGAATGTCATCAGTATGGACACAGGGAAGTAGGTCAGTCAGGTTAAGGCTCGGCAAAGCTGAGGCTTGGATGGAGAATGCAACATAGTTCTTCTAAGACTTTACACCTGGTTGAGGACACAATTGGAAATAAATTCAAGGCAAACTCTAGGAAATGGTACAAAGTATTATGGGGTGAAACAAAGACCTAAAAGTGAAAAATAAAACTATGAAGCTAATAAAAGAACACGTGAAATGATATCTGTGCACGAAGGATAGAAAAAGACTTATTAAACCAGATACTCCCAGAACATTAAGTGAGGCCAAAATATGTATTTGTTTCACTATAGCAAAAGTAAAGATCTCTTAACATCAAGGTCACTACAGTTAGCTAATGGGCAACAGATTTGAAGAAGATACTTGAGTGTCCAAAATAATAGCCAATGACCCATAGTTAAATTATACCAAAAATGCAAATCAACAAGAAATCAGAAACTCAGAAAAATGGTCAACTCCTTATAATACTTTATACTATCAAGATGGCAAAAGCTAGAAAGGTGAATAACAGCAAGTGTGGGCAAGGACATCTGGAAATTAGAACTTACATGCACCGCAGGTAGATTGCAGAATTCCATAAATAGACACATTACAAGGATGGTTATGGTGACAGTGTGTGCTTGATTGTGGTGCTAATTTCATGGGAGAAGTTGAGGGCAACCTTAGCTATCTGATACTAGGGGAATGTGCACTATAGAATATTCGGTATTATTGAGAAGCAACAAACACATGTGCAACCACCAGCAAGGCCAGATTCTAAAAATGTTATGTGGAGTGACAAGAAACAGAACTAAGATTTATAGCATATCATCACTTATGTAAACAAAACACCCACACAGAAGAACACTATCTACTTGACAAGGTTACATATCAGGCACATGAGGCTGGGTGTCTGAGAATTGGGGAGCAGGCCAGGATAGTGGGGAAAACTAAGGGCGGCCTCCCATGGATCCAGGATGACAGTGTGTTCTGAACTAAGGAACCTGATTACCTTAGTTAACTTAGTTAACTGGTGAGCTCACAGATTTATGAAAGACCTATTTCTTTTTTCTTTTTTTTGAGATGGAGTCTCGCTCTGTTGCCCAGGCTGGAGTGCAGTGGTGCGATCTCCGCTCACTGCAAGCTCTGCCTCCCGGGTTCACGCCATTCTCCTGCCTCAGTCTCCCGAGTAGCTGGGACTACAGGTGCTGACCGCCATGCCCGGCTATTTTTTTTTTGTATTTTTAGTAGAGATGGGGTTTCACCGTGTTAGCCAGGATGGTCTTGATCTCCTGACCTTGTGATCCGCCTGCCTTGGCCTCCCAAAGTGCTGGGATTACAGGCATGAGCCACCGCGCCTGGCGAAAGACCTATTTCAAGTAGGGGTCTAGTGAGTCTTCCTGAAGGGTAGGGTTCATGGTGACTCTTCAAAGATGGGAATAGGACTTCAATTTACAAAGATAAAGAGTGTTCTGAGCCAGAGGAACAGCTTGAATGCAGATGGGAAAGTACTGAGCATAACTAGAAACATCTAATGGACCAGCATGGCTGGAGCCGGGTGGACTAGTGTGGCTGGAAGCTGGGTGAGGGATTAGACCAATGAGAGAGAAAAAGAAGCAACTGTGGATGACTTTGAATGGCAGGCCTGGGAGGTGAGAAATGATGTGGCCACACTGGCTGCCATGTGGAACGGGGGAGATCAGAAGCCCGGGAGGCTGGGAGATGAGACTGGAAGCTGCTGCAGGAATATGGGCAAGAAGGGATGACGGCGTGGGCTCTAGCAACGGAAAGCTGAGCTTTCAGGGCCTGCCTGGTGGACAGCAACAGAATTCTGAGGTAGCAGTGCTACGGCCCACATCACAGTTTAATGATGGCTTTCTCCAAAAACAAACTGTCATTGTGACCAGTGGAAAAGTGTGTTACTGTTCTAGGCCCACACTCCTAGCCAAGGGAACCAAGCCGTCTTTCAATCCCCGCCCACAAGCACCACTGGTATCAATGAAAGCCCCTGTGTCTCAGTTGGTCTCTTACACACTTACACACACACACACACACACACCATTAGTTCTGAGCTAATCACAGAAGTAAACAGTATGTTATTCTAGTGCATCCTGGGATGTCTGCGCTGACTTCCAGTTTCTATTAGCCTAGCATGCCAGTCCCCTGACCTCATGCAGGATTTTTTATGGTTTTTTTTTTTTTTTTTTTTTCCCCCTGTGAGTTTATTTTTCAGAGGTTGGTTCAACTTGTTCTAAATGAGTCAAGTGTTGGGGCTCTAACTTTTCCCCTTGAGAGATTTATAACTACTAAGAAAAATTTCCTGTTTCATCCTAACCTGTCTTCCTACCATCCGGGCCACCACCAACCATTTATTTTTCTTAGGAGCTCCAAGAGAAATGTTCTAAAGTATATTTTCGAAAGAGATGAATGTCATGAGACATGCACATCCGTGTACTGTATACATCACAGCCTCCCCGAGAAAGAGACCACAATGCTCCCCTAGCCCACCAAAATGCATCCCATAGGATTAAATCTGCTCTGAGTTAAGAGTATAAACATCCTTTTCTCTTTTCTGCCTGACAGCCTTAATCCCTAAAAAGGCTCAGCCATCATTACAGAAAATGACATACCGTAATGTTTTCAAATTTTCCTCTAAAACACAAGACTGCTAATCAGAAGAGCACAACAGAGACTCTGAAACCTCTGTCAACTGTGATTGCACAAGCAGTGCTGAACTCAGCCTTGTAGTCCTCTCAGAGAGGGAATGGAGGGGTTTCCTCTCTTCTGACTTCTGATAGGGAAACTGAGGCAAGTAAATGACAAGCAGTGCTGAACTCGGCCTTATAGTCCCCTCAGAAAGAAAATGGAGGGGTTTACTCCCTTCTGGTTTCCAATAGGGAAACTGAGGCAAGTAAATGTAAGGGCGTGCTTAAGGCAGCTAAGACTGATCTAGTGGCCTGTCTGCAAGGTCCCAGTGGGGATGACTGATTCCCTATTTTTTTTTTTTTTTTTTTTGAGACAGGGTCTCGCTCTATCACCCAGGCTGGAGTGCGGTGGTGTAATCATAGCTCACTGCAGCCTCAACCTCCCAGGTTAAGCAATCCTCCTGCCTCACCACCCCCCCAGTAGCTGAGACCACAGGCACGCACCACACACCTGCCTGGCTTATTTATTGGTGGGTAAAGATAGGGTGTTCCTATGTTGCCCAGGCTGGTCTCAAACTCCTGGGCCCAAGCTCCCTGTTTCCTTTGAGCTGGTCTTAGAGGAGAGGGGGAAAGGTTTCAATCTTCAACCTTCTTGGGGTCAGCTCATGTGCTTCAAACTCAAAAGCAATTACCTAGTCCCTTAGTGATGCTGGGAAAATAATATTTCATTTGGTTTTATCTGAGAACCAGATTTTTTATTTTCTTTCGTCTAGTGAGAAGGCTATAAAAGAAACCAGACTTTTGGTGTGGTGGTGGCGGCGGCAGCGGGGAGTGGTAGTTGGGGGAGATGCATAAAACATTATACTTTGACATATATTATGCGCTTAATCTTTTGCGGCAACTTTTTTACATTTGTAAGAGTTATGGATTTTAAAAGTCAGGGCTAAGATGGCTTAATGAGCATTCACCCCCCTGGAAGTAGAAGTAGGGCTGATGTGTGTTAGTCAGCTGTTAGCTTTATTACCTCTCTTCTGTACTAAAAGTGACAAGTTGAACACATTATAGAGAGCTCAGATGTGTTATGCAGATGAAGCCTGCAGCAATATCTGCCTGCTCTCTATTATTTATGATGTCTATATAATACAATGGACCGAGATTTAAGCCATTGTGATGCAGTTTGTTTTCCAGGGTGCTAAAGTACAGCACATTTTACAGAGAATTGCATCTCTGTTACATATTAATCAAATCCATCTTACATGCAGCTCTTACACTGTAAACTAAAGGGAAAAAAAGATTAAAGCGCTTGGCTTTTCCTCAGCTGTCAAGGACTGGCAATAAAATAATAATAAGGGCTTCTAAATAATGTGTGTGTGACAGGCCTGTGCTCGCTCGCACAGTCCTTTATGGAGGTTAACTACAAAATAAGTTCCAGTGAGTGATCGGGAACAGGCATGTGTGTAATACTGTAATGCCAACGACGGCATAATTCTTGAAAAGTTCATTTGCAGAAAATTCTCTGACTTGATGAGGCAAAGTTTGGCCCCCTGAATCATTCTGCCACGGTGTGCGGCATCTGCAGAGTTGCTCTCAAGTTTACAATCCTCGCACTTTTGAACTTGCTTCAGCTGCAGTCCATTAAAAACTGAAAGCGCCATTCCCTGGTACCCAAGCTGGGGTTTACTGTTCGGGAAGTCATGGGAAAGTGGTTTTATGGCGGGACTCGTCCAAAACCTGCAGGGTTCTGTGGTTTGGACAGGATTCGGGGGGATTATTACTATTCTTTTACATGAAGGTGATCAGCAGGTCTCACTGCTACTTTGGGTTTGGGGAGAAAGATGGGGAGTTTCGGTAATGAAAGTCTGGCTCTCTAGAAGTTCTCCCCAAACCCTTCATCCAGGGAAGCACTGCCAGGGCACTCAGGAGACTTCTGTGTCTTTATTTCCAACTCTATAGACTCTCAAAGAAGGAATACAGGTTACAAGATTCACAGCCACTTCCTGTCCCTTGGAATGGAAAATGCCTGCATGCCAACCTGAGCCCAACTCACTTTGCAGCTCGAGGTAATTTCTAAAGAAAGGAGGGGAGGGAAATTGCACTTGGAAGCACTCAGTCTGCCAGGGAGTTAACAAAGAGCCTGGATCTGTGCCTTTATAGTAATCAGTAGATACAACACAATGGTTTCAGAATCTGCCTATTTACCCAAAAGCTCAAAGTACAAAATTTACACTATTATCCCCTTGCCCACCATCTATAAAAACCAACCCCCAAAATACCCCTACTTAGGGAAATCGCTGAGCCTTCCTGGGGCTGCTTTTCTTGCTCTAATGTGGGAAGAACAACGCCTACCTCTTCCTACCTCCTGAGGCCTCACAAAAAGGGGTTCTCAAATTGTGGGTAACATTATATTCCTCCAGTTTCCTGGACTCTTCGACTTGCCCAAAATGAACACCTGTTATCTGATTTATTAAAATTGCAGTGAATGCTATTTTAAAACTTCTTAATTCACAAATCTAATAAGCACTTATTGACTGCCCATGGTTTGCTAAAGCTCTGTGTCCCTTACTTTGAATTTATGTAACTCTGGATTTGCAGCATCTGTTCTGAGATGGAAGGGTGGTGGTATATACGCAACGTACTATGGTTTCAACCCTATCTACATATTCCAAACATCCAGGAAGGTTTTAAAGAAACTCAGTGGCCGAGCCCCACATCAAACCAGTGGCCTCAATCTCAGTATTTTTGAAAGTGTCACAGATGATGGTTAAGCCAGGATGAGAACTTTTAAAAAGCATAATGGTTAAGAACATGGACTCCCAGTGAAACTCCAAGGCCAACATGGAATCAGGCTGAACCAGGCTAAATGTCCTGCTCTACCAAGTTTAAAGCCTGAGCCTCAGTTTTATCTTGTGTAAAATTGGGGATAAAAAGACAACCTACCTGACATAACACATAAGGATCACGTTTGCCTGGAAACTGGCAGGTGTTCGATAAACATAACAATGCCATCTTACATGCAAAATACTGGAAGTTAAAAAGCACTTTCTGGACAGGTGTGGTGGCTCACGCCTATAATCCCAGCACTTTGGAAGGCTAAGGTGGGAGGATCACTTGAGGCCACGAGTTCAAGACTAGCCTGGGCAACATAGCAAGACCCCCATCTCTTAAAAAAAAAATTACTTGGGCATGGTAGTGCATGCCTGTAGTCTCAGATCTTGGGGAGGCTGAGGTGGGAGGATCCCTTGAGCCCAGGAGTTTGAGGCTGCAGTAAGCTATGATCACACAACTGCACTCCAGCCTGGGAGACAGAGTGAGACTCTGTCTCAAAAAAAAAAAAAAATGTATTTTTGTAGGCCATCAATTTAACTTAATCCTCACAAAATCCACGGAGATGATGTATGATTATTCCCACTTTATAAATTAATAAACTGGCTCAAAAAAGTTCCGTGTTTTTTCTAAGGTCCCACAAAATGTATCCATAAGAGGGGGACTTGAACGCAGGTCTCCTGATACCTACGGTTTCCACCTTGCCATGGCTGCCATAAGCAACTACTCTGTCAGTGGAAGTGATCTGTCTTAATAGTGGTCAATATGAAGGTATTGCTTAGAGTAGTGGTTCTGAAAGCACACCAACATCACCTAGAGGACTGGCTGCAACACAGCTCTCTGGGCCCCACTCCCAGAGTTTCTGATTTAGTTCCCAGGTGGCGATGCTGCTGGTGAGGGACCACACCTGGAGAACATGCTGCCTTAGAGTTTGTGAAAGGAAGTGAAGCCACCATCTCACACCTTGCCCGGGCCACTCCTCGTGACACAGCTTCATCCATGCCTCTCTGCAATGGTGCTGCCTGATAGCCTAGGCAAGATGTCATTTGGTCTCTTAAGAATTTGAGTCTGAAGACCTGCCGGAGACATAAGAGGCCCACATCTACTTGGCCAAATCACTCCTTCTTCCAGAGAGCTGCCAAATCCTTGGCATGATCCCTACAGAGAGCAGCCCAGCCTGATTTTGCTCCAGAGGCAAACACACGAATGGAGGCAGCACAGCCAGTACCTCTCTGCCTCTTGGATGTCATTTCCAGACTAATTGGCTGAAAGTGCCTGGGTGCTCTGCACTTCCACTTCTATCCACCTGGCACATCATCAATTGTGTGTCAAAGTCTCTCCTAGGGTCCATCTTGGGGCCAGAGTTACCTAACAGCATGCACAGGTCCTGCAGTCCTTAGTCATGTTAAGCAGGGAAATGAAAACCTGCCAATATGGAAAGAACACAAATCACCCCTTCTAGAAGATTCAGCAGTGTTTTCCAGGAATAGTCCTCTGACAGTACCTGATAAACAATGCTCTTCTCACCTCTCTCCTTCCCACTGCCAGGCCACCTAGAGATGGGAACAACCCAGCTAAGAACTCCTAAAACTCGTTTCCTCTCCCTCTCTGTGTATGACTTGCCCAAATGGTGCTCAGGGAGAGCTTAGGAACCCAGGCCTTCGGGTCCTCAGATGAAGCCCTTCAAGGCCTGGGACGGGCTGTGGGGAGGGGCTGGCTGCTCACCATGGCCTCGAGGATTTGCAGGAGCTAACCTATCTCCACTAAAAGGCAGCACAATTTCCAAAGAGTAGCCTGATTGCTATAAAGCCCTCTCTGCCTTCACAATGTTCAGAAGGCCTCACTGGCAGCCAAGGGGGTAAGTCACAAAGTTGAGAGGACACACAGGAGAGGCACATCTGAATGTCATGTCCTTGAAAGGGCTTGTGCCTTTGTGGTTCAGACATGAAGAGGAGCTCAAACAAGATGCCCTGTCGAGCAATGCCTGGCTAGCCTGCAGCAGAAGCCAACCTCTAACGTGGCATGAAAGACCCCAAGGTACTATTAATTTTTTCGCAGAGTGGAATTCATAAGGCACTCGGTACTCTGGTTCTTGGAATCCCACTCTCAGAGGTGGATGACACAGCAGACGTCACTAAGTGGTGACTCCCTCTTTACAGATGGTGAAGGGGTATAAGGCTCTGTGACTCACTTCAAGGCTCCGGTTACTCAGCAGGAGACCAGCAACCAAGGACCATGTCTGCTAACCCCAGCCCCCAACACTAAGCTGCTCAGAGACCAAGAATGTCTAGAGAGCTAACAGTTTCCGCAATGTGCAGCTCACAATCTGCCTTTGCTCACTTTCATCTCATCTTCTTAACCTTTCTGGGAGGAAGTTGCACCTACTCCCATTTTACAGAGGAGGAACGCTGAGGCTAAGAAAAGCCAAGTGGTTGGCTGAGGTCACCCCGCTGAATCAGATGGGATGGAGGATGTGGGTCCATATGCACATGGTCTTATTCCTAGCCTCGTGCTTTCTCCTCATCGTGGTTATCGCCCTTGACACTGGGGCAGGAAAGATCTTGTGTGTGGAGAGAATGATGTACCGAATCACAAAGGTGACGGAGCCAGGCCAACAGCTCTGAATGCATGCACTCTAGAGGGCTGCCACAGGTCCAGCCCGTGCAGCTTAAATCCAAAGGGTGTCCTCAAGCATGCAAGGTCATTTCCAAGGCTAGGCCCGCCGAACAGCAAATGGGGGATGAAAGGTGGATCGCTGGAAAGTGGAATTCACAGGACACTCGACATTCTGGATAAAAGCCCCAGGCACACTATACCCAGGTTCTTTGTGCTGGCTTCTCCCTCTGCCTGGAGTGCTCTGCAGCGCACAGCCTCCTGTTCCCTTTAAGTCTTGGCTCACACGCCCCTTTCACAGGGAGATGCCTCCTGTCCTCCTATTTCAAATGGCGCCTTCCCACTCCAGCACTCCCAACCCCCTTCCAACAGATCCCATTTTACTCATTAATTCTCCTTGTCTCTTCTCACCACTAGAAGGTGAGCACCACAAGGGCAGGGACCTTTTGCTGGTTTTGTTCACTGATGTTTCTCGTACCTAGAATCAGCACTGATGATATGGATCTAGTACCTAGAATCAGCACTGATGATATGGATCTAGTACCTAGAATCAGCACTGATGATATACATCTAGTACCCAGAATCAATGCTGATGATATGGATCTAGTACCTAGAATAATCCTGACACAGCCATCACCCTTCACCAGCATCCGACAATGATGAACATTTCTCCACATTTATCTGTGAATGTGTGTTTCTTTGTGTATTTCTTTTTCCTAAACCATCTTAAAATTTAGGAAAGTGTATTATTTCCTAGAGTAAGAACATTACCACACCCAGAAATTTCAATTGAGGCATTATTTAATAGACGGTTCACATTCAAATTTCCCCAGCTGTCCCCTCAAATATCCTATATACAAGCTTTTAAAAAATCTAGACCTACGGCCCAATCAAGGATCAGGCATTCCATGTGTTCTGTCCTTTTTTTTTTTTTTTTTTTGAGACGGAGTCTTGCTCTGTGGCCCAGGCTAGAGTGCAGTGGTGGGATCTCAGCTCACTGCAACCTCCGCCTCCAGGGTTCAAGTGATTCTCCTGCCTCAGCCTCCCGAGCAGCTGGGATTACAGATGACCACCACCACACCCGGATAATTTTTGTATTTTTAGTAGAGACAGGTTTCACCATGTTGGCCAGGCTGGTCTCGAACTCCTGACTTCACCACCTACCTCGGCTTCCCAAAGTGCTGGGCTTACAGGCGTGAGCCACTGCACCTGGCCCATGTTCTGTGTCTTTAGCTACCTGGAGAGAAGCTTAGTAAGTACTTGGTGAGCAAATGGATGGGTGAGTGAGCTGTGCTGTGGAGAATCCTCCAGCAGTCTCTTCCCAGAGCCAGAGTGAAGAGGTGGGGGGACCCTCGCTCTGATTTTGCTCTATGTCTCTCCCTTCTGCTTTAGGTTCTCCCAACACATTCATATAGGGTGTGTTTCACCAAGCGACCCTGAAAAGGCCCCCGGACAGTCACTGTCTTGCCCTCTACCCCATGGGGCATGGATGCTGCTCTCAGAGCCCTCGCCCCATGCGAATTTCCATTATCCTCCAGACCAACTTTTTTTTTTCCCCCCAAGGTAGAGGGCTTTGCCTACTGCTCCTGGCTCACATCTTTTTGTACAAATATGGAGGAACCAATGTGTGGCCTGGCTGGTGGGAACCTTAAAGGTCCAGCCTGTGAACTGCCTGCAGGAGGGGTGTTTCGAGCCACCAGTGGGGGTCTGTGTCCTCTGCAGCCCACAGAAGTCTGTTTGCTCGGGAAAAGCCAACCGTGGCTATTATGACTCCATTAATGGCATGAGCTGTGGGATGCTCCAAAAAAGGAAAACCATGCTCAGGGAGAGGGCAGGAGGAAGAACCCAAGAGAGACATAAAAAGGCAATAAGATTCAGAGAGCACTCTTAGGAGAGAGGAGGGTGATGGATGGAAGGGAGGGGAGTGTCAGGCAGGGAAGACGTGGGAGCCAGAGAGTGGCAGCAGGGAGTTAGAACCTCAGATTCACAGAAACCTGCGTGGCTCAACGGGGGGCATCTGTGCCTGCAGACAGCAGTCCTAGGACAAGCAGAGAAGAGAGCAGAGAAGGGGCTGAAGAGGTCAGAGAGCAAAGTGAAGAAGCCACAGGGTCCACCCTCCATTGGAGCCCACGAAGAATGAGCAAAGGCCAAGGGGCTTAATGAGAAACCAGCAGGGCTTCCCTCACTTCTCCTTTGTGAAATCTCAGCCCACGGTTCTGGACCTAGAGGAAACCGAATCCCCCGGCTGCCTTTCGCTGGGGCCTCCTTCCTACCTTCTGTTCCTCTATTAGCACTCTGCACTAATTACTGCTGTACCTCCGTCCTAACAATGGATGCTCTTGATGCCTTTCAAGTATGAGTCTACATCTGGAATCACCCCTGTCCAGGATCTCTGGAGCCTGGAGTTGCTACAACCTCCACGGTGGGTACTGACCATCTAATTTCCTAGTCTCCTAGGGGCTCTAAATCCAGCCCCCTCTGACCTGCCAGCAGGAGAGATGACTTCACATTTGTCCTGCTTATCACTTGTAATAACCATTAGGGACAATGGCAGGCGCTCACACCTGCTGCCCACCAGGACGGCAGATCGGGTCTCCACAGGAGGCCAGAGATGCAAATCTCCTTGTCCTTTTCACCACAGGCAGTCTCCCCTCTGGTCACACCACTGAATCAAGGGACATGGGAGAACTAAGCCAAAGCGGCAGAGTGCGCCCTGCCCCCTAGCAAGTTAGCACACACGGGCGCGGGGCTGGAGATGCTGTCAAGCAGCAGTATTGATTCAAGGATATTTTGCTGCTGAGCCCCTTGCTGTGGCCCAGCCAACCGTGCAAAGGCTAAGGTTGGGGACATGGGGCTATAAATGGTGCTGACTGTATTCTCTGCACACCCATTTCTTCGTGAGGAATGACTTTCTGCAGCTGGGCCATTTTCATAGCTGCCCTTGTCGCTAAAATGGTGCTGAGAACATCTGGGACAGAACCTGTGGCCTCGGGGCCACCACTGGGACAGCGCTCTCCAGCCCACATTCTAGGTTGCGACCACCCCGTCCCCCACGGTTCAGAAATCATGGAGAGTCTCGGAACTCCCTAACCTGAACGGCCCATTGGACGCTTCCTCTGAAACGAGCCTCTTCCCGCACAGAGCAGCATGCCCGACACGCACACAGCAGTGCAGACACGCATGTGCACATGCTTCCCCGCCGCCAGTCGCCAGCCCCTGCCCTGGTGTTCTCTTCAAGGCGAGCCAGCAGCCCGGCCAGCCCGCAGCAAGCCGGGCCCCAGCCCTGCTGTAAAGTATTAACTCACACTGAACACAGTTTGTCTCTGAGGACCCTCTTGGCCCCTTCGTCATCCTGTGCTGACATTTTAATCGTGCTTTTGTGGGAGCTGGCTGGCAGTTTGTCATCAGGAATGGCGCGGCGAGGGGCCAGAGCGGGTTGCTGGCTGTGGCTGCTGCTGAGGGAAGCAGCCCATTCTGACAGACTGAGCAATAATCTGAACTTACTGCGCCGAGCCTGTGGGACACCAGCCGGGCCGCTTTATCTTCTTCATTAAAGTACGCTCAAAAAAAAAATCCATTTTCCTTTAAAGTCTCAGGAACAGATGGAGTAAAATTAATTGCGCCATTAAGTCCCGATAGACAATACCAGAGTGGTTTTCTTTCAACTGTGCATGTGTGTTACAAAGTGCTCTTCGTAAAAGGCAATTACTGCAACATTTGCCATAAAATAAAGGTTGCTTTAATGGGCAATAAACACAGGCTTCAAATTTTGTATGAAATGGGTCTCTAAAGGGCGCTGTTAGAGGCAGCTCAAAGGCACGACTGACTTTAGTATTTCTGCTCGGGCTTCAGCTCAGCTAGTTCCGAGAACAATGATTCCCCACCCTTGGATATATTCTGATAGAATTATGTATGTGATGTTCACTCACTGCATGGGCCTCTCCAGCCAGATTTTTCTGGTCAGCAAACAGCAGGCAGGAGAGGAAGAGCAGGAAAGAGAGAGAAAGAAAACCAGGGGCAGTGGCAAGTTCACTAAGGGTGTCCTGGGCTGTACCCACTGCCTGAGAAGAAACCAGTTAAAGTGACAGGCCCCGTTCACGGGAGCCGAGAACACAATTTACTTGTCCTCTGTCTTAGAGGTCTGGTGAAGCTTTCTGGTTGATTCCTGGCAGCAGGGCTCAGTCAGAAATCTATAGTTATGTACATTTGGAGCAGAGATTTGGCAAAGAGGGAAAATAGGCTGTGCTTTACAACCGAGATGAAAATGATGATGAAGGCCTGTCAGCATATTGATGACCGGGCCCTCCAGCCAGAGCCCAGCTTTCCGCTCCTCTGAGGACAGCTGTGTAACGCTGCCTAGGTGAACCCAGAAAGCACACTGCAATATAGAGCTCTCCTGGCACACGCAGAGGAGGCCGCCTTTCCGAGCCCCCTACCCCTTTCCTCTGCAAACCCCATGTGTAAATCTTGCCCTTTTGCGATCCAAGCTGCTCAGACATGCCTGGATGGGGGCAGGAATGGAAAGATGAACAGAAATTCATTTCAATCCACTCTATTCCTACATTTCAGTAATTACAAAGTTAGCATGACATATAAATGATCCATTAATTGAAATATGGACTACACGACTCCAATATTTATGGTATAAATCCATATTTCATTAAACAAATCCAATAGGCAAATATATCAAGGAGAATATGAGAGCATTTTTATTTAAGTATGAGATCAGGAGCTAAAAGACCATCTTCTGTCCAAAATATAGACCTAAAGCTTTTAAAAAAGAAAAAAAAAAAGAACCTTAGGTAAATTTAGAATTAGGTGGGGCTGGTGAGACAGCGAGGCTGATGATGATGAAAATTAACTTTAAGTAAATCCAGGGTCAGCTTATATGGTCAGCTCAGAGAATCAGGGGCTCCGTCAGTCACCAGCTGCCATGATCTGAGACGCGCCTGCCTCTATTCAGGCTGCTAAGGGAGGTGGCAAGGGGATGGATTCAGGCCCTACCATGTATGTTGGCTGCTATGACCACAGAAGGGCTGGCTTTTAGCTGTGGGCTTTTTTTTTTTCTTCCCTTTTTTTGAGATGGAGTCTCGCTTTGTCGCCCAGGCTGGAGTGCAGTGGCACGATCTCAGCTCACGGCAGCCTTGGCCTCCCCGGTTCAGCAGATTCTCATGCCTTAGCCTCCTGAGTAGCTGAGATTACAGATGCCTGCCACCACGCCTGGCTAATTTTTTGTATTTTTAGTAGAGACGAGGTTTCACCCTGTTGGCCAAGCTGGTCTCAAACTCTTGAGCTCAGGTGATCCTCCCACCTTGGTTTCCCAAAATGCTAGGCTTACAGGCGTGAGCCACCATGCCTGGCCTAGCTGTGTTTTAAATAGAAGGGTTGGTTTGCACTGAGCCATCCATGCTGCTACCTGACCTCTTCTTGCATTAGGTGGTTTCCATCTCCAAGTGGCATCTGCAGACGGTTGGCATCTGTGGCAGTACAGCAAACCCGACTGCCCCGCGATGGATATGAACCTGCCACCAGAACCTCAGTACTTACTAAACTCGTCCTCTCTTGGCTCTTCCACAGGCACTTCCCGACATCCTTACATTCAGCTGGAATCCCCACTTCCCCCCAATGTCTGCCACCCCCTCCCTGTTCCATCAGGCCAAGGGAAGACACCGCCATCTATCTACCCAGCTGCCCGGTTCAGAAATGGCGCCCAGAGGTCTCCTGCCCGTTTACCCGTGCTTTCCCATCCTGAGGATCCCAACTGCTTGTCTTCAGTTTCTTTAATGCTGTCTTAATTCTGGCCCTGATCATCTCCTTTGAATGTAACAGCATCCTAACTGGTCTCCCTGCTCCAGTCTCAACCTCCTGTAACTGCATCTTAAGATTACCAACCAAGTGGGCTAAAATCAAAGTCTTCATACACTGCTTTTTGCCAAGGAAAGTTCTGATTACTGGATTTTTTGGGGGGGAGGGGGAGGGATGTAGGTATACTATTAATAGCATGGTCTTTTACTCTCAAAGTATCTCAGTTTCAATGATAAATTATAATCCTAGCTAAAACTCACATCTCTTCCCTTCTTCATTAACTCCTATTACCTTCAGGAAAAAGTAAAGGTCCTTAAGCTTCAGATCCAGGTTTTTGTAGAGCCTGAAGCTTATATAATTTATATATACATATACATATATATATATATACATATATATATATACTATATATATATGTATATATATATATAGTTTTGCAAATTAAAAAAGGAACAAAGCCCAACATGTGGCCCCTCCCCAGGGGCCCTGCAGCTTAAGCTTCAAGAGCTTCATGGTAAATCTGTCCCACCATGGCAAATAAACATGTTTTTTTGATCTGGCCTCTGCTTACCTCTTTGGGCTGTCTCTCAACATTGCCCGCATGGCTTCCAAGGCATTGCTTTGCCACACTTGTGCCCTGTGCTTCAACCACAATTTCTATTTATAGAAATTTCTACTTATAGATCAATGAGCCACCTTCGTGCACACCTCCATACCTGTGCCCATGCTCTTCCATCAGCCAGGTGAAAGACGGGGAAAGAGTATCCCGGCAAGCTTCCATGCAACTTTCAGGGCTTGGTTTTAATATCACCTTCAGAAAGTCTCTTTTGATGACTCTACACAGGGGCCTGTTTCCTTTCTTTGAAGCTCCCATGACATCCTGACCACGTTTATCCCAACCTTGACTGCACAGCACAGAAATTAACTGTCTTTTCCTCCACCGTGTACATAACAGATGCTAAATGCACATCTAGTAAATGAATAAGCCATTCTGAGAACAAAGCATCCCTTTTTCCATTGCATGTGGGATCCCTGCTAAGGCTGGACACTTGGCTCGGAATTGGATGGAGAATGACAGGAACTGGCGCCAGCCCTACACTGTAAAATTCCAACTCTGCTCCATCTGAACGAGGGCAGTTACCAAACTAGAGCAAATTGTGATTGAGTGTTGGCAGAGATGGAATAATGAGCTGGTGCTGATTAATACCCGAAGACTGGGTTAGTAGTTCTCAACTATGTTTGCACATTAAAAACATCTGAGCTCCACAGCAAAAGAAGCTATCAACAGAGAAAAGAGGCAATCCACAGAATGGGAGAAAACATTTGCAAATTATGCATCTGATAAAGGTCTAATATCCAGAATCTATAAGGAACTCAAACAACTGAACAAGCACAAAACAAATAACCCCATTAAAAATGGGTAAAACACACAGACACTTTTCAAAAGAAGACATACAACACATGAAAAAATGCTCAACATCACTAGTCAACAGAGAAATTCAAATCAAAATCACAATACGCTATCATCTCACACCAGTCAGAATGGCTATTATTAAAAGTAAAAACAACAGATGCTGGCAAGGCTGTAGAGAAAAGGGAATGCTTATACACTGCTGGTGGGAAGGTAAATTAGTTCAGTGCCTATGGAAAGCAGTTTGCAGGTTTTTCAAAGAACTTAAAACAGAATTACCATTTGACCCAGAAATCCCATTACTGGGTATATATCCAAAAGAAAATAAATGGTCTACCATAAAGGACACCTGCACTCAGCTGTTCATCACAGCACTATTCACAAGAGTGAAGACACAGAATCAACCTAGGTGCCCATCAACGGTGGACTGGATAAAGACAGTGTAATACATATACACGATGGAATACTATGCAGCCAGAAAAAGCAACAAAATCACGTCCTTTGCAGCAACACGAGTGCAGCTGGAGGCCATTATCTTAAGTGAATTAACGCAGGAAGAGAAAACCAAATACTGAATGCTGTCATTTGTAAGTGGGGGCTAACCACTGGGTAGACATGGACATAAAAATGGCAACAATAGACATTGGGGTCTATGAGAGGCGAGAGGGAAGGATGAGGGGAAGGGTTGAAAAACTATTGGGTACTGCGCTCAGTACCTGGCTGATGAGATCATTCATACTCCAAACCTCAGCATCACAAAATATACCCATGTAACAAACCTGCACATGTAGCCCCTAAATCTAAAATAAAAGTGGAAATTTTTTAAAAAGTGAGTTATTTAAAAAATATATTTCATTGTCTGGTACCTAGCCCTAGAGATTATTATTTTTTTCCTGTGGTAGGATCCAGTCCTACCAGTACTTAAAAGAAAAAAAAAAGTTTTTACATAATTTTTTTTTTTTTTTTTTTTTTTTTTAGAAACAAGGTCTTGCTATGTTGCCCAGGCTGGATGCAAACTTTTAGGCTCAAGCAATCCTCCCACCTTGGCCTCCCGAGTTGCTGGGATCACAGGTGTGAGCCACCATACCTGGACATCTATCAGTTCTTTAAAAAAGATCTTCAGAGCAGGCATGGTGGCTCACGCCTGTAATCCCAGCACTTTGGGAGGCCGAGGCAGGTGGATCACCTGATGTCAGGAGTTCGAGACCAGCCTGACCAATATGGTGAAACCCCATCTCTACTAAAAATACAAAAATTAGCTGGGTGTGGTAGTGTGTGCCTATAGTCCCAGCTACTCAGGAGGCTGAGACAAGAGAATCGCTTGAACCTGGGAGGTGAAGGTTGCAGTGAGCTGAGATTGCATCACTGCACTCCAGCCTAGGTGACAGAGCAAGATTCCATCTCAAAAATAAATAAATAAAACAAGACTAAATATTAAAAAATAAAAAAAGGTCTTCAGATGATTCGAAAGCTGAAAAATGATGATTTAGCCAATTTTATATTAGTTTAAAACCACCAATTAAAACACTTTTGCTCACAATTGGATATGGTTACAGTTACTCACCTATCTATAGCCACGAATGTACGTGGTCTATCACATATCATGTCATTTACTCCTGATGAACCAGAGTCTACTGTTACATGTTTGTATAGAGGGGCATGACGGCCTGGCACTTTCTCACCTCCTCATAGGTGCAATCAACAATGCTTGGCAGGTGTTTGGTACAAGCGGTTACCAGAAATACGAAGAAGTAAGACTTAGCCTTTATCCTCAAGGAGCTTATCACATTTTAGGTGAAATCACAACAAAAGTTGACAGTAAAAGAATATTCACATGCCTGTAGCTATCAAGTGCCATCTGACTACTGGTGAGGAGTGCTTTGTGTAATGATGTCCCCCATGGCAGAGCTGTGACTGTCAAGTATTGTGTGAATCCCAAAGGTTGAACACGTGGAGGAAACAGCAACTTCAACGGCTGTAAGTCGGGAAATAACTCTAAAGTCAAATTGGATACACACTCATTCATTCATTCCTGCTATTTACTGCTAAGAATATGCATCAAGCACTTGGCTACATACCACACATAATGGGGGGTTCTAGAGATATGGGGGTGCAGAGAACAGAGATGACCCCCTAGTTGGATAAAATGTACTACAAGAGAATCTCTAATTCATTATGCATCAATGTTCTTAATTGCTACTGTGGTGAGTGCTGTAAAGGGAAAGTCCAGAGTCCTAGAACGTGAAAGATGATTATAAGCCAAGGACCACAGAGATCTCCCAAGAACATAGGAGGCAATGGACTCAACCTCAGTGATGAGCCAGGCTGCTGGCTGTGGAGTGGAACAGCCCGAGGAGGAAACTGGTGAGCTGGGGAGAGCTCAGGATTCGCCTCCCTGCTGGACAAAATTCTCTCTCACTGGCAGAGAAAAAAACCTATGGGGACTTACACAGTGCCATGTGCAGATGGGGTTTAATGAATGTGGTGATGATAATGATGATAATTATTCAAATTCTTTCCTATCTCTACACCCCAGGGAAGCCAGTGCTGCCTTTGTCATCTGACTAAATCTGAGAGGTGACCCTCTTTCCTAAGTTTATTCTGTAATGCCTTCCCACGCGGGGCACAGTGTTTCTCTACCTTACATCACTCTAAGCAGCATATGTTTAGCAGTGTGCTAGATACTCAGGAGGGTATGAAAGAAAAATGAGACTGCCAGGAGGTCCCTGGGCCCTCCTGTCATTTATGCCAGGGCCTGGGGTTGGGGCTTGCATAGAGACTACCTCAAAACAGAAAATATCAAATGTGGGGACCTGAAAATAAAATTTGTATTCATTTGTTTATACTTCGCCTCTTTCAGAAAACAATTTAAGGAGAATTAAATTAAAAGATATACACAATAAGGTTATTAAAACTAAAACAGAAAATCAAACACCTGGTTAAGGGAGAGAAAGCCAATTTCTAACCACCATGGCTAATCAAGTCAATATAAATGAGTGCTGAGTTGAACTCTGGAGTTCTGGGCAGATGGGGCAAAATGTAAAACAGTGGGTCACATCATTTGCATTCTCCATTGGAAGGAGGTCCCACGGTTCTTCCAGAGAGACCAGCACATCCTGAGTATTATGCAGTGCTTTACCTGAATGGTCTACATCTTTAGTAATGAATGACTTTCACAGCACATGCAAGTTTATCTTCATATTGATTTTTTAAAATTATCAATAAGCCCAAGGTATAAACATTAAAGTATGATCTATCAAAGATAATTCTAGTGAGGAAGATACGCTAATGCTATTCAGGTAGGTACTTCCCTGGTAGTCTAACCTGATGGAAGGAGACAGCGACGATTACCAGAGAGAGGGAGTATCTCCCTTGGCAGATCTTGAGGGAACATCACTTTTCCTTGCCATTTCAGGGAAGAGCTGGAGAACGGCAGTTCATCAGAAACAGCAGAGAACACTTTGAATTGTGGCCCATTTCTGACAGTGCGTAAAGGTTGGTATCCATATTTTGGAGGGCCAGAATGGCCCTCATTGTGATGAGATATAAAACAGAGAAGCCTGGCCAGCATTCTTGGCAGAGTGAAGGCTGCCTCTTCTCCACATGGTGACCTTCTCTGGTCTCTGGTGTATTTTCAAGAAAGCCAACATTTCCCATAAGGAATGGCTTTAGATCCAGTGATCCCCTGAACACGTGACATGTTGAGACTCTAGAGCACCACTGTCCAGAACTTTCTATGATGATTAACATGTTCTGTATCGTCTGATACAATAACCACTGTGACAAGAGTGACCACTGTACTCTTGAAACTGGCTAGTGTGTCACTGAGGAACTGATGTTTAAATTTTATTTGATGGTAACTAAATTAAGCTGAAATAGCCACAGGTGGCTAGTGGCTACTGTATTGGACACAGCAACCCTAAAAATCTGCCTCTGGGAATTGAACAGAACGACAGTTGGTTTGCAAAGTTTCATAAAAGACATTACTCATAACCTACCCTAGCTGTAGATAAACCTTCAGCGATGCTCTTGAAGGCCTCTCAGGAGAGGTGAGAATCCAGGAAACTCCTGTCAGGCACTTGAATAAACTGGTCTGCTAAATGAAACTATTTAGTATTGACCAAGTACATTTTGTAGAATGCCTGCCAAACGCAACAGTTGTGGCTTTGACATATCTGGGGTTGGGCCATGCTGGTATTGGATAACTGTGAGGACCAAATGCTTCCCGAAGCCATTCCTAATTCCTATATAATCCATGGTCATAAAACACCATCAAGCACACAAGCGGCCACTCTCTTGCTAATTGCTATGGCAGGAGGGCACACGGAGAGTTCATTGAAATGTGGTAATTAACTCCCACTTGTAATGGTCTAGAATCAAACACATCTCTGTTTTCAGCACCTGTGATTAAGATCTGAAATGTCTGGGTATCATTTTGGCCAACCCCCAACTCTTGCAGTGGTAATAAAACACAGTCTTCACAAGAGTATCAGCGGCCAATGGTTTTGGCTAAGTTTGGCCCTTTCTTTTGGTCCACAAAGAAAAAGGCCGATGAAAGACGTGTAAAGGCTGCCAACAGTTCTGGATCCATTTTTCCCTAAGTTGAAAGAGCACACCCATTACATATAATGTTTAGCAATATGAGTTAAGTTTTGTCATAATTCATTAAAGCTGATTTCAGGGGAAAAATACAAGCCTTTTTTAAGTCTTATATTTAATAACAAATATAACTTCGGATTGCTAAAGAACATTCTTGGCAAGAGGAAATGAAGGAGTTATGGAATAGAAGCCCAGTGATCCAACTGGAGGAAGTTTTGATTCTAAGAAAGTCTGGGGGTTAGCGGGAGTGCAGGACAACCAAGGGCCTGGGTAGCAACGGTGGGGATGACGGGAGCTATGGAACCTGGCTGAACACCGTGTTCTGCTCAGCAAGAATGTGCTGCTTAAAGAACATCCAGAGCACTGACCAAAACAGATGCCAGGTCTAGACGGCAGGATGAGGTGAAAGTCCAGGAACAGAGGACAACGGCAGGCCCCTCAGGCAGGAGAGAATATAAGTCAAAGATGCATTTTTAAGAGAACTTGGAGAAAGGGGGTTTTGTAAGAGACGACAGAGAAATGAAGTTGCCAGGACATCTCCGCTCCAAGAATAGCCAGAGGAACTTGGTCTGAACATGCCCTTAAGAATGACTATGCTAGCCAGGCGCAATGGCTCACACCTGTAATCCCAGCACTTTGGGAGGACGAGGCGGGCAGATCACCTGAAGTCAGGAGTTTGAGAGCACCGTGCCCAACAGGGTCTCTACTAAAAAATACACCAATTAGCCGGGTGTCGTGACGCACACCTGTAGTCCCAGTTACTCGCGAGGCTGAGGCAGGAGAACTGCTTAAACCCAGGAGGTGGAAGTTGCAGTGAGCTGAGATTGCACCACTGCACTCCAGCTTGGGCGACAGAGACTCCATTTCTCCAAAAAAAAAAAAAAAAAAAAAAAAAAAGAGAATGACTATGCACTAACGTAAGCCTGCCTAGCTGTAGCGTCCCAGAACAGCTAGCAAAGTTCAGCACTGGTCCACTGTGTTTGCTATAGTTTGTACTAGGCCTTTTTCCTTAATCTTTGCTTTTGCTCTGATCTAATTCAGACATGATCATCAGTTTAAAAATAAGTGGAGCTGAATTTTTGTAGGTTTCTGTTTCTCAATCTAATATCCTGCATGAGGAGTGGTTCCTTACCTCCTACCCTCCCACCCCTCAAAGATCTGACCTAAGGTGGGACATGAAATCAGAAAAACTAAAATGTCTGTGACTTTTGAGGATGGAAAAGATTGTACTGGGGATTAATCCAGAGAAACCTACACATGAGGCGAAAGTTGCTGGAAATAATTTGGAAAGAACTGGGCTTAGTACTCAGGAGAGGATTTAAAAATGGTTCAGGTGGCAAGAGATCTCCTGCATGTTGTAATCATTTTGCAGCGACCAAATGACTAGGACATGGGAGAAAAAAAGGGGAGAACCCCCCACCCTGCCCCCACAGTGAATACAGTTTGAGTCTGTAATCCTGGACCTGAAAGGCCAGGAGAAGGAGCTACCCAGGCAGCACAGAAGCCTGGAATGTGTGCCCCCACTCCCGGCAGAAGCCACACTGTGGGGCAGAAACACTCAACCCTTCCACGTGCTATTCATGAGCATCAGGGAAGGGGAAGAAAGAAGAGATGTATGTGGACTGGAGCTTTTCCCTTGTTTTTCCAAATTAAATAAGCTGCTGCTCTTCCTTCATTCTCCTGGCTCTTTCCCTACCCCACCGCCGCCATACCGCGGCCCCTCATGGTCCTCCCCGCTCTGAGCTCAGGCCCTGGAGGAACTGGAAGTGCTCCTGTCGCTGCTCAGCTGCTGAACTGGTCTTCTGACCATGCCTCTTTCCTGCAACAACTCTTTGGCAACCCTCCTCCAAAACGTCCCAGTTTCCCTCCCTGCCCCTTGATCTGGTGCCAGAGGGGACGGTAACAAAACACAAAACAAAAACACAACAAAGAGGCCATGGAGCCAGTGCCAGCAAGCAATGAGAGGGAGAAATGGAGCCCAGTGGAGTTCTTCTCCCTAAAGGAAAATTAAAAGACAGATGATCAGCTAGCTCCCAGAAGTTCTGCCTCGGGCCTAAATGAAATAAATGAAAAGGGTGAGAAATCCTAATGAAATCACCAATCCAAACAACACAACGACCTGAGGGCGCTAAGGGTCAAGGTTCAGGACAATTCAAGGAGAAGCAGTCAGGCCTGTGGTTTTACAACCCAAGCCCTGGGCTTGGCCACCAGCACAGGAGAGCAAAGGGCCCGACCAACCCCTTTCCTTCCACATCTCAGTGATGAGCGTGGTGTGACTGAGCGCCTACTGCACACCGATGCCCATAAGATGTGGTCTTCAGCATAGGACTCCTTGAACAGGTAAACCAGGGTACGGCTACACGCTCCGCTGGAGAATTTCTCACTTTACGAAAGGAGCTGTGTGCTCAGGTTCCTACACCAGTAAGTACAGGGAATATGATTGTGTTTTCAGCTTCATTTCGACTGACTCTAAACAATGTAAATCTATGAGCTACAAAATTCCACCTGTCAAAAATTGCATTTACATGCAGTTTTTCAGGAAGGTGTCTGTTCTATAAATTGAGGTGTACCAGTGCTATGTGCTAAGGAGTAAAGAAGAGCAAGAAAAGAAAGCGGGTCCTGACTTCTGCCCGCAGCACTCCCAGGTTAAGGGAGAGGTGCAGGTAAGGCCATGGGCTCGGTGGGAATCTGCACCCCTACAGAGCGGTACAGGGAGGGTGGCAGGGTGCTAAGCGCTTCTCGGCAACAGGACTGTGCACAAGGCCTCTGCCTCTTGTCTTAGCTGCTGTCCAGCCTTCCAGCTCTGTGGCTGGGACTCAAGTACCTGAACAGTGAATGGGTGTGGGGGTGAGCCATGGGCGGAGGCAGGCGCTGGGAGATTGTGTCATTAGCAACTGAGTCAGGAACAGAGGGCCAGGGAGACAGTGATAGCATGGGGGTGCATCTGAAATGCTGACAGAGGCAAATTCCCTCTTCTCTTCTACTTAAAAGGGGTCGGATCCTTCCTCCAAACAGGCAATTCTCCCTTACCTACTTGCTAGCTGCCACAGCTCAAATGCTAATTATTACATAAGGGTCAAATGGCAGCCCGACAACACCTCTTGAAAAACAAAATGCCAGGGTTATAAAATATACAATATATTTTCTCCCCTTTGGCTGTTTTTTTTTTTTAATACCTTGACCAGCACTTCTAATTATTTGAGAGAGGAGAGGGAAGAAAGGAAATCAAAAGATCTGCTTCAGAACGCAGCTCTCTCTTCCTCTCCTGGGGTGAGCTTGTCTCCTGTGAGATAACAAGCATGAAGAGCATGGCAGGCCGCACGCACTCCCCAGACAATGGCCAGGCACAAAAAGGAAGCGGCTGCACGCAGGAGGCAGGCAACCTGCTGGCAGCAAAGGGTTAAAGTCCACAGCATCCTCCCGCGCCCCGTCTGCCTTTCCGTGAAGGATACAAAGCTCAGTGGGGCAGGGAGGAAACTCCCACCGGGCCCCTATTAAAACAGATCAAGTCACACATGTCGATAGCCCCATTTCATAGATGCTCTAATTTGTTTGACAGGAGTGAATCCTGCTGATCCAAGTCCGGCAAGGGGATGGGGAGGGGGGGAAGGTCTGCTGGAAAGGGAGACCCAGGGAGAGCCTGGTGGCTTTCTGTATCTGGCCTTTATAAAAAATTCAGCCATGCTTTGAAAACAGGGTGTGTCCCAAGTAGAATATCATCCTTAGGCACATACGTATGGTGTGTATGTACATACACAGTGTATTGTTCTGATCTAACTGTGAGATGTTAAAAAAGGTACAATAAAGCTTTTCCCTCTCCCAGTGGAGAAGAGGATCAAACCCTGCTCTCCCTCCAGTAATCCTGATAAATGCAGTGCCAATGTTCTAACAAAACACAGGGCTGCTGTTCGAGAGCTTTTCTTTCCCTCTTGTTCTTCTTTTGTGTTTCTCTTTTTTTTCTCTTGCTCTCTCTCTCCCTGTGTTTCCTTCTCTCTCTCTCTTTCTCTCTCTCTGTCTGTCCCCTGCCAAAGGCATTAAAAAGAGATGGGAACCACTCCACCAAGCATGTGTGTGTGGGGTGAGGGGGTCCTAACCCACGGCACTGCTTTGCTGGGGAAACAGCTTTTGAACAAGACCCCTGGCACAAATGAGATGAGGTTAGTGATCGCAGTTTAATTCTCAATAGGGCACAGCATGCTCTGTGGATATGAAATATACAATATGGGGGGAAATGGAGTCCTTTCTAGAATTAGTTTTTCCTCTTGGTTAATGAGGGTCAGAGGAGAATGAAGGCATAAACTGCGAGCTAAGTAAAACCCAACAGGCCGAGCCCTCCAGGGAGAGACTGCTGGAGAGGGGCCAGGGCTGCCTTGGCTTTCCCACAGGGTGACCAGATCACAGGAGGTTAGAGAGGATGTCAGGAGCTGAGAGGGTCCGGCCTCCTCGTCTCATACAGGCAAAGTGACTGCCCAAAGAGGTAGCAAAAGCCCACGGCAACCACTTGGCCTCTCTACAGGTCTCACGGGACCAGCGCAGCAGTCACCAGACGTGTTAATGCCTTGTTCTCTCAACCAATAAGAACGTAACTGTTAATTGGTAAGTGTGCACACTGGTAGATGTCAAAAGCCTGGTCTAAGAGGGAGAAAAAGATACAGACTCATTTTTCTCAGAGTTTCCTTCGAAGGTTCCTCATAAAACTTAGGTGGAGTCATATCTGCTTAGGTTTCTTTCCTCCTTCTCCAAGTTAAGTTGTTAAAGGGAATACATTTTCTGGAGATGTGAAGCAGAAAGACAATCAGAAATACTGGGCAAAAGTAGCGATCTTGAGGAAAATTCTTTCTGTTGTGTGTAAATGGTTAAATTTCTGAGTAGAGGCGGTGTGCAGAGAGAAGGAGGCAAAGAAATGGACATAAATTTCAGCGAAAGTAGATTTCACAAAACCATGATGTCCCCAAACTTAACAAAGTTCTAGTAGCTTACAAGTGAATCATTTAACTTTTCCAACTCTCCCCTTCCTCCTCTCCCTCGGTCACTTTCTTAGGAATCCCTCACAAACTTCTTTTTTTTTTCTCTGAGACAGTGTCTCGCTCTGTCGCCCAGGTTGGTGTGCAGTGGTGTGATCTCAGCTCACTGCAAGCTCTGCCTCCCTGGTTCATGCCATTCTCCTGCCTCAGCCTCCTGAGTAGCTGGGACTACAGGCGCCCGCCACCACGCCCAGCTAATTTTTTTGTATTTTTGGTAGAAACGGGGTTTCACCATGTTAGCCAGGATGGTCTTGATCTCCTGACCTCATGATCCGCCCACCTCGGCCTCCCAAAGTGCTGGGATTACAGGCATGAGCCACTGAGCCCGGCCACAAACTTCTTATATTCATCATAGGAGAAATAAGCTCGCTGGAGGTCAGATCCCACTAACCGTTGGACTCCACTGTCATACCTGAAGGAGGGACTAGTGGTCATTTAGTCTTGACCATTTCCTCAATCAGCAGAGCAGGCAGCATGCGAAGTAAGTGTCTGCAAGGATAGCACGGACTTTTACTTGAATGCAAATGTGATGCTAGAAGGTGCATCTCATGAGGGAAAGGCCAAGAAAGTCTTGAAGACAATGGCCCTTACCCCACTGAGCCACTGAAGCAACACAGTGGTCACCCAGCTGTAGCTGTCTTACCATCACATGAAAAAAATAAATCCTTAATTGTTTCAGGCACTGCTAGTCAAGCTATTACTTGCAGCTGAAAGCACTCCTAAGTGATACATAGCCCATGACTACCGGATCCTTTTTTTCTCTCTTCACCTCTGGTCTCTAAGGAGGAAGTGCCCTGTTTCTGCTAATGAAAATTCTTCTCTGCTCTTAATCTTGTCACTTCAGATCTCCTCTGGGACCGTGTTCCATCAATAGTGCCATCATTCCCTCTCTAATAATTCCTACTGCTTGGCCTAAAAACATGCTCAAGTTTCTCCAATCAAAAAAAAAAAAAAAAAACTATTCGACACTCTATTTTGAGAAGAATTTCTTTGGGTTTGGGAAGCACATTGGCTTACTTTAAAGATACGTTGATTTTTAACCCTGACCACTCGTTCATTCCCTTTTTCATTTGCCAAGTATGTATTGACCACATATGGTGTGCAGAGCACAGTGTCAGGCACTGGGGACTCAACAGTATGTAAAAACTAAGACCTTGCCCTTGTGGAGCTTGGAGCATCAGATAATCCCACTATAAATGCAAAATGGCAACTGCAGTACACAGCAGGGCACATGGTGTCACCGGGCAGCTGCATCAGCCCCGTCAGCTGTTAAAGCCGAATGGTACCTCAGCACTCAGCCAGGGAGAAGAGCGTGGGGTCTTTAGGCTGGCACTTGGGCTTAGATCCTGGAGCCTCCACGTGGTAGCTATTAGCTGCTGAGAGGCTCTGAGCCAGGGGCTTCACCTGCCACATGGGGCTGGTGAGCATGCTTCCCAACTGCACTGTCAGAAGGAGATAAGACCCCTGTGTAAGAGTTTTAGCATAAGGCCTAGCACTGGCTTCATGTTAGCAATGATTCTTCCTCTTGTTCCCTCCACTTCTCAGTGAACTCACTAACAGAATAGGGAAAATCTGAAGAAGATGTACAGAAGCTAATTCATTTGCACCTTTTTTGTTGTCTTTTTGGAGAAATCCCTCCTTTATCTCTGCTAAAAGAAAAGTTTCTGGGCTGCATGTGGTGGCTCACGCCTGTAATCCCAGCAATTTGGGAGGCCAGGGTGGGCAGATCACTTGAGGTCTGGAGTTCGAGACCAGCCTGGGCAACATGGCAAAACCCTACCTCTCTGAAAAATATAAAAATGAGCTCGGCAAGGTGGCCAGCACCTGTAATCTCAGCTACTCGGGAGGCTGAGGTGGAGAATCGCTTGATTCTGGGAGGTGAAGGTTGCAGTGAGCCAAGATCGCACCATAGCACTCTATCCTGGGCAACAGAGCAAGACAAAAAAAAAATTTGAACAGAACACACTGCCGTTTTGCACTGTCCCCAAACTCTTATTAGGACACCTGTATACCTGGTGAAAGCAGCACAGTTGACCTCTACCTACGCCAACTAAGGGCCACATACATGTTGGTGTGTGATGGCTCCTAAAGAGAATAAATGCTTTTCCAACAACAACAACAACAACAACAACAACAACAACAACAAGCCATAAATCTTCTAGAGGTTTTTTTTTTCTAAGCCTGAAAGTCAACTGAGAAAAATCTAGACTTTTCCTGCACCTTGTGAGCAGAGCAGTGACTAAAGACATTGCTTCCCCAGAGGGGCCTCTCAAGCCTCTGCTCCCTTTATGCAAGATTCTGGTACATGGGAGGGAAGTCTTAGTTCGACAGAAGTTGTATCTGGCAATGGGTGTGCTGGAAGGTCCACCTGAGCAAGGATCCAAAGACCAGCCGCTTCTTTTTTCCCTGCAGGTATTTCTAACAAGTACACACACATCCAGGACTACTGGTGTTTCCTGCTCCACCCTCATCCCTGCCACCCACTCTTCCACCCCATCACCCAAGGCAGATGTGCCATCTCCTTTCCAACTACAGAAGACGGAACTCATGATAAATCTTCCTGATGTCACCGACCTAGAGCCTGGGAAAGGAAAAAGACGACAGGGGAAATGGTCCTGTATTAACCTCAATGTAGCCAGCCAATTGTTCTTCATCCAGCGTTCGTAATTTTTATTTCTAGAGAGCTACCCTGGGAAGGCCTAAGCAGATGAGCCACACCGTCCAAGCTGTGAGTTCAGCCAGTGTCCAGTCTGGAAGGCAGAGAACAATGCGTGTGTGATCCTGAGCTGGGCTGCCTGGGGTGCTGGTGCAGGTTAGCCCTGCAGCCGGCCAGCCTCTGGGCCCCTGCCAGGCTGCCGACCAGCCAGGGGAAGTGAATGTGCTCAGCGTGAGAGTGCCAGCTGGCTAGGCTTTCTCCCCAGGGGGGAGGCTGTAAGCACAGATTACCAGTGACTTTGTTCAGTTCTGCTGCCGTGCTCCCCGAGGAGAGGAACATCACAGCCCAGCATCAGTACTAATAGGCCCTGATGCGCCAGACCCAGGCTAAGAAGGCCAGCGTGGGGGTGGGGGTGCAGCAGAGAGGAGGACAAAAGCCACGCCTCTGAAGCTGTCAACTGGCTCTGAGGCTGACAAGGAAGCACTCTCTGCAGCAAGTTCCAATCCCTGCCGCAGGAAGGAATAATTTCACCACTTTCTCACTATTTACTGTCCACAGCAAAAAGAAACCCCCACACCTCCACTTAGCACCATCGTGAGCATCCCTAGAGTCCAATAAATTACAGAAGAGAAACTAAAACTTTCCTTTGCTTCATTTCAAGGGCCTGTGACTGTGAAGTCACATGAGCTGCCACATCCAAGGCGTTGTCATGGAGACAGTGGTGGTTGCATAAATGATGTTGGTCCCCACTTTCATAAAAAAAAAAGTAATTTAAATTTTTATGTATAAGACCAGTTCATTAGACTGAGAAATTAAATTGATAATTTCTTATTTTTTTCCTTTCCCAGAGGAATTTCTGAGGAGAGCTGTAGACTAGCTTGTATGAAAGTTTGGTGGGATTTGGGCAGTAAGACATCAACTGGCCAGTGAGGATGTGCAGGATTAGCCAGCCAGTCTCATCTCTGACTTCAAACTGGTTTCTTCCAAGAAACAAAGATGGCTCCCTCCCTGGCTTCACAGCCCTGGCTCCCTGTTTAGCCGCCACCCACTAACTACCCTAGCCTTCATTTGGGGCATGCTGTAATTCATTTGGAGCTTGGGATTTTTGTCACTTTTAGGTACTACTGGGACACTAAACTAAAAATCAGTGCGTAAGTGGATGTGAATGCATGTTGATGAAAAGGTAGGCAGGTGCACACTGAAGCCCAATTTGACCACAAGAGTGATTAACTAGTCATGTCGCCCTGTCTGGAAGACTCCAAGGAGCCAGGGATCATGTTCTGATTAATTTCTCTTCTCGCATCTATGGATCTTGCTTTGTTCCATTCCCCTCCTATTTAGGGGCCTCCTCTCACCAACCCCTCTCTCTGAGTGACATCCAGGCATCTATATCATCTGGGCTCAGCAAAAAGCCTCCTCCCTGCTCTCCTTCTTCTGTCCATCCCTGGGGTCAACACTGTCACAGTGGGACTTACTGAGGCCATCCACTCTCGGCAACCCTCCCCTCTGCTCTCCTGTGGCCTGCCTCTGAAGTCCCCAGCCTGGGAGGAGGGAGACTTAATGAGTTCTCACCAGGGTCAATCCCTAACAAAACACACCTAACACAATACCCTCCTCATCTCCTTTCATAATATGTAGGCAAGCTGTCATCAGAATCTACTATGACACTCCGAAAATCTAATATTACTTGCAAAACAGCATTCTATATTCTCAGTGGAAATGTCTCTACAGCCTTGATTTCAGTGGCTCAATCTAGAAAAGAATGATGCACTTTTAAGGCAAAAAATACACACACACACACACACACACACACAGACACACACACATATATGTATATATATGCCTCTCCAACCTTTTTTCCTCTTGCTATTCTGGGGCTTGTCTTTAATGAGCAGCTCCAAATGACAGCTTTAATCACTGCCTCTGGCCACTGAAAGAGGCCGCTAATGATAGGAAAGAACATAGGGCCATTTGCATCAATCAGCTCCAGTCTAAATCACTTTTTATGATAATGCACCCAAGCGAAGAAGAAAGTCTCTGATGTCGCCTGCATGATGATGTACCACCGCGCTGTCTCCCTAGCTCAGACCTCCACATAAATCTCTTAAAGAGGCATGCACCCCACCCTGGACTGCCTGCCCAGCACTGCCCTCATTTTCTACACCATTAATGATCCACCACCAGGGCAGAGTCACAAGGGTCTAAGCAATCTGTTCCTTTAGTTCCTGTTCTTGGGGATATACCTTCTGATTTAAAAAAAAAATGTAGAAAAGAAGAAATAAATCCTAACCCACTTAGGACAGAACTGCTTATGACATGATCTCATTTTGTTTGCTTTGTAACCTCTCAAATAAAAGTGAGGGTGGATACATTGCCAAACTTGGTATTTGTTAGTCTCCTTGAAATGGAAGGTCATGCTGTATGACAAGAACAATGAGGTCTGGGTTCCAGCCCTGTGCCACCCAGGCCACTGTGACCTTGGGTAGGTCTTGTTGGACTTACTGGACCTCAGTTTCCTCAACTTGAAGGACAATACTAGATCATCTCCAGGGTTCACATCCGGTGGTAAAATACTCTGACTCTAAGACTATTTAGGAGAGCTGATCTGCATGTCTAGAATCCCATTCTGCTGGGAAAAAAGGTTGACTCTGCCTCTTCCTGGACCAGAGGTTTGAGCAACCACAGCTGACGATGTCAGATGCAGTGATCTGCTATCTCTACAGGGACTCTCTGTAAGCCAGAAGCCTGGAGATGACTTCCAATATTTTGCATTAACTAAAAAAAAATTATTAAACAACTGCAACTATTAAACAGTCAATTCTGATGCTGAGATGGTTCAAACACAGAATACATAAAATACGTATTCTTTATAGAACAAAGAAGGCTATGGTACTTTTCTCCTTTCCCTAAAACTACAAAAATCTATTAGCAGCTAATAATCTGGGGTCATTTGTTCCCGTGTTAAAGTCAGGAGCAGATGTTTTCTGCTACTTCGAGTATAACAACCAATGCACACATTTGTGTATACATTATACACACTCCAGAAGGTTTCCAATTTATTATTTGTATATTTAGAGAAATGCTTCAAGTAAGCCCATTTCTAAGGCCCCCTTTGTAGAAACTATGACTACTCTAATGAGTACGACTCTCAGCACATCACTGAAGTCACTATTCAAGTATGGTTTGGATGCCCACGTGACGGACTAATTAGTAATTACTTTATTTTATTATGCACAAGGCTGTAAGTGGCATTTTGGTAAATGTGAGTATAAGTACATTCTAGTGAGTGAGTGTGAGATTTTCATTCCTCTGTGCTTCATACCTTTCCACAGTCCACAGTAAAGTGCAGATAGTTATCCATTGTGACTGCGTAATTGTAACAAAAAGACTTGCTATAAGAAGCGGCTTCCAAATGTTAGAAATTTAGGAAGGTGGATGATAGCTCCTTTTAGAGCCATTTCCCCACTGGATTAGTTAGGATTATGTTTGACTGCAAGTGACAGGCAACCTAAAATAACAGTGGCTCAAGTAAGAGTTCTCTTTCTCACATCAAAGCCCCACGGTAGGCAGCCTAGGGCTGGCATGGCACTCTATAATGTCAGGGACATAGGGTTTCTCTAGATATGTTGCTGTTTCTGCCTTACTGCCTTTCATTCCCAAAGCTACATCATGGTGCAAGATGATAACTGCAGCCCCAACCATTATGTCCACATTCTAGACCGCAGAAGGAGCAAGGGTGAAGGGGGCATGCCCTTGACTCTTTAAGGGTACACTCTACAAGTAACACTTCACTCTTTCGTTAATACCCACTGGCTAATGGGGAAGGGACAGTCTCCTCAATACATAGTATTGGGAAAACTGCATACCTACGTGCAGAGGAATGAAATGAGACCCTTATCTCACACCGTGTGAAAGAATCAACTCAAAATGGATTAAAGACTTACATGTAATACAAGACCTGAAGCTGTAAAACTCCTGGAAGAAAACATAGGGGAAATACCCCATGACATTCACAAAGATGTTTCGTATATGATCCTAAAGGCAAAAATAGACAAATAGGATTGCATCAAACTAAAAAATCTTTGGCATGGCAAAGGAAACAATCAACAGAGTGAAGAGAACTTATGAAATGGCTGAAAATATTTGCAAATCATGTATCTGATAAGGGGTTAATATCCAAAATAGATTAGGAATTCAAACAACTCTACAGCAAGAAAATCATGCAAATAAAAAATGGACAAATGACCTGAATAGGCATTTTTCAAAAGAAGAACTACAAATGGCCAACAGATATATTTAAAAACTGCTCAACGGCACTAATAATCAGGGAAATTCAAATTAAAACTACAATGAATATCACCTCATACTTGTTAGGACGGCCACTATCAAAAAGATGAGAGACCAACCTGGGCAACATAGTGAGACCTGGTCTCTATATAAAAATTAAAAATTAGCCAGGTGTAGTGGCGTGCACCTGTGGTCATCCCAGCTACTTGGGTGGCTGAAGTGGGGGGAAAGCCTGAGCCCAGGAGGTTGAGGCTGCAGTGAGCCATGACCACACCACTGCCTTCTAGCCTGGGCAACAGAATGAGACTCTGTCAGGAAAAAAAAAAAAAAAAAAAAAAAAAAAAAGATGAGCGCTAAGTTTTGGTGAGAATGTGGAGAAAAAGAAAGCTTACATGCTGTTGGTGGGAATTTAACTTGGTACAGCCATTATGGAAAACAACAGGGAGGTTCCTCAAAACATTAAAAATATGGGTTGGGTGTGGTGGCTCATGCTTATAATCCCAGAACTTTGAGAGGTCAAGGCAGTTGGATCACTTGATGCCAGGAGTTCGAGACCAGCCCAGCCTACATGGCAAAACCCTGTCTCTACTTAAAATACAAAAATTACCTGGGCACAGTGGCACATGCCTGTAATCCTAGCTACTCAGAGGCTAAGGCAAGAGCATCGCTTTAACCCAGGAGGTGGAGATTGCAGTGAGCCAAGATGCCAAGATCGCACCACTGCACTCCAACTTAAGTAAGCGACAGAGTGAGATTCTGTCTCAAAACAACAACAACAACAACAACAACAACAACAACAACAACAACAAAAAACAGAACTTCCATATGATTCAGCAATTCCACTTTAGGGTATGTATCCAAAGGAAATAAGATCAATATGTTGAAGAGATACCTGTACTCTCATATTCACTGTAGCATTATTCATATTAGCCAAGACATGGAATTCACCTAAGTGTCCGCTGACAGATGAATAGATAAAGAAAATGTGGTAAAGACACATACACAATGGATCCTATTCAGTCTTAAAAAAGAGGACAATCCTGGCCGGGCGTGGTGGCTCACGCCTGTAATCCCAGCACTTTGGGAGGCAGAGGTGGGCAGATCATGAGGTCAGGAGATGGAGACCATCCTGGCTAACATGGTGAAACCCTGTCTCTACTAAAAAAACAAAACAACAAAAAAAAAAAACAAAACAAAAAAAACAAAATTAGCTTGGCGTGGTGGTGGGCGCCTGTAGTCCCAGCTACTTGGGAGGCTGAGGCAGGAGAATAGCACGAACCTGGGAGGCAGAGTTTGCAGTAAGCCGAGATCACACCACTGCACTCCAGCCTGGGAGACAGAGTGAGACTCTGTCTCGGAAAAAAAAAAAAAAAAAAGACAATCCTGTCCTCTGGGACAACATGGATGAACTTGGAGAACATTATACCAAGTGAAATAAGCCAGGCACAGAAAGATAAATACTACATGATCTCATTTATATGCAGAATCTAAAAAAGTTGAGCTATAGAAGCAAAAAGTCGAATGGTGGTTACCAGGGGCTGGGCGGAGGGGTTGGGAAGTGTTGGTCAAAGGATGTAAAATTTCAGCTAGACAGAAGGAATGTGTTTAGAAGATCTATTGTACAACATGGTGACTATAGATAATAACATTGTATTCTTAGAAATCACTGGATTTTAAGTGTTCTCATCACAAAAAACAAGTATGTAAGGTCATACGTATGTTAATTAGCTCAATTTCATCATCCCACAATGTATGCACATTTTAGAACATCATGTTGTACACAATAAACATATGCCATTTTTATACATCAATTAAAATAAATAAATGAATGTATTTAAATTTTAAAAATAACCATTGGCCAGAACTTAGTGATATGACAGCACCTTGCTGCAATGGTGGCTAAGACATGTAGTCTTTATTGCATTTAATCGGGCAAGTCACCAAATTAAAAATGCAGTGGTTCTATTAACAAGGAAGATGGGGAAAATGATTATTAGAAGTCAAGTAACATTCTCTGCCATATCTACTTTCCCACTGAGCAGTACACCAGGGGATTGTCCAATATCATCACTGGGACCCATGCCAGAGGTTCCCAATCCCACACAGAATGTGGGACACGGAAGCTCTAAGCACTTCTTCCTTTCATCAGGGTGGTTCATCGTGAATACCTTTAATTTTCTTACTATGGGGGGAGGCTGCTCTGAAAAAGTTATCCCAATAAGAAAATAGCAAATAAACTGTTCCCCTAAAAAAAGCATTTTAGTCTCAAATAGTCACTGCTACACTATGGGCAGAGGCATTTAAAAACCTCCCGGACAAAACCACAGGATGCCAGTTTTTTGTCTGTCAAACCGTCAAAGATTGGGCTGGATGCAGTGACTCACACCTGTAATCCCAGCACTTTGGGAGTCCAGGGTGGGAGGATTGCTTGAGCCCAGGAGTTTGAGGACAGGCTGGGCAACATAGTGAGACCCCATCTATACAAAAAAAATTAAAAATTAGCTGGGTATGGTGGTGTATGCCTGTAGTCTCAGCTACTTGGGAGGCTGAGGGAGGAGGATCTCTTGAGCCTGGGAGGTTGAGGCTGCCGTGAACTATGACTGTGCCATTGCTGTCCATCCTGGGCAACAGAATGAGACCCTACCTCTAAAAATAAAATAAAATAAATGCCAAAGACTAACAAAAGAGCAAATGCCCAGAGCTGGCAAAGGTCCAGTCAGATAGGCATCCTGGTACTCTGTGCTGTGCTTAGGGTACCAGTGTCCCAACTCTAGTTTTCAGGAAGAGTCGTATCATATGACTATTTGTAGAAATGAGGGTTTTAAGTTTCTTAACATAACACATTGACCACCAACATTCCACATGTGCAGTTCCTTGCTGGAAGTGATTAACTTTTAACTTTAAGTAAATGCAGATAGTAGAAGACCTTCTACAATTTTACTTCTACAATGCATAACAGCTTTTCTTTAAATATTCTCATTTTTCCCTAAATATAAATATCTGTGGAAGGAAATGGTTCTTTTTTTGTGTGTACCACTTCATATAAGCTTAATCACATGGGCAACATCAACATGAACATGTGCCAAATTCATCTGCATCTCAACTGTGTGGCAGTATCTTGCACGCTGAACTGCAGCGTCGCCTGAAGGAAATGGCATGGGCATTGCACACTATCAAGGACATCTGGTAATCGTGCTCACAGGTAGAAATCACCCAGCATCCACCATCTCTATCCTTTAATCTCCCAAAGTTCCCCAGACTCTTCCAGTCATCTCGTCTGCATCGTGAGTTGTCTTGCTTCTTGTCTAGACTTGACTTTTCCAACACCTGAGACCTCACTGCTTTCTTCTTCTCTGTACCATATCCTCTGTATCATACACCTCCACTAGGTTCGTTTTTAAATATAGGCTTTCCATCAATGGATTCTGCCCAGAGGCTTCAATTGATCATATATCCCAACACAGAGAGGCATACTTATTTTAAAAAGAGTGCATTCCTGTCAGCACTGAGGATTCCATGACTACACTCTAAGGTTTTCTGACACATGGCAAGCTCCACGCAGCTACTAAAGGAACTGTAATCCAATCACTCCCACCTTCGCCCCCCAGCAGAGGATTACTGAGAGCAGCATTTCCCTCCTTTCAGAAGTAGGCCAAGTGCAGTGGGGCCCCTGGGCCTCATCAAGAAGAGAAACACTCCAAATCACTCCGAATTGGTCAGTTACACAGGATAAATCTAACTCTGCCCAGGTGGGAACTGGGGCTCGCTATCACTAGGACTTATTACAGGTCTCCACACCTAGCTGTCTCCCCATCACTACAGAAACAATAAAGTGTTCAATGTGTTGTGTGTGTGCGCACGTGTATGAGAAGTCCTCCATGAAAGACTTTTTTTTTTTTTTTTTTCTTGAGACAGAGTCTCGCTTGTCGCCCAGGCTGGAGTACAGTGGCACAATCTCGACTCACTGCAACCTCCACCTCCCAGGTACAAGCGATTCTCCTGCCTCAGTCTCCCTAGTATCTGGGATTACAAGTGTGCATCACCACGCCTGGCGAATTTTGGAATTTTCAGTAGAGATGGGGTTTCACCACTTTTGATGAGGCTGGTCTCGAACTTCCGACCTCAGGCGATCTGCCTGCCTCAGCCTCCCAAAGTGCTGAGATTACAGGCGTGAGCCACCACGTCTGGCCCCAAGAAACACTATTACAGTAATTGAAGATTTTGAAAAGCTTATGGGCGCTGCACTATAATATAAGCTTCATGAAGCTTCATGTCTACTTTTTTCACCACTGTATCCCCGGCTGCTAACAAAGTGCCTGCACAGTAAATGCTATTGACCAAATGCATGAATGATGCTTCAAAACTAAGAACCAAGTTCATCATTAATGTAATTATTGATGGGCTGCAAATATAAATATAAATACAAATATTAACTTTTAAGAATCATAGATTACTAGAGTGTTAGGGACTCAGTCCTAAGTCCTAAATCGTCTAGTTAATCTCATAGGCTTCAAGTAGAATTCCTCATAACTATCAGATCTAGACGAGGCTCACTTTTAAAGGTCTGGAGGTAGCGTAATTATCTCCTCTGATAATCTTATCCAGCGCCCAAAAAGCGTGTGTGAAAGTTGATTATACGAATTGAGTCATTCTTGAAATATTCAACTAAATCAGAGTCGAGGTGCTGGGGCACTCTGGACATATAGCACCAGCTCCAAGAAGTGAATTTTCTGCAAGCCCAGCTGCTGAAAAGGCTTGCTATGACCCTAAGGTTGTTTTACACAGAGCTGCTGAAATGACCTGCTGTGAGTTGTCTTGCTTCTTGTCTAGAGTTTTACCTGCTGCCTCACTCATCAGACCTTGCCAGCTCCCAAAAGCTTCTGTAGTGCCAATGAGCCTTCTTTCAAAACAATACATAACATTTCTCTTTCTAATAAAATCCCCAATCTTCTCTTTGTCCTTTGAACATACCAAAGACTACTCTGGTCTGTGTGTATTCCTCAAATTGTAATTCTGTGATTCGCTAATACAATGTTTAATTGAGAAATTCATCGCTATGTTGTATTTTGACTTCAACACCTTTTATGGGAAAGATGACCTCAGACAAACTGATTTTCCACTACTTACTAGAAAAGTTCCAGATATGATACTTAAGTAGATTTCAGTGGGAGCTTTATATTTACACAAGAGAAAGAAAAGACCAAAAAAAAAAAAAAAAAAAAGAGAAAGAAGGAAAGAAAGAAAGAAAAAAAAAAGAAAGACAAAAACAAATGAACTGCTACTTATAGTATTTAGTACCAGGAGTACCTGGTAGTAAACGTGAGTTGATTCAAACGGTTGTGTTGTTAGACATCTTTTCCATGGAAGATATCAATTCCAGTCCCTCCTGGCTTGGTCAGCCTGTGAACATGAATGCCATACGATTCAGTTTTCAGACCATTATTTCAATTCGTCTCATTTAGCAGTAGGTGGTTAGCCAACGTCAAAAACCAGGAACAGGCAACGACTTCTCAGCATTTCCAAGGAAAGAAAAATTGAGCACAGAGCAAGGGCAAATGCTGTTTTATGATGCTTTAAAGTGGATATGTCAGTGTGTATAAGTTTAGCCTTAGTGAAAAATGGAAAATGTTATACTGAATTCTTCACGTGTTGAAAATGAAGACTCATAGAGCAGGAGGAACCCTTAAAAGATATCATGACCATTTGCGTGCTTAATGGAACCGCCCTAAAACATTACCACAAGAAAAGATTAAGGGCATACAAAGCAGGAGCTCCCTTAACATCTCAGGAAAATCTATTCCCACAGTGAAGAAATCTGATTTTTATTTTAGCCTGTAAGAATGGCAATAATTATTAAGCAAGCCCATTTATATCAGATTTCCCATATTTGGGGAAACTCCTGGGTTAAGTCTCTTTCCCCACTGTAAGGACAGAACCTAAATTCCCAGCCTCCCTTGCAGCTAGATGCCACATGGTGGAAGGTACCAGAAGGCAGAGCTGTGGCCTCCAGTGTAAGGCCTGCCACCAAGGACTGTGGTGGTCTGAGTGGTTCGGTTCTCCTTTCTTGTCCATAGCTTCTCTGTCAGCAGAGGCAGAGGTGAGCAGGGATAGTGGAGTGGGCTAGATGCTCTCTAATTCCCTTCAAGCTCTGACGTTCTCTAATTCTATACTGGGGAACAGCCAAATCCTTAAAGTAGGGCCTAGGGGCAAGTGTTACCTGTCCTGTAAGGTGAATATTTCTACTTTCAATTCCTTTCAAACTTCCATTTTCAACAGCATGTTGATCATTGGGCATGCTGAACGCAAATCTGGCTGGTGCAACTCTCTGTGATGGTTGCTGCAGAGCAAGGGTGAACTTCTGCCTTACACAATCACAGCAAGTAAAAGAGCAGCTAGGTAAGGCCCACCTTCTGCATCTCCAGGCCTGAAAGCAGTAGCTCATGCATGCTGTGGGCACTGACACTTTGCTCTCGGCCCACCCCAGCCCATCACCAGCCTGGAGGAGAGCACAAAATGGAACCAAGCGACAGTCACCAAAGCTTTTAATCTGTGCGGATATAAAAAGGTAAGTGATAACTACCATTCTGTGGAGAGGAATGACACCTGAAATGACCATCAAAAAGAATAAAATTGTCCTAAGAAGTTCAGCCATTCATTTCATGCAGTCGATATTTATTGAGTGGTTTGGTGAGTTCCACAAAACACCTTACACCGGGTCACGGTGTGTTTGTATTGTGGGCCAGGCACGTTTTAAAGCACTGTGCTAGAGGGACCCGGGTTTAAACCCAGACAAAATCACCTTGCCAAGCTTTGGCATCATTATATGCCAATCCCATTGATTTTTTGAGTGGCAGAAAATACTAAAGTGCTGAAGCACCTGGCTGCTAGTCCTCAATAAATAGTAGTTATTATTATCTCTGCTTCAGAGGAACTGGGGGAGGCTGGGTATCACGAAATGCATATTTCTTCATTAAGAGAAGAAAGCTGCAATTTAAATTATTGGCAAAATATCTCCTTAAAAATAAAGTATTTTCCCTGTTGCTCTTTTCCTGATTTTCTTTGGCTGGCAGGGGAGCTAACATTTGCAGGCTCCTCCTCGAGGGCCAGGGTCTTGTATGGTTTGTTACTGGAAGATACTATCTGAGGTTGATGAATAATTTCTTACAATGACAGCACTTTGACCCTCTCTCAAGCACCTGCCCCCACATCCTTGACTTGGCATTTCTAAGCACTGGAGTAGGAGAGCACAGCACAGGCTGCAGGAGGGCACAGCACAGAGGCCAGGGTGCCAGACCCCAGCGACGGGGCATGTTCTAGACTGAAGCACTTTCCTTGGTGTGTTAATCTGGCCAAGAAGCCTCTTCAAAGGTGTGGCTCTGTCCAGAGCTTAATCCATCAGGACATCAACCAAAGGTGACAGGGTACCTGGCACACTGACACTGGGAGGAGTGTGGGTGAAGACATTTTTATGGTGAAACTCTTACCCAAAAGCATCCTGAGAAACTTGCAGATCACTTCTCTCCTGCTTAGGATAAAAAAAAGAAAAGAAAAGGAAAATGGGGTAATGGGACAAAATGCCAATTTTGCTCACCTTGCCACCTTCAATCTGTGTCTATGACTCTAGAGGGCATTTATATACTTTGTTCTTCAAAAACAAAACAAACAAAAAAGAGAAGTATGCAGAAATCTTCTACGTAGATATAACTAGCTTTAAGGAAAAAAATACCTAAAATCCTGATTTACAGAAGAAATGAATGAGTAGGGATAGAATAACTTTTTTCACAACACAGTTCTTTGCTTTATCAGAGGATCTGCTTTTTCTCAGCACATACCACTTGTGAATTTAAAATAGGACTCAAAGGACATCAACCTGACACATGACTTTTCAGGATATATTCTTACCCAAGACAGGGTATACGCTAGAGAACTCAGGGCGAACAGACGAAAGAAAATCATTATCCAGTATGTACAGGGCTACTTAGTACACAAATGTCCTGATCCACTCTTTGAATTCTGCATTGCCACAGTTTTGTGTTGAATGTGTTCAAGAAACAGTGATCCAAATACTCTAATTACGACCCAGCCTGTTACAGAGGGGCTCCTGGAAGAAACTGAGAATTTAAGTACATTCTAGAACTTTCCTAATACTTTGACCTCTCTGCATACTTTTGAAACACTTTTCTTCAATGAGACTCAGGGTGATCTCATAGCATTTGGAATATGTTACTACAATGAAACACAGCTGCAACACCAAATAAAACATGAGTGCCTGGCATCCGGAGACCTGGAGCCTCCTGGGAGAGGATCCACTTATAGACTAAGAATCAAAACATCCCATCATTAATCCTTAGCAACCTGTAAGGTAAAAGTGCCCGATGAAAACACTGGGTCAGGTGTCAATGTACCAGGGGTCAGGTCCTGATCATGCTACAGTCCAACCGGTGACATTAGCCAAGTCACTTCCTGGAGCTTTGGTTTCCTCTGGTGCAAGGTTGAGAGAGCACTTTGTAAGTTAGATGGCATGACATAAGTCTAAGGTAGCTGTCTTGTTATCATACGTGCAGAGGCCCTAGCTATGTGAGAGGATGATGGCAAAGGTTTTGCTGTTTTGAAATTCTTTTGCCCCAATATGTCATTTTCAAGGTGTGTTGCAACCATAAAGAGAAGCTGCCTGGGAGCCCTGAGGATGTGCCTGGTAGTCTCAGGTATCTTGAGAGAGGCACCTGCCCTGGGGGGTTGGGATGGACATGGCACTGCCACCATGAGGATCTGCTAATAGGGAATCAGAGACTATTTAAGGACACCTACAAACTTTTTTCTCACCTGTAATGTAGAATAAATCACACTCTTCAAGCACTTGTTTAGAGTATTATAATCAGTCTTTACAAACACTCTGAGAAATGGTGGAGGCAGGTCATTTTTGCCCAAATGAAGAAAAAGGTGAACTGCTTCACCTTGCTGAGGCTGGTGAAGGTCATGATCTTGAAAGAAATCTTGGGCTCCTGAGATCCCCTCTTACAGGTGTGTGTAACCCATAAAAGAATACTAGAAGGTCTGCCCACAACTTCCTGTCCCCGCTTCTCTACTTGTTCCTCTTCCTCTCAACATTCCCAGTCTTCTCCAGCAGTCTGCAGCCGCCACATCCCTGACACACACCACTCTATCCTAGCAAGTCACACCGTGTCTTTCTGAAGCACGAATTGTAATAGAATGTGAATCTCTTCATGCTAACCCTCGACAGTGGGCTCTCCTGTCCTCCTTTCCCCTTTTTAGACAGTTTCACATCTGATTAGAACTTTCCAGTGGGTAATGGCCACAGGTTGTAGGCTTTGTTTCATAAATCCTAAAACACCTGCACAGGACTGGACACAAAGCTGACATACTGAGGGATTCCTTAAGGAACAAAAAGAGCTGCCCTAAGAAGGATCTGAATAGACATTTCTCCATAGCAGATGTACAAATAGCCAATGAAAACATGAAAACTATGTTCAACATCATTAGTCATTAGGGAAATGCAAACTAAAACTACACTGAGATACCACTTCACATTCACTAGAATGGCTATAATAAAAAGGACAGATATTAACAAGTGTTGGAGATAATACGGAGAAACTGGAACTCTCATAAACTGCTTGTAAGAATGTCAAATGGTACAGTCACTTTGGAAAACAGTCTGGGAGTTCCTCAAAAAGTGAAACATAGAGTTAACATATGACTGAGCAACTCCTAGGTATTGACCCAAGAGAATTGAAGAAATATGTCCATACAGAAACTTGTACACCAATGTTCACAGCAGCATTATTCACAATAACCAAACAGTAGAAAGAACCCATGACCATCAATGGATGAATAAAGAAACAAAATGTGGTACTGTCTAAATAATGGAATATGATTTGTCCCATGAAGGAAATGGAGTACTGATACATGTTACAGCTTGGCTGACTCTCAAAACGTTAAGAAACAAGACAAAAGCCACATACTGCATTACTCAAGTTAAATAAAGTATCAAGAACAGGCAAATTCACAGTGACAGAAAGCAGATGAGTGGCTGCCAGACTTTGGGAGGGGGTGCAGAGAGTGATTGCTAATGGGTGTGGGATCTCTTTTGGGGATAATGAAAATGTTCTGGAAGTAAAGGCGAGGGTTGCAAATATACTAAACAGGTTATAAATATACTAAAAATTACTGAATTGGGCCGGGCGCGGTGGCCCGTGCCTGTAATCCCAGCACTTTGGGAGGCTGAGGTGGGCAGATCACTTCAGGTCAGGAGTTTGAGACCAGTCTGGCCAACATGGCAAAACCCCGTCTCTACTAAAAATACAAAAATTAGCCAGGAGTGGTGGCGGGCGCCTGTAGTCCCAGCTACTCGGGAGGCTGAGGCGAGAGAATCCCTTGACCCAGGAGATAAGAGGTTGCAGTAAGCCAAGATGGCACCACCGCACTCCAGCCTGGGCAACAGAGCAAGACTTCGTCTCAAAAACAAAACAAAACAAAACAAAACAAAAAACCTAAAAACCCCACAAAATTACTGAATTGTACACTTTAAAGTGGTGAATTTTATTATTAAGATGGACTGTGAATCATTTCAATAACAATTAGAAAACAAAACAAACAGAAAAAAGGCTGCCTTGGAGCAGTGGTTCTGAAACTTGGGCATGCAGCACTCACTTGGAGAACGTGTGAAAACACAGGTTGCTGAGCCCCACCCTAGTTTCTGATTCAGTAGCTGTGGGTGGGGCTCAGGAATGTGCATCTCTAATGAGTCCCCGGGGTGCTGAAGGTCCTGTTGGTATGCAGCCACATTTTGAGAACCAGTGACCCAGAATAGAGCTTCTCCCAACTTCAGTGCATGTGGTGGACACTGTGATGAGCTACCCAGATCCCTGTCTAATGACAGACTTGCTGCTGACTGCTGGGAGTGCTGTCTGCAGTGAGTTGAAAGGCCTGGCCATCCCTGCCCACCACAGACAACTTAGAAGGCTGACCTAGCTGTGTAGCTTCCCGTGTTGTGAGTGATGACTGTCACTGGGCCTGTATTGCTGCTTGACTTCTTGCTCTACCTACCTATTCCTGTTCCTTCCTCCTCCTTCCCATAGGTATTGATCCAAAGGGCACTCCTTAATAAATACGCCACTGGCTAAACTCCATCTCAGAGTTGGATCATGGGACAACCCCACCTGTCATAATGCATATGAGAAATCTGGGGAACCTGTCGCAGATTCTGATTCTATAAATCCAGGGATGGACCTGAGGTTCAGCATTTCTAACAGGCTCCTTGGTGATACCAATGCTGCTGACCCATGGTCCACACTTTGAGTAGTGAGGGCCTAGATGACCTCAAAGTACTCCTCCAGCTCCATAATGAGGAGACTCTATGAGCCATCAGGTCGAGTGTAAAGACAGAAAGATACCACATTTACTAGGTCATTAAAAGGTACTGAGATTACCCTGTCCTTGAGATCCAGGCCATGGAACTGGGTTACAGGTGAGTGTGTTCAACACAGGCCTTTCAGGTGCTCCCTAGCTAATCCCCTTGGACAGGGGCCAAGATCAACCTGAGTTTCTTTTTTATATGCTCTATTGTTACAGTACGGCTTCAGGGAGTTACTTGGGCAGAAGTGAGTAATCTGCATTGTGCAACCAGCAGACAAGTGCTGACTGATACCCACTACACAGCCTATGCAGGGAACCAAAGACGGTGGGAAGAAAGATGAAAGGAAAAGAAAAGTAGAGGCAGGGTGGTGGCCACCATCTTTTCCAGCATGTTTGCCCTCAGACAAACCTTGCATTTTAAGAGTAGTTAGGCCTGTTCATGTCTTGTTTCCAAGTGGGATCATTTGATAAAGAGTTTGGAAATCTGTTTTTGACCCACATCTGTTCCTAATTTACTGGGAGTCCCATACCTTGTAACTCAGTTTTTCTATCTGTTCAGGCTGACTTCAGATAAATACATAGGTTACAGACTCATATTCTCAGCAGGTTACAAAAAGAAAAAAAAGGGAATTTGGAAACAAATCTTAAAGATGTTATCATAGAAGGAAACTTTCACACCATCCTACCAAACACCCACTTGTCAGAAAGAGAATCTGGGGGTAGGCTGAGCCTTAGGGTAGCCTTGGGCAACATTTCTGAGAGGACAGCAATCCTTGAGCCCCTACTCCCTCTTTTTTTAAACCTCATCTAGCTATTACAACAGCTCACAGTCAGGTGTGTGATGGACGGCAAATGCATAGGGAAAAAGGAGCGATATGAAGTTGTGATCTTTAATCAACTCTTAGGAAAAGTTAGGAAACTTGGCAATTGTGTCATTTTTGAACGTTACAAGGCTCAAATTTCCATCCGTGTTGTATCTTCAAGCTTCTGCCTGTTGTACAATTTCATGGGAAATAAAAGGAGTGAATGTCTGCTGTGCCTTGGGCAGAATACAAACAGAAAAGGAGTGGGCGCTCAATACAGTAAACCTGCACTGAGAAACCGTGGTTCTGGAAGGACACAACTTTCTACACTTTTGCTAGATTTTCATGGTAGCAATGACAAAACAGGACTAGGGGAGAGGGGAAAAACCAGGGTAGGTAAGCCCTTAAAATTCTGGACAGTGACACTCTGTACTTAGGGACCTGCAAAGCACCTGGAAGGGCTGAGACTGGGAGGCACACATACAGCAAACGTCTTTCGATACCTGCTTTTTTCTCATTAACCAAGCGGATTTATGAATAAGCTCTGCAAACTTTAAAACGCATGCAGTATTCAAGATGCAATGCCCCTTCCATGCCACTCACTGTCTCTTCTGGAGTGAAATGCAACTATAATGGTGCTCCCTGAACCCACTTGCAATATGCAAGCTCTCTAGAGAAGGTAGTCCCTGATCATCCTGTTGAAAATCTAGACCTCGTGTAAGCAAGAAAAAGAAGTCAAGGTACAGAGTGGCATAAATATTGTTACTTGAAGTGCTAATTATCTACCAGTGTATTCAAAACCTAGTGATTTCCAAACCTGCTGGAGCTTCTTATGGAAATAAATATGTGCATCCCAATGTAGGGTTAAAAGGATTCCCAGAAACCTACACCAAAAATATAAGTAATTATCCTCTGAGCAGGGATTTCTCTCCAATTTCACTGCTTCCCACAAGGGGAACAATTTCTTGAGAACATAATAGTAAAGGAAACAATACACCACCAAAGAGGAAAATAACATCTTTATAATTACAGATTAGTTCCCAAATTGCACACCTACATACTCACTCTGCTTTGAATTTGAGTAACTTCGATGAAGCTTGTCTATCCCCTTCAGCTATCAACATTTACAGCTCAACAGCTCAATCACAAGATTTTCCATACAGAAACCCCAGGCTGCAAAAGCACTCTCAAATGACCCACTCGTTTCACTCTTGAAGAATGTGGAAAACACAGCGACAGAGAGCACAAATCGGGGTTAATACCCCGGCAGGAGAGAGGGAGCTCTGGTATCTCTAAAACAGTTTCAGTGTGCCAGTTTTAGAGATTACCCAATCATTTCTAAGCCGTTCAGATTTTTATCAGACAGGAATTAGCAGCTGAAAGTCTTGCTTGGCCCAAGCTGTTACATCTCTTTATCAGGAATTCATCTAAGTTTGCATTGCTTGAGCAAGGCACTCACATTCATTTCAACTCATTGGTTACTTACCCATTAAATGGGTTTCTTAACCATCACACTGGTTATTTAATTCCTACCCCATGGCTCCCCCAAGAAATAAAAAGTGCACTATAATTATATAAACTCTTAATTAAACTGAAGAATTCAGTGTTGCCATTACCAGTCAGTAATTCCACTCAATTAGGACAATAGACTTCCATTTATTACTGAACTCCTAATTGCTACTCATTTTCCTGGTTAGTAATTGCCAATCCTATCAGACAATGTGCTTAAAGAAAATTCTGCCATGAAATTATATTTCTCTCCATCACGGGAAAGGTGGAATCAGAGTCCTTACGTGGTCAGGAGTTGGGTCCTCTTCTCTAGCTCCATGCGTCTCCAGGCTCGGGGGTTTTAAAGGCTGGTGTGCCCCAGGGTTGGCTGCTGGTGCTGCGATCCGCGGGAGACTTGCCCACAAAGGAAAGGCGTATCCAGGTAGCCAGAGAATCCCAAAGCCAAACCTAGCCGAAGAGGATGCAAAAACAAAACCACCCGAAGCGGTCTCCGCATTTCCAGAAGACTAAGTTCAAAGTCTCCAGGCAGGGCGCATTTTAGGTCTTGAGGTGTACGTCCACGTCAGGGGGCAGGTTCGGCATCTGCTGCTTCTCAGCCTCAGGAGACTCAAGACGGAAGTCCGAGGGTGGCAGCCGTGCGGTACCACGGCTGGAGCCAGCCGGCCTCTGCCTCTGCCTCCCCGGGTCTGGCTTCCGAGGTGGGTTCGCGGGCACTGGCAGGTGCCGGGGAAACTTGCCGGCACGCCGTCCGCCGCCTCTGGACGCCCGGGCAGCCCCGCACTGGAGCTGGAACGAGTCCTGGCAGCCGGCTCCGCGGGAGCTCCCGGGCGGCGATCAGACGCGAGCGATCTACCCGCGGCTCGCGGATGCCTCGGCCCAGGAGCTGCGCGCCGCCCGCCCCAGCCCCGCCCCGGCCCGCGGAGCGCCCCGGCCCGCCTCGCTCCTCATGACCGTCTCCTAATTAGCTCAGAAGACTGCAACTCGCCGGCTAGCAAAGACACCCACGGTGGGGAAACTTGACAATTTATTCCCGGGCCCGGGGGAGGTCACCTGCAGTGCACCAGCGGATTGGCTGCTGCGCGGGTTGCGGCGGCAAAGCGCGCAGGCAAAGCGCGCAGGCAGAGCGCGCGCAGCTTCTGATCCGCTCTGCCATCCCGGCAAGGCACGGGGCGGGGAGGGCCGCCCCGAAGCAGCCCGCGGCTCAGTACCGTGTGAAAGGGACGGTGTCGGTGCCGGAACCACAAAACTGCCCCACCTCTCCAGATTGGGTGGTTTGGAAGAGATGCTCTTTGCTGTTTGGGTTTTTAGACGTCACACTCTGTCTTCCAGTTGACAATGGGCTCAAGCCATTTACAGCCGGAAGATGCTCTGAATGAAGTATCTACTCCAACTTCATGTTACAGAGGAGGGAACTGAAGCAGAAAGGATGAAGGAGCTGTGAAGGTGAGTGGGTGGAAAAGCTAGGCCTGGACGCCGGGTGTCCTCATTCCTAGTCTTTCTAAAGAGACCAGCCCTGCCCTTGGGGCTGCCTTCCTTACAGAGAGCTCCACCCTCAGGGGCATTCCCAGGAATACACAGCAGTGCACCGAGAACTCTGAAACTCTGGTGTCTAGCCCACAACCCGAGAGGTCAGTAAATCAGAGAGCATTATCTCCATCGTATACATTAAGACACTTAAACATTAAGTTTCTGAACTATGCCAACATAGTTCAGAAACTCCCCCGCCCCTGAGCTAGTTAGTAGGAAACGGAGTGGGCATGCAAACTCAAGCTTCCACAATAATTCCTGAATTTCAGCCACCACACCTCAACGCTCTGCCCAAGGAGGTGCATGGAAGAGGAATTCCTGGAGGGGCTGCCTAGAAACCAGTGGCTGAGGATGACATCCTTGCAAATGGCACCAAGCCCCCTAACAGCGGTTGCTGCAGTGCCAGCTTGGGACATCCTGACCACAAAGCAGCTGGTAATAATTCTTTTTTTTTTTTCTTGAGACAGTTTCACTCTTGTTCAGGCTGGAGTGCAATGGTGCAATCTCGGCTCACTGCAGCCTCCGCCTCCCAGGTTCAAGCAATTCTTCTGCCTTAGCTTCCCAAGTAGCTGCGATTACAGGCATGTGCCACCACGCCCGACTAATTTTGTATTTTTAGTAGAGGCAGGGTTTCTCCATGTTGGTCAGGCTGGTCTTGAACTCCTGACCTCAGGTGATCCACCCGCCTCGGCCTTCCAAAGTGCTGGGATTACAGGTGTGAGCGACTGTGCCCGGCCTCAGCTAGTAATAATTCTTATTGCCCACTCCATTTTAGTGCTTGTCACATCTGCTCCTCATCAAAAGTGAACACACTCACTCACCCCCATCTCCCACTCTCGCTGAGTCTATTCTGGCCTTTGCAACCTCCGCCCATACAAATGGAGGAAACTATCAAAGTAGGAGAGAGAAAAACAGCAAGCTTCAGAGAACTCTCTCTGTGCCAGGAGAGCTGAGAGCTGCTAAGCCTCTCCCTGGTCCTTGAATACACAGAGTCTAGAAGGGCTCCCATCCTAGTTGCCTTGTGTTTGGAATTTGAATACGCAGCACTCAGCATTTGAGGCATCCTGTCACTTTCCTGAGCAGAGAGTTGAGCCAGCTCACCAATGCTATCAAATCACCGGTTCTCTCCACTAGCAGCATCCAGGAACCCAGATGTCAGAAATGTAAATTATTGGGCCCATCCCTGAGCCACTGTATCAGAAACTCTAGGGGTGGGGCCCAGCAATCTGTATTTTCAAAGCCCTGCCCCCCAACCCCAGGGGATTCTGCACACACTCAAGTTTGAGAACCACTGCTCTAAAAAGCTACTTGCCAGGGTCACCTGAAGGGGACAGAGCAAAGGTCAGGGTCAAAGTGGGCAAGTTGCACCGTGTATCAAAAAGTGCCGCCCCTCCCCTCAGCCACAGTTAGAGGCCCTCTAGGGAGAGTTTGGAAAGGAAATGAGTAGGATTGAGGCATAGTATTCTTCTTCTGACTTTGAGGATCACTGGCCTGACCCCATCCTCCTGTCATCTCAACACTTGAGGGCACAACACTGAGGGCTGCCTGGGCCAGACTGTGCAGCCCACATTATTTTGCCCTGAGCAGAATAATGTTCTATGTTCTATGATGTTCTATGACGCTGTGCTTGCGCTGCTGGCCCCTGGACTGAAGTCTCCTGCTCAGGGTCCAGGGTTCTCCTGCCTCTCTATAGAATCATTCTGGGGAAATGGGAGCTGTTCAAGTGACTGGTCCTGACTGTGGTGAGACCACAACAGTTTGAGGGGAGCAAGTCCCTGCGCCTGCAGCCCGGTCCCACCAAGGGGACTCAGCTTTCCCATCCCCTCAGTGGGAAGAATAGTTCCTCGCTTTCCTGATTGTTGTGGGGACTAAACAGCACTTTGTGTTTTTGGATGAAAAATAAAGCACTATAAATATATAGGGCTTGGTGACCCCTTATCATCTCCATTCATTAAGACATGTGCAGTGAACACTCTCATTCCATTATCACCTGACTAGAATCTGGCCTTGTCCCTTGGCCTCGGACATCACTGAAATGCAGGTCCTCTCGGTTGTGCCTGTTCTCCAAGGTGTATGTGACTAAGGGCCTAGGAGAGGGGAAACCAAAGGGAGTGATGCCCCAGCTTCAGTCCCAGTCTTTATGTCACTGAGGCAGTGTGCAGAGCATGAAATCACAGCTCCTTGATTTTAAAATGTTATGTTCTCATTTATTAAAACACGATATAAAAACAGGAATATTACCAACTTAGATTATTGAGTGCTTACTGCACAGCACGAAGCATTATTCTAAGTGCTTTATTTGTGTTAATTCCTCAAAACAGCCCCATGAGGTAGGTACTATTATTGTCTCTATTTTGTAGATGAGAAAGTGGAATTATAAATGCCAAATAACTTGTCCAAAGTCAGGTCAGGCATGGTGGTTCATGCCTGTTAATCCCAGCACTTTAGGAGGCAGAGGCAGGAGAATCGCTTGAGGCCAGGAGTTCAAGACCAGCCTGTGCAACATAGTGAAACACCATCTCTACAAGAAAAAAAAAAAAAGTAGCTAGCATGGTGGATTGTGCCCGTAGTCCCAGCTACTCAGGAGACTGAGGTGAGAGGATCACTTGGGCCCAGAAGTTTGAGGTTGCAGTGAGTCAAGATGGTGGCACCGCACTGCAGCCTGGGCAACAGAGCAAGACCGTCTCTAATAAAAAACAAAAACAACAAAACCTAAATTCCAAAGTTTGAAATCACTTTTAGGATGTTATATTTTAATTCATTTATGTTCAACAAACATTAATGACACCCCTATTGTATACAAAGCACTCTGTGGGTCACCATGGGTAGGGTAGGGGTAGAATTCAGAGAATAGGCAAAGAGGACATCTACAACTTCAGTAAAAGACAGGCAGGCAGTGGACGTGGTAGCTCATGCCTGTAATCCCAGCACTTCGGGAGGACAGGGCGGGTGGGATCATTTGAGGTCAGGAGTTCGAGACCAGCTTGGCCAACATGGTGATACCTCATATCTACTAAAAATACAAAAATTAACTGGGTATGGTGGCACACACTTGTAATCCAGCTACTCGGGAGGCTGAGGCAGGAGAGCTGTTTGAACCCAGAGGCGGAGGTTGCAGTGAGCTGAGATTGTGCAACTGTACTCCAGCCTGTCAACAGGGCAAGACTCCATCTCAAAAAAAAATAAAATAAATAAAATAAAATACACCAAACCAAACAAAAAAGCAGTATTACACAACTAGCAAGTGGCAGAGCTGAATTCAAACCTGGGCAGTTTGGCTCCGAACTCAATTCCTTCCCTGAACTTAACACTGTATTGCTCACGACAAAAAGTTAAGAGAAGAAAGAAGATTCTGCCCTTTCTTTGATGTGTCATACTGAAAAAACATACAAATATGTAAAATATATATCGATGGCAAATATGAATATTTTTTCTTAATATGTATTACATTTTCTACATTTTTACAATGAGCATATATTCTATTTATAACAGCATAACTTTCTAATTTTATAGACTACTATTTCTATTGAGCATATATTGCATTTATAACCAGCAACATTTTTTGTTATTATTTTCATAGATGATCATCTCTATTGAAGGCTCAGCCATGAGGCAGTCCGTGAGCCTCCTGGGAAGCCTAGAGGTTTGTTTCTACATGTCTGGTGGCTGCAGAGTTTGGAGAGCCGTGCCAACTGCAGTACCAGCCAAATTGAGGAATGGGGGATTATCTGCTCACAGCCAGATCAGGGTGAGAGAAAAGAGACCAGCAAATAGCCCTGACACATGCGTAGACTACAAAGTATGTTGCAGGTGGGGGGAGCATAAACAAACGCATGGAGCATATTAAGAAGAGAGTCGGGGCAGGCGGGGTGGCTCATGCCTGTAACCCCAGCACTTTCGGAGGCTGAGGCGGGAGAATCACTTGAGGTCAGGAGTTTGAGACCAGCCTAGCCAACATGGTGAAACCCTGTCTCTACTAAAAATATATAAAGTTAGTCAGGCGTGATGGCCAGTGCCTGTAATCCCAGCTACCTGGGTGGCTGAGGCAGAAGAACCGCTTGAACCTGGAGGTGGAGGTTGCGGTGAGCTGAGATAGCACCACTGCACTCCAGCCTGGGGGACAGAGTGAGACCCTGTCTCAAAACAAACAAACAAACAAACAAACAAACAAAGACTGGGTAAACCCGTTGCTAGGAACAAAAGCTTCCTGTCAAGGAGTAGCCTGGTGTGGGTCTTGGAACTTTCCTCCAGCAAAGCGGGCAGCATGGCCTATGAACCAAAAGCTTTGAAACAGACACCCACAAATGGGCTCTGTCACACCACGTCTGGTGTCACATTCAGGAGCACCTAATCTTTCACATTTGCCTTGGGACCCATCTGGGGTGGGGGCAGGTGGGGTGGGGACAGGTGGGGTGGGTATCAGCAGCCTCTCTTCCTGAGCCTTACTCAAGTCACACACAAAGGCAGGCCAGGACTGGAACCAACTTTTCTGTCTTAGTTCCAAGCACTTTGCCACCCATGTTGCCAATCTAGGTAAAATTGTAAATCTGAAAGATGACACCTTAACTACAAGTTCCTTTAACTCTGGAGAGAGTTAAATAAAAATAATGTAGTGGGCACTCTGCTTACTAGAAGTGTTATAAATATCAATACAATGAAACATTTGAAACCGATGGCACTCTGAAAGGACAGCTATGGTAAATGAGGAAAACAACACGAAAAAGGCCATTATTTTGCTTATTGGGAGAGTTTTCCATTCACAACTACACGTATGTTTGTTACAACTGGGAAATCTGTTATGTTTTGTTGACAACTCAGACTGTTTCTACATTCCTGCCACATTGCTGGGAGATTTCCAGGCTCAAGGAGATAATACGTTCATGTGTTTAGGCACCAGGGCTTTTAGTGTATTTACGATTTAACAGAAGTTTCTTTTCGGTCATAAAATATAAAACTATGATGACCGGCTCAAAGGTCTGGAGGGACGAGCTTGGGAAAAGGAAATTACCCTACTAGTCTAACAATGCTACCCTTCTCTTCAAAACAGATCCTCAGAGCTGCTTCAACCACTACCCTATATCCAAAGAGTTTCTAAAATAAAGGAACAGTATGCCCCCAAAAGTTCTAACAACCTCTAGGGAGATAGGGGATGGTAAGAACAAGGCAGTTTGAGTCAGAAAGATCTGAGTTCTGAGGCCCACTCCGTCACCAGCCCGTGAACTTGGCAAATCGCTTCAACCTCTCTAAGCTTTCAGTTTCTTGAACAATTGAGAGCAACATTCTCTCCTCGCAGGTTGTCATCAAAAGCTGCAAAGAACTGCCCTCTAACCAGAGGTTGTTGTCAGTACTTCTCTGGGGGCCAGTGCCCCCTTATTTTATACATATATATATATATATACATACATACACACACACACACACACACACACACACAAATGCAAAAACAAGTTCCTGGCCACTGTTCTCTGAGGTCACTACTAACCTGGGTGCACTTGTCTGAGACCAAGTTCTGGGCACAGCTGGAATACCTAAGTCATTGTGGCCACTCAGGCCTTGCCTCTGCAGACTGCTCTCCCTCCTCCTGGGGAGGGGAAGAAAGGTTTCTGGGCTTTCTGAGAGGGAATGGCAGGAGTGTTTGAGTGGGGAACAGCAGAGGAGAAAGCTGGAGTGGATGATGCTTTCCTGAGGGGCTCTGTCAGGCAGGCCTGAGAACAAACCTGGTCTCAACCTTCCCCCAGAGTCCCCCTGGAGCTTGGGGTGATGAGTTAAGAAACTATAATAGAAGCTGAACAGAAACTATCAGTCATATCCCCACGACTTTCTTTCTTTTCTTTTCTTTTTTTGAGACAGAGTTTCATTCTATCACCCAGGCTAGAGTGCAGTGGCATAATCTCGGCTCACTGCAACCTCCGCCTCCCAGGTTCAAGCTATTCTCCTGCCTCAGCCTTCTGAGTAGCTGGGATTACAGGCGTCTGCCACCGCATCCCGCTAATTTTTGAATATTTAGTAGAGATGGGGTTTCGCCATGTTGGCTAGGCTGGTCTCAAACTCCTGACCTCAAGTGATCTGCCCACCTCAGCCTCCCAAAATGCTAGGATTATAGGCGTAAGCCACCGCACCTGGCCATAACCCCACTTCTTTCTAGGTCATTTTTTTTCCCAGGGGGTTTTGTGCACAAAAAGGTCATTTTTGATTCCCTGTTAGCCCAGGTGGCTCCTGGGTTTTCCACCATGCTCTCCTGCAGCTCCACTTCGCCCCCTGGGAGGGCTCTCGTTTGTTCCCCACATGGGAGGAGTGGAGAAAGAGAATTCATTCTGCAGACCCGTTCTCCCTGCAGTTGGAAGGAGCGGATTGCCCCACTCATGTCTCGCAGTGCATGCTTGGAAGGCCACTGCTCCACTGCCACCAGGAGGCCAGTGCTAGGGAAAGGGCCCCCACTGTGTGACTGGCCGCTTTTTACGGTTGCTGCCTCTGTAGGAAATGCTCTGAAGGGATTTTGGAAACCATGGGGTATCCAACAAATGTTTCAAAGTACATGCTTCACTTTCAGTAGGCATAAGCTTTGTAACCCCTGATATATAGATCGGAGTCTGAATATGCTTAGATCTCAGAATGGAAGGGTTTCTAAAGAAAAACTCCAGAAATACCCGAATTCAGATGTAAAAAAATGTGTGAGAATCAAGAACAAAGCCAGCGAAAGCAGAGGGAGTGAATAACCTTTCATTTCAAGCTGCTTTCCCCACTAGAGACAGTCATGATCTGTACAGCACTATTTGATGCAAATGCCTCTCAGAAAAGAGCCAGTGGATAATAGATAAAAAGATTATCTGTGACATTATGAAAAATGAAAGTTTAAAAACGGCTACAAGTCCCATAAAAAAAAAATCCTAAACTTTATTCAGTCTTGTTGAAAGGCAACAGCGGAACTGTGTTTTGTTCAGCCCCTGGGGTCCCTGCCTCTTCCGCCATTGTTCTAATACCTTCCACCAGCTCATCTGTTTTCAAAAATCTTTCCTGCTGCTTTCTCTTTGCTGGAAACATAAGGTCCAAGAAGCTATCACAGCTCTGTTTCTTTTCCCTAACTGGACTCTGATGCTGGAAATTCAAGTGCTGCAGCTCCTGCCCCTCTCTCTTCCCCGTCGTCCCCCTCTGTGCTAAACCACCGGCTGCACACTTGATTTAACAGATGAATTACAGATTCAAGGCATGGGTTTCCAGGGCAGGAAAGAGTCTGATTTTTGTCCAGGTCTCTCTTGATTGGCTCAGCATGGAAGTCTTTCATTTAATGGGCCAGGTCCTGCTGAGAACACCTCTGCTGGCACCACACCGATTTCTTTCTTTGCTCGAGAGAGGAGCAGAGATCCTAAAGAGAGATTTTCCATCTTCCAGATTTCTGATGTGCTCACTACATATCATTCCTTTTAAACAGAGCATTACGAGTGTAACCCAAGACTCCAGGAAACATTTGATTCATCTGACCAACCATCTTTGATCTCAAAGTTGGCCGAGGTGTTGTTGAAGAACCTATTTAACACCTAGGCCACAAAAATATGCCTTTTTCTTCCACCCAAGGAGACAGCACTGTGCGGCGGCAGTTCAGTGTGAGGGTGTGGAGGGGAGTACCTTGTTCAAATTCCAGTTCTGGCACCTGGTAGATGGGTGGACTTTGAGCAAGTTTCAATGTCTGAATTTCTCTATTTGCAAAGCAAATACAGTAAGATGATCAGATTGAACCACATAGGACTGCTAATATTTGACTGTTTTTGATTACAAAAAGATTATTAGATTGGACCACATACAATTGCCAATATTTGACTGTTTTTGACCTACAAAAATGGCAGTTTCACATGGTTCATCCTAATACCCACCTCAAAGGGTGACTGTGAGGATGGAAGACAGAAAGTCATGTAAAGTGCTGCACCAAAGTGCCTGGGATGCAGCATGTGCTGAGTAAAGGTTATTATTGCTGTTATTGTCAAGGAGCTTACAGGAATCACTTGCTGTATACAGATCACCTGTGTACAGATGCTGCAATGTAAAATACTCAGATCAGTCACCTAGTTGCCAAGGACCATCTAGGCCAGGTGATGCAGTGCTAACAAACATCATTGAGGGTAGAGAAAGATGTGCACTCAGTCCAAACTCTTTCTGTCTCATTTCCTCTTGAAAAATCCCTTCCTGGGCAGGTGTGGTGGCTCATGCCTGTAATCCCAATACTCCGGGAGGCTGGGATGGGAGAATCTCCTGAGCCCAAGGATTCAGGAACAGCCTGAGCAGCAGAGTGAGACCCTATCTCTACAAAAAGTTAAAAAATTAGCCCGCATGGTGGTATGTTCCTCTTGTTCCAGCTACTCAGGAGGCAGAGGTGGGAGGGTTGCTCAAGTCCAGGGGGGTTGATGCTGCAGTGAGCCGTGATGGCATCACTGCACTCCAGCCTGGTAACAGAGTGAGACTCTGTCTCAAAAAAGAAAAAAGAAAAATCCCTTGCCATATGGAATGCTGCTCCCTTCCCATTCTGGAGCAATTTTACCCATTCCTGGTGGCTTTTATAAGCCAGTTGGTATGACTGGAATTAGACCTAAACTACTCAAATGGAGATTCCAAAAACATGTTTGAAAACAGACATCAACCCAAGACTGTGTATCACACTGTGTGCCTCCTTCCTGTTTCCTGCAAGTAGTGAAGAGAAAGTATCCAAGTTATTGCAATTGTTGGAGGAAGAGTAAAATAAAGAAATTAGGAAAATCTGTGGGCAAGTGCTGACCTCAAGGACAGGAACAGTAAATGTTAACCTGCAAACTGAATGGGATTGAACAGCAGGGTCTCCGGAGGCAAATCCACCCAGAACGTAAATATGCAGCTAGCTTTCCCACACCAGAGTTTAGGATGCAAGCCTTAGTGCTGAGAACTCGAGAAACATCAATGCAATGGGCAGGCATCCTGTGCTTTCTGGAGTGCCTGTCTACCAGTGCTATCCCAGAGTACAATGCAACGCTTCAGTCATGCTCCCAATCGCATCATTTCCTGGAGCAATTCTTGAGATGTTTAACCCTAAATAGAATCCTTCCCTTCCTTACATGCACCCCAACAAATACACTCCCCTACTTTAATGAAACCATTCTCTGTTGGCTGAAGGCCTGCTTGCTTCTTTTTAAATTATGAAATATTTTTGGACTACAGGAAAAGTATAGGATAACATAAGAATACATGTAAGGAAAACCTGTAGAGCCACCATATAGCTGGAGAAATATATATTTCAGATATCTTCCCGCAGGGTACACACTCACCAATTTGATATTTATCATGCACGGTATGGCATTTATACTTTTGCTATATTTGTACATAGATACAAATGCCATGTAGCATTGTTTCGAGTGTTTTAAAACTTTATTTCGGCTGGGCGCGATCGCTCATGCCTGTAATCCCAGCACTTTGGGAGGCTGAGGCAGGAGGATCACTTGAGGTCAGAAGTTCGAGACCAGCCTGGCCAACAAGGTGAAACTCTGTCTGTACTAAAAATACAAAAATCAGCCAGACATGGTGGCGCATGCTTGTAATCCCAGCTACTTAGGGGGCTGAGGCAGGAGAATAGCTTGAACCCGGGAGGTAGAGGTTGCAGTGAGCCGAGATCGCGCCGTTGCACTCCAGTCTGGGCGACAGAGCAAGACACTGTCTCAAAACATACATATATACATACATAAATAAATAAATAAATAAATAAATCTTTATTTCATTGGTTTTGTCCCACATGTAGCCTTCCACAACTTTTAAACAAGAGATTCTAATTCACTGGTCCCATTAGGGGTTATTCGCCTTGAACCAACTGGCTAGATTGTGGGTAATAGCGAGGGTGATCATCCCGTAGAATTCAAACTCGGATACTTTTAAGAGTGAAGATATCCACTGTTAACAAGTACAGCAGGCATAAATTGGGGCTGTTTGAGGCAAACCAGGACCTATGGTCACCTTGGTGATGGCAGATCAGTTCCTATGTTAATATACGCGATCTGTATGACCGACTAGAAGCCTCTTACGTTGCAACATCTGATAGGGCTCTCGGAAGGAGTTCATTTGTTTGTGCCTCTTTTGGCAGAAAAGTCATTAATGAGAACCTCAGTTTCCTGGTCAGTCAAATAGGGGATTCTGGAAGAGAAGCGGGAGTGTAGCTCTAGCGACCCTCCTGATGCTGCTCTGTTTCAGGCCTGTGTTGTAAAGTGCTCTGAGCGCAAGAAAACACCAGCAGCCCCGCAGAAAGCCACAGCACCCCCCAGAGGACTAGAGTCTCCTCTCTGTGTGTCAGTCCAGCTGTTTCCACAGCAGGGCAGGGACAGTTTGCCCCCTGCAGGACCCCCAAAAGTTGACTGGTCAGGGCTCTCCACTGCTTTTTCACACAGCATCTTAATTGGCCTGTTTCTATGGAAATAAGCTTACTGCTAATCAGGTTTTCTCTCAGCTCCCAACTGGTTACCAACACACCCCTCAGATTTGAAATAGTGCTGAATTAGATGCTTGCTAAGTAAGTAAATAGGAGCCAGAAAGGATATCAGAGGAGTTAATAATTTTGGTTTCCCTTTGAAAAAAAGAAATCAGACACTGAGCTTACTCAACACCTTGAAAAGCAGGGTGCAGAGGTTCAAGGAGAACCTACATGCTCCTGGCTGGGTGAGGCCAGGCTTCCACCTGTGTGCCAGAGCTTCTGGAATGAAGACAGAGCCAGAGAAACACTGAAGTTTTCAGTCACTGCCCCAGCACACGCCCTTCGTGGCTGGCAGGACGAGGGATTCCTCCTGGTTGCTCCCCCTTCCTTCTTCAGAGCAAGGCCAGCACTCGCCTCCCTGGAACAGGGGCCTGTGGTGTGAAGGGGTGCTCTGGGGCTGCACTAAGCATGGCGTTCTCGGCCTGTCTCTGTACTGCCCCCAGGGCTGGCTCAAGTTCGCTGGCAGCTGTGGCTGAAGTCGCAGCATGCCACCCAAGATGCCTTCTTTATTCTGGCTCTGTATTTAGGCATTAGGATGCACAGCCCTTTTATCAAGGGTTCTTCCCCCTCCCAAATTGCAATTGACCAGTTTCATTTCTGCCTGAAATTAAAACACAGAACTTATAAATCCCAAGCTGTCACAGCGTGAATGAAACCCTAGAAATAAATCCAGTCTAATGACAGAGCGATCCGGAGACCTCAGTGGGAAACAAGATACTTTGTTTAATAATTATCAGCCTGCTTTCAGGGCCTGTCTGCTAAAGCAGTGGTGTCAGAAGCTGCACAGAGAAGAAATTTTTCCCCAGATTTCACCCTGGGAAAGACTGAAGCCATTTAAAACCAGACTGGACGCTTTTGATTTACATTTCTGATATTAAATGCAGTGCGGCTGTCTACATTTATGCTACAGGGCATTACTTCAGTGCGAAGAAACAGGGTGGTGGCAGAGATCCAGTTTCCTAATGAACAAGCTTATCTGGAGGAAAACAGCTTTTCACACCGTAACAAACAATGAACACCTCTTAGATAACAAATTCAACGGCAAAAATATAGCATTGTACATGTCACAGTCCTGTAATTTAATGGAGGCACTTGCAGCATTAGTGGTTTACATTAATTTTTAAAATTAATTTTGTTTGGCCCACAGGGAAAATATTTTCATTTTTGTTTCTGATATCCTGCAGCTAATTAACACTGCTTACCGCTGCTCTACAGAGCTATCCATAATTGTCCACTTGGTAGCCAGAGGCCATTTTTAAAAGAAGAATGCTGGAAGAGGGACAGAAGGCAGTTTTTTTTGCTTTCTTCCACAAAGAAAGGCTCGCCCAGAAGGACAGAGTTGCTCGGCAGAGGCCTGAGCCGTGCGGTGCGGGTTTCAGCGGTCATGGTGCCTGGAGGGCAGCCTTGGATGGGCCCAAAAGGCTCTTTCTTCACTCACTGTCCACCACTCCCCTAAAAACAGAAGCTCCCAGAGCTGGGGACTCTAAGCATTACCTGGGAAGTTTCTGTGAAGGTGTAGATTACTAGGCCCCACCTCACACCCATGAATCACTACCTCTGCCTCCGCCCCTCCCATGAAAGAGTTAACGACTGGCTACTTAGAAAACAGGCCCCCTCTCCCTCTGCCTCGAGCAGGGAGATCAGGGAATTCACTGCTAATCACTGCGGTTGTGATTTCTGATTTCAACTGGCAGCAAAGAGAATTGAACTGGGGTCCCCAGAGAGCAGCCAGCTCCACAAGGCAGACCTTGAGCTTGTTAGGCTGTGGTGCTGCCATGCGATTATCAATTTTAAATTAATCTCCCCAGTCTCTTTAAAGTGGTTGCTAAAAATATAATCTCTGGGATATCTTACCGTAAGACTTAACTAAAGGGAAAAATTTGGATAATAATTAAGTGCTTCCCTCCGCCTAAGCTTCCTGTAAAACACTTCTGGAGACTAGGCTAATCCACGGGCAGCAGGAAGACCAGCCAGGGGCGGCCCCAAGGTCTGAGCGAGCTGGTTTATAAGTTACACACTTTCTCTAAATAAAACTTAAACAGGCAATATGCGTTTGGACAAAAGGTTAAAGATACAGTACTACACTGTATTAAAACAAGTCCTTCCCTATTTTTAACCCAAAGAAGTTTGGGGGGAAAAGCCAAAAAAAATTGTCTAGACATACTTTTGCTAAGCTCATGAGGGAGTCGTTACAAACTCACTTTATAGGGACATAATCTAGGTTATATATACAACACATTTTTTTTAAAGGCAGCAACATGGTGGGACAATATGAACAAAAGTGAAAGGAGTTCTTATTTGCAAGAAAAGGGCTCTCTGTAGAAACATCTCTGGCCTTGTAGAAGGCTCAAGTCAAAAGCAGACACATTTTCTAAAAGCTACTAAGAACGATGAAGAGGGAAATGAACAGCAATTCATTAACAAAACTCAGCATTCTACCCACACTTTGCAGCCTTCTGCTAAATGAAAAGATGCTTCTGTACCTTGAATTCTGTGAAGTGGTGAGTCCCAAGCTTCCCCAGAGGGGAAAATACCTGTGGTATTTTTCCTTTCCTTTTCCCCTCACATTCCTATTTCTTTGGGCAACGTGGTGGGAAGGGGTAACTTAAAGCAAGAGCTCTGAACAAATATACATACTCTCCACATGCAGCCATTCAAGTCGGAGAATGCAGGCTGCTAGAGGGTCCAGTGGGAACCCACTCCGTAGGCCTCAGCCTGAAATATGGGATGCTTTGTATACTCAGCTTGACGTGGAAGGAAGGGTTGGGGCTGGGGAGAAGGGAGAGGATGTGGATGGAGGAAAGAGTGCGGGTCTGAAAAGGGCTGAGAAGACAGCCTGTGTGAGGCTTTCATAAAACCACACTGCGTTCTTTTAATGATAACGATAAAGAAAACCCCCAACTTCATAAAATTCCATTAATTCTATAATTTCCTTTCTTCGATAAGAGCAAAGAATAAAACAACTCATTACCTCTACTACCAACTAGATGTTTGACCTTGAAAAACGACTTAACATCTCTGGTTAAAAAAAAAAAAAAAAAAGTGGGTTGGGTAAGACAAGCTCTAAAATTCTGATTTTATTCTTCTGGTTGAAAGAAAACAAAACAAAATGAAACAAAACCTTACTATACATAGACTAAAGCTCAATTTTGGCCCCACCTTTGACTAAATGATGAAAAATTAGAATGGGGAATGGTAAAATAGACATTTTTACTGTGTGAACAATACAAAATGTAAAGGAATTTAGAAACAAGTCAACTACACCACATTAAAAAAATGCCTGAATTAAGATGAAATAAAAGTGATAGCAGAGTCTCTTTTATAGTCAGGGAAGGCTCCCCAAACCTTGGTGAATGGAAACATGGCTTACTAGGAACCAGGTCTGTTCTTGGTTAAGGCTAAGGTTGGATAGGGAGAAGGGGTCAGGTGGGTGAGAGTACTGTGGTGGGTAACAAACAGCATACATTTCCAAAGTGGCGTGTGCATAGTTAGTCTCTGGTTAAGAGCCCAATGAATCTCAACATTTTTTTTTCTTTGAAACAGGTTGGAGGTTGCTCAGGTTGGAATGCAGTGGTGCAATCATAGCCTAGAACTCACTGGCTTAAGCGATCCTCCCACCTCAGCCTCCTGAGTAGCCGGGACTATAGGCACATGCCATCGCACCCGGCTAATTTATTTATTTATTTATTTATTGAGACGGAGTTTCGCTCTTCTTGCCCAGGCTGGAATGCAATGGCGCAATCTCGGCTCACCACAACCTCCGCCTCCCAGTTTCAAGCAATTTTCCTGCCTCAGCCTCCCGAGTAGCTGGGATTACAGGCATGAGCCACCATGCCCGGCAAATTTTTTTGTATTTTTAGTAGAGATGGGGGTTTCACCACGTTGGTCAGGCTGGTCTCGAACTCCCGACCTCAGGTGATCTGCCCGCCTCGGCCTCCCAAAGTACTGGTATTACAAGCGTGAGCCACTACGCCCGGCCTTATTTTAAAATTTTTTTTGAAGCAAAGGAGTCTCACTGGGTTGTCCAGGCTAGCTTCAAACTCCTGGCCTCAAGTGATCCTCCTGTCTTGGCCTCCCAAAGTGCTGGGATTACAGGTATGGGCCACCACACCCAGCCTCAACTATTTTTTTGGTTACAGATTCTATTTGAAAATCTGATGAAAGCCAAGAACCATCTTCTGAGGCAAATGCACAAGCACACAAACAAAACTTTAAATACATTTTCAGCGGACTCCTGGGCTCCTTTAAAGTTCCTCTGCAAATCCTGTCGTATCTGTTAAACACAACGTAAAACTTCCTGTTCTGGGCCTAGACACTGGAACATCTATTTGTTCTTCCATTTGCCTTGAAGGTTTGTAGTGTTCCCATGTTCTCAAGAAAAAATGTCTTTTTCAATTAAAAAATAACCTGACTCTCCCTGCACACCCAAGCAATTCTGCAGGGAGTCTGGTGTGTTCAGCTCAAGAGAAAAAGGTTGACGAACAGAAGACCTGCAGCTGCAGCCCTCATGGCCTGAGCACCTCCAGAGGTGGGGCTTGTATCCTGAGGCTGAATTCGGAACTGTTTTTCCACAGGAGAGAATTCCTACCAGTAAATAAGTCTGTGTCCCCTCCTACTAGAGACTGCCCTCTTTCTGACCTACTTCATCCACCCTTTTGACCTGCCTTCCTTCCTGAAGAACTAATAGGAAACATGGTACCTGGTGAGGGGGAGGACCGGCAGGAAGCAGCCTCCTGGAATGTCAATGATGCTGGGACAAGCACACCTACCCCATTCCCATTCAGCAGGCAGCCACGCTACAGCGCAGGGCACATGTGCATAGCTGAAGGTCAGGATGAAGTCAGACTGGCTTTCAGCCCTGAAACTCCACTGTTTCAGGGTTGCAAGAGTGAAACCGTCTAGTACGTCCACTCTAATTGGCACTGGGCTACTGAATGATAAGAGACGGGAATGTGCTTTGAGGCCCAGTGCACACCACCGAGTCAGTGCTGGTTACGTTCGAAGGCACTGTGTTGTGGAGCCCCAAGTGGCTAAAATGGCTGGCTTCTAGAGGGTCTGTGTCCTGGCCTCGAAGACATCTTAGAGGCTGTCCTGCAAACGTAATCAACTTCACAGCAGCCTGCTTCTCAGAGCAGTTGGTCATCCTCTATCTTCCTGCTTCTTCCAGACTGATTATGAATCATGTTTGAAGTGGAAGGAAATGGTGGCTTAGGGGCAGATTCTCCCCGACTTCCTGCTCCAGCCAATCTCCCAACTAAATGGGTCCAAAAACCTCTCCTCAAGAAAGTGACAAACGAGGCACTAAATCAGAGGAATTGTGAATTCAATCACTTAGCCTGAATGGAGAGAGCCTTACAAGATGAATTCCATCACATTAAATAGCTTGACTCATGTCAGGAGAAAGCAGTCTACAAACCACTGGAAGGAAAGCTTGAAAAGATGGTTTATTAATTGCACCTGCTCTGTCTTATCCCTGGGCAGGGTAGGCTTGAAACCCATGTCTTCAGCATTGAAGGAGATGGAATGGAATGTTCCATGGGTAAATATGTGAACAAGATTGCCAACCTGATTTCTCATGAAATAAAGCAAATAAGGAACAGGGCAGCACCATTTTTTTTATTAGCAAATTAATTGCTTAGAAAAAAGAATCCCATTGTCTCAAGAAAAAAAGTCCTTAAGAGCCAAACTGTTCATCTCAATTTCATTTGAATTATTATTTGAAAGGATTAAGTCTGTTAAAGTGACACTTCTCAGCATTGCATACTGAGATAGCAAAGCTGCCTAACTTGATTTTTCTAAAATGTTCCTCCCTTCATCTTTTTTTTTTTTTTTTTTAGAAAAGAGAATATAAGGCTGGGCATGATGGCTCATGCCTGCAACCTCAACACTTGTGGAGGCCGAGATGGGTGGATTGCTTTAGCTCAGGAGTTTGAGACCAGCCTGGCCAACATGGTGAAACCCTGTTTCTACTAAAAAAACAAAAATTAGCCAGGTGTGGTGGCATGTGCCTGTAATCCCAACTATTCGAGAGGCTGAGGTGGGAGGATCACCTGAACCCTGGGGAGGTTGAGGCTGCAGTGAGCCATGATCGCACCACTGCACCACTCCAACCTGGGCAAAGGAGGGAGACTCTGTTTCTCAAAAAAAAAAAAAGAAAGAAAAAAAAAGAAAGAAAGGAAAGAAGAAAAGAAAAGATAATATAACTTAGGCATCTTAGACCTGTTGGTTTGGCTATAGCTAGCAACATGCTTAACCAAAGAAGGACCCAGGGAAAATGAATTTGCTGGAGAATATGTCTTACCAAAACAGTCTTAATTAAAAAAAACCAAATCATGATAATATGGCTAAGTATAAACAAGAAAAATTTGGGTAGGTCCCAGTATAGAATAGGCCTCGTTCCTCAACTATATCAGAAGTTGGGAAAAATAATGAAGAGGGGGACTGATTCTTGGTTTTGTATTTCACTTTACAGTGAACTCAATGGCAAATCTAGAAGAAGCATATTGTTTTGGTGCTCTAGTTTACTAACGTTTATAGTTGGAAGAAAAATAATTACTTCAGCAAGATGGGGTTACAAAGAGTCCTGGACTTAGAATAAAGACGTGATTTCTAGTGCCACCTCTGTCTCAGGTGATTTCATTGGTCAAAAGGGAGAAACTAGGGACAGAAAATGTGCAGCATGCACACTTCCTTGCCTTCATGCCATGCTCATGGCAGACATCACTAATCGATTTAGCCTTTGATGCCTTCATGGCCCAGAATCTTCAATACAAGCCTCCAGGCAGCCAACTAACAAACCATAGATAGCAGGACAATCGAAACTTATTTGCCATCTCTAGACTAGATGATCTTTAAGGTCCCTTTTAGCTCTAACTTTCTAGGATATCTTCTGCAAATTATTTTCATATTCTACTAGGAATCTACTGAGGACAAAACACATATGGACAAAAGGCCAGGTGCGGTGGCTCACGCCTGTAATCCCAGCACTTTGAGAGGCCGAGGCGGGCAGATCACAAGTTCAGGAGACTGAGACCATCCTAGCTAGCATGGTGAAACCCCGTCTCTACTAAAAATACAAAAAATTAGCCGGGCGTGGTGGCGGGCGCCTGTAGTCCCAGCTACTCAGGAGGCTGAGGCAGGAGAATGGCGTGAACCTGGGAGGCGGAGCTTGCAGTGAGCTGAGATCACGCCACTGCACTCCAGCCTGGGCGACAGAGCAAGACTCCATCTCAAAAAATAAAAAAAAAATAAAGAAAAAAATTAAAAAAAAACCCAATAAAACACATATGAACAAAAATGCTTTATGATGTTGCCACAGTTGGGGAAAAAAACATAGCTTAGTAAATTGTTTTCATGTTTCAGTGATTAGAGAGTCTCCAGACAAAACACATGGTATGTTCTGAAACTAAGAAACTGTTGCCGTAGCTGTGGCTATACATCAACTGCTCATCAACCTTGTTGATCAACCCAAAATGACAATAATCTCAGACAAGCCAATGTCAATTTATCAATTAAGTAGCTAAGACTGGTAACAGGTAATGTTATGTATCACTTACATATTCCCTACACCGAAGGATTTAAGTTACCTTAAAGGACCAAAAGGATAAAGGATTTAAAGTACCTTAAAGGACCAAAAGGATTTAGGGTACCTTTAAAAGATAACAGGGAGGGGGGAGGATTTTTAAAATTATTGGTAGAAAAGAAGGAAAAATAAACCATGTGGGTATGCACAGTGGAGATGGAAATGAAGTCTGCCCATCACTTAACCACTTATTTATAACAGATGGGCCAGGAAGCTGGCTCTAGGCTTCCAGCAGCCACGGTGATGATGGGAAGCTAAGCAGTTGCACAGTTCATGGGGGTTGCAAGATAAAAGGAAAACCAACTCTTCAAAAAAGGCTCAATTATTCGTAACTCTGCAATCAGAGTGTTATTTCTCCCAAGGATCTACATAAGCAAAACAACACATAGCACACTAAATAATATTTTTTTCTACTCATTCATTCAAAAGTCCTGGCATTGGTGTCATAGGGTTATTAGAGCCTCTATCTGCAGAGCATATGGTGCTGTTCTAAACTGGAATACCAGAAAGGCTAACTCTGGTTCTCTGCTGGTTTGTCTTACTCCAGATCCTCTGGAGTAGCATTTCCCAAACTGTGTTCCAAGGGATCTATGAAATGTTCCTAGGTGTTCTGTGGTCAAAGCTGTTTGGTAAACACAGCATAATATTGCCCTCTCCACTGCTTTGCTTAATTTGATCTAATCCAACACTTTTCAAACAAAATCCTTTATCCTAGTGGCGTCTATTAATATATTACGAAAAGACTATTCCAGGAAACATTTCAGAAAATGCCAATCTAGAGAAAAAGGACTGCACTTATTCCTATTTTTGGAATCCTTCTAAAACATTGTTCCTCTAAGTGAAGTTTGGAGAGCTACCTAATGGCAGTGAGTTTGAAAGGCATTTCCTGGAAATTACACAGAAGATGTTGATTCTCGGTTGCTGGTTAGGAGTGGAAGCGTGTGTCTTAGCAGAAAGTCAAGCTGTATGTATGGACAAATCAAGACTCTAAAAGCTCTAAGTCCAACCTTCTAATTGTTTAGGTTCCACAACATCAACCCCAAAATGCAAGTGCTGATATGGGTCAATGAAAATGGAGTCTTCAAGAACAGAGCAAGGGATCACTGTGGAGGGGTGAGACTATCAGTGGGAGGAATGAGAAGTTATAAACACAGCTCAGCAGGGGCAGCAGTTGCTCTGGACCACTCGGATCCCTCTCTTTGACCCCTTTCCTTCTTAGGGAGCGCAGAGGAGGGTGGGCCACTCAGATGGGTCTCTTGTAGGCCTTGAACTTGGGGCAAGAGGGGAAACTGAGGCTCACTCACAGTCCTGCCCAGTGCACTGGTGTTGGTGATTAGGCCAGAATTTGGGACTCAAGTGCAATAAAAAATGTACATCTGCCTAGAGTCTGCTTTGGAAACCTAGGGGGTCAATTAGGGAAATGGATTCCAAGACACAACTTCTCTTGGAAACCCAACTAACAGAAGTCCTCAAATCCATGAAGCACTGACCATAAATAGGAAGAACCACCACCTGCCAACTACCTGGGGACAGCCATGCTACCTTCCAGAAGTAATTACTATGTCCCAATCTGAAATTCAGAAATCAAATATCTACCAAATATCAACAAACCAGACCCTTAATGAGAGGCAGGGCAGAATGATGTGCAAAGCTCGTTGGGTGGTATGTTTGCAGGCAGCGCAACAACCTGATGGTATCTTGCAGCAGGTTATTTCTGAAGTTCCTATGATATGCTCCTAATGGGTATAAGGATGTGCTGACTTCCAAAGTGGGACTGACAGGCCCGCAGTTAACTGTCATTCCCATCACAGACTTAATAGCTTTGCCAGGCATCCTCCCAGCAAACGAAGAGAAGAAAGGTCTTGCTATATGACAGCATTCAAAAAGAATGCATGTGAATGCCATTATGGTATTGAAAGTGTCAGGTGCCAGCAGAAGGGCCCTGATCAGACAGACAAGCATTGGGGCTGCATGCTTTAAGGTTATTTGAAGCCTGTCATTCCCATTAGCTAGCTAACCACAAGTGGAATCATTCGTTAGCTGGCTTTCTTTAGCACCAAGGTGGGGCTGAGGGTGGGGGTGGAGGTGGGAGAAGGTGGAGAGGCCTGGGCTTGGCACTTTTAGTTCCTACCCTATTAGCAACTCATGATGGCTGGCAAAGGAAGGGGGTGCACACAGGCAGGGGTGCCCCATGTGCCTGCTCATTAGTGGCTGGCAGTAAAGCACAGAAACGAGTGGACATTGGCACAGGCTGGCTTTCTGTTCCTGGAGAAGGCCAAAAATAATCTCAGTAGATTTAATTAAAACTGCAGTGAACAGATGGGGAAGATGGAAAGAACTCCAACTGGAGACCACTCATCTGTCTAGGTCTCTGCGAGCGTTTTAATAAAGCCTTCGCTGTCTGCAGGTCCCAGTCCTGACACATCCCTTTCTGGTTATGCAACCGAGCGGAACGATTACCCAGCAACTCCACTTAAAGCGGCAGGGGCCTGTTTCCCAAGGAAAAGGATGGCTTGACTCAATCCAACTACTCCTACAGTAAGGCAACAAGCCTACAAATGAACAACCTCTCTGTCCTATCTTGATCTAATCCTAAAGCGAGAACAGGTAATCAGGTGCTCAGTGAAGTTCTCCTCCTACAGAGGGCTAGTGGTGGTGGCCATGAGGGGGTCGGGGAGAAGGGAATCCAGTAGCCGTCTTGTGATTTAAACCTCTAGGTCCAGCTAAAACAAAGCAGTCCTGTTCAAATTGGGCCAGTGGTCTGCCCTAGTTAGTGGCTCCTTTCACAGTTTTCTACAGTGCAGCAAGCCAAGGGAGAATGGCAGGAGACAGTCCTAATTCACCATGAAAGTTGAAACCCAGCCTGTGTTAAAGTTAAAACCCAGCATGCATGCACTCTTTCCTGATTGACTGATTTTAATGGAAAAGCCCAAACTTCTGGTGCTAAGAGCAAAACAGGAGTTCAAACGTTGCTTGTACTATGTAGGCCAAAGTACAGAGAGGGCCAAATCTGCTTGTAAATAAACTTGGCACAATGAAGATGGCTTCTGAAGCTATGTGGAAGTTTGCAATCATCAAGGGCAAGGGGATCTTTAGAAAAAAGACATACGGGTAGAAACTCCAAGGGATTCTATTCAAAGATCGTTGGCACATGGAGCCCAGAGCTCTCTCTGCAGGGACCTTCCAGGTGTCTTCTGAATGTGAAATGCTTTTTTTAAAAAAGACCTTTTTTCAGATGTTAGTAGAGATTGGCATTGCTGGTCTCCTTTCAACTTTTTAAAAATATATACTCCCAAGAAAGCAGGGGTAAGATGCCCCCTTACACAGCCCTTGGGGAATGTCAGATGGTAAAGACTTTGTTGGTAATTCCCCAACTGCTATGGGGGTAGGGGAACAGGATTAGATCTTGGCAGCCTGTTGCTGAGGCACATTTTAAGGAAAATGGAAAACGCCATGGTAGAAGCATGACCTCTCCCCCAGGCCTCCCAACTGCACAGCCAGGCTCACAGACATACACCTTCATGGAGAAACAGGGGCTGCTTCAATGCATATCCCCCAAATTTCAGCAAGATCTGGATGATGCACGATATGTTTATTTAGCAAGAAAGACCAGGAGTGTATGGAACCACAAAACATAATTAATGCATTCTTTGGAGAAAACCAAGCATTTTTCAACTAAGTTCCCCTTAAAACTAGTTATGCAATGGTGTTAAAAAAAAAAAAAAGCTTTTTGCTCAGCTAAGTTTCCTACTATATTAATCTCATTATCCTTTGAACCGTTTAACTGGCAATGCCAAACCCAATTTGTATTCTGCAGCAAAGCGAATGCTCTAAAATGATTATCCCAATATGAACCGTGGCAATCCTTGATATTGTTGGGTCTGAAAGGCCGTCTAACCACTGAATACTGTTCCCATATGCCTTCTGAGTTTCATGACACAATGTTGCGTCTGCTTTGCAAGGGATAAATTAAGCGTGTGAAAGTCTTAGCAAAGCCCTCATTTTCCAGTTAATCAAATCTCCCCTAATCAAATTAGCACACATAATTCCTCTGGATGCATGGCACAAAAAGTGCATTATCCCCTTCTTTGGAGTTGAAAGGGAGAAAACAGCGTGGTGCCTTTCTCCTTTGCTTGAGTGGGCCTAAATAGAGGAGTTCTTCAGAAAGACAGGTCGAGGTAAACTTTGGCAGCATTGACGTTCCCAGCTCATTAAATCCACTGCGTCTGTGGCCACCTCCGGGGACCAGTGAAGCATTCTGTAATGAGATACTTGTTTAATTTTCCTTCAAAGGCTGGACATCTGTGACAAACCTCCCCATTCCAACCCCACACAGGCAAATCTATCAATAGGCCTAAGGCCTCTATCTAGTTTGATGGAGTGTTTTCCATGAATAAACCAGATAATAAATTTTGAGGAGAAAGGAACAATTGCCATTAACTCCGTTCTCTCCGAAGAGTCGAAGTCCATCATGAAAATTCAATAGCGGCTAAGCTAAATGGATAAATGTTCACAGTCAACCTTTTTTAATTGATTTCCCTTCATGAAATGATCTAGTCTCTGAAGCTAGCCGTCCCAGAGCCCCTCTTTAACCTTTCTTTTCATTCCAAATACATTTAGAAGCACTGAACAAAAAGGAATAGCTAAAATATTAATCTCCCTTGAGAGCAAAGGCCCGCAACAGACCAGATTTTCAGATCAATCCCCAACAGTGCCCGTGGCCTACAAAAGAATGAAACACACTTTTAGCTCTATTCAGTGTGGCACCGATTCTGACCTTTATTGAAAACCAACCACCACATCCCGACACTGGCAGGGACTAGAAAGCCTTTCTTACATAATAGGAATTCAGTGCAGATATTGTTAGGTCTCGGCTGCACAGTCACTTCTGCTTATTCCATAATGAGGCCTGGAACATGCATAATGAAAGCTGTCTCAACAATATTTTAACTTTAATGCTTTATTATGTCTAAGAATATGTTTTAAGTAGTAATATTTCACTCTCGCCCCCCCTTTTCCTGCCTCCCCACCCCCACCCCCCATCCCTGCCTTCTCTTAGACTCCATTTGCTGGAACCCTTCAAAGGCACATGAAATAAGCTATTATGATTCCTGCCATTTCAACAGCATGTAAGGAATTCATTAGAAGCAAGTTTCAGGACCTGGCTATTTGCCGTCCACAAAGGTGACCCTGTATTTCCCCTCCTAAAACATGAGTATGCCCCTCCTCCACCTCCCTCCCACCTCGTCTGCATCTGCCAGCACCCTGGATCACTTCACATGCCAGGCATCCGCCCAAGCCCGCGGCATGTGTCACGTGGGTCTGCTAGCACCGCCTCTGTTCTCTGGGCTGCCATAGCTAGGCCAAACGATGCCATGGGAACTCGAATGCATAACAATAGAAAATTCATAAAATCGCCATGGCTCCCCATCATATGCCTGAATTACTTCTAAATTTGACAAATATATAAGCTGCCTGCAGATGTTCCTCTCATATATTTTATTGCAAATAAATGAAATGGACAAGTTCCCCCTGTGGAACACACAGTCATTAATACCCCAAAGCTGCTCTGCACCGGACTGGATCGTTCCCCTAACAGGATCAGATTCCCTCCAAGTCCCACCTCATGATGGCTGCTAGAACAGAACAGGAGGGAGGGTGTCCTCCTGCTTCACCCCTGCAAAGACGTGACTGCCCTGTGCATCTGGAACAGAGGCCTGTGGAGTTTCCAGGGCTGACACGTCCTCCCCTTGCACACCTCATGGCAGCTGGGCTGAGATTTCCCCAAGGCTCCTCCACAGAGGCGAAAGTTTCCCAGCTCCAGTTTGAAGCTGAGAAGTGGAAGCCCAGTTTCCACACTGATTCCCTGAGCAGGAAGCTGAGAATGTGAGAGTGAGTCACCTTTTGTGGGCCAAAGTCTGTTTAAACATCTCCTTATTGACTCTAGTGAAAAGTCAGAAAACCATGGGGGTTTATGTAACTCCCAGCCTTCTCTCCCATCAAACTGGTCTTCCATCCTGTCCTGTACCTTTCCAAGGGTAAAATGAAAATACATTTCACAGAACACTGAAGATGGGGTGGGAGTTATATGGCACAGCTAGGTAATTAACATCTATCAAGTTCCTTCCATTTGCCAGACACTGTGTTAGGCACTTTACTTCCCTTTTTTCTTCTTTGATCCTCCCAACAACCTATAAAGCAGATATCACTTACCTCACTTTATAGGCAAGAAAATCAAGTCACAGAGAGAAATCCACCCAAAGTTCTACTTCTAGCGAGCCTTCAATCTCAAGTTTGTTTGTGGTTATACCTAACCTCTTTCTTCTAATCTTTATTGCTCATCTAGCTCAAAGGGTTTGGGTCAATGCTGATAACAATGTCAAACATTGTGCTTTTATTCATGCACTCGTCCTACAAATATTTACTGGGTATGTATACTAAATATACTATACATTGTAAGGCTTGCCATTCTAAAGGACCTACGTGGTGGAGGAATAGCAAAGGCAGCCAAAGAAGCTTGACAGGGCAGGGTGTGTTCAGCAAATGTGTGCATGGGGCCTTAGAGAGGTGGAGAAGAAACAAAGCAGGAGGCAAGACTACAAGATGGTGGACAGACATATTGTCAAGGGCCTTGGGTGCCCCTGTACACTAAGGAAACTGTGCTTGGTCATAAGTCAACAAGAGGTAGAGAGTGAAAGACAAGAGATCAGATGGGAGATGGGAATGCAACAGGAAGATGCAGTAAGGTCACAGAAGAGAGGGAGGAGGACACAAAATAGAGACCATAGAGAGTATAACCTGGAAAAAGAATGGGAACCCCAGCTGGGTCCACATAGTCTTAGCAGGACACAGAGAAGGGTAAAGGGGAAGGTGGCTGTCATGAAGTTAAAGGAACGTTCAGTGGGAGTGAAGGCATAGGAGAGGTGAAAGCAGAGAGGAGGCTGGTCAGATGGTGAAGGAGAGTTCAAAATCTTATAGGTGGACCCCTTTCTGAGTAAAGATGAGATTGAAGGTTTGGTCGTTTGTGTCGATTCTGAAACAGCAAGGATCTTCACTGAATATGAAGAAGTCAATTAATCACTTTAACACAAGGTTTCCCAGGGTGCAAGTTCTCTTTACACAAGTCCAATATAGTGTGTTGAATAATGCCTGGCTTTAGAATACCTACAGACAAGATGCTGGGGGAAGGAAGGACTCTGGAGAAGGAAACACCTACAAAATGGGTCCAATCATCTGAGCTGACAACCAAGCCCAACCACCTCATTCAGGAGTGAGCGAGGATTTAAACTTGTATGAATCATAACTTACCTCTTTCTAGGCCAGACCTGCCTAACCTACTGTCATGGCCAGAGCACTCAAACTGGCTGCACTTTCATCCAGGTCTCCCTGGACTAAGATTTCCAGACACGTTCTGATTAAAACAAGGTATAAGCACAGCTAACACGGCTTCCTATCCGAGGTTCCTAAATGAGTTTCTGAGAAAGACCTCATCTTTCCTTCTCAGGTTTGAACCATCTCATTATCTGAGGCATCTTCGTTAGCTGCCGAAGAGTTTTAACAAGTTTCTTGAGTTTTGTTTTGGGAGAAAAAAAAAAGAGGGGAACGGAGACAAGTACCAAAATAACCAGCTTTAACAAATGGCTACTGGTTTAAAAATAGTGCAGGGGTTTACGTTTTTGCCTTTATCTCAGTGGTTGACCTTGCTAATACAGTATGTAGATCTCTTGCCAACTAATCGGCCAACTGTAAAGCATGGCTTCAAGCTGTGGTCAATGATCTGTAACAGGAATGAATGAGAGGGTTTTAGCAGCCAGGATCTGTAGCCTACTATCTGTATCTGACAGCTGTCACCCTCTCTGCAGAGGCCAAGGCCTAGACCTTCATTTAAAAGCAGCATGGCTGATCAGATTACTGGGACAGTGTGTCAAAACTGACTGTGCTGAACTAGGGAGACAGAAAGTAAATCTATAAATAGCAGTCTTGCTGCCTCCATGAAGCACTGAAGGGTAACCAATATTGAGCAGCAAATGCAATGTTTAGTCTTTGCAGCCGGTGGGATACAAGTGCGGCCAGATCAGAAGTCTTGCTCTATGATATAATGTAATGGAAAGATCGGCTTTATGGGCAAGAATTTAAAAGAGTTACATTCTTGGCAATGGTAATGGTCGCAGAACAATAATTGGTTTGAACCAACTTTATGAGCTAACAAGGTTCCCTAGCACTTAATAATGTCCTCAGGGCACAGGGACTCAGCAAGTCACCTTTCCCATAACGTGCTGGCTGCCTGTTTCTGACAGTCCATGGGGACCGCCAGTGCTGAAACACAGAGAGTGATAAAATAAGAGGCTCTCCATTTGATATCTATTATAGATGTCAACTGGGTCTTCAACCAGAACAGCTGCACAAAGTACTTGGGGAGAGCGGAGCATCGTGAGGGTGAGTTATCTATAGACCATGCTGATAGCACGGCTCAGACACTGGACATCACTGGGTTATAAATGAGCCAGCTGACATTTTTATAGTATGTACCAACTCTTCCAAGAACCATTTGTCACTCTTCAAGGTTTCCGCTGATAAAACTGGGATGTCTAAAAATTTGTCAACAGCCACAGAAAGTAACCCTGAGGTCATGTCAGAGGGTGAAAAAGAATGTGCTTACTTGGCATTCTGCAAACACACAAATGGAACACTGGTGGCGACAGTGTTTCAAAGGTCTCTCCAGGTGGCAGAGTTCCCAGTTGGCTCTGGTCTCCCTGCCAAGGATGTGGACATGGAGATGGTGGATTCAGGAGCAGTGCATGATAACCAAGCCCTCACATACCTGGTCTGAACGAGAGACCTCAAACCCCAGCACAGCCACTGGGGCCTTGCAGATGAAGGAGACAGGTGTCCTGTGTGCCCACTTGAGAACAGTCCTCACTGCGATGGAGAAGATGGGGATGAGGCAAGTGATTTTTTTTTCCCCCAAAGTGCATCCAATTGCCCTGGCTCTTCTGTAAAAAGTTCACCTTGAACACTAAATTTCAAAAGTAGTAAAAACATTTAAAAAAGTAACAACTGCGAACACTTTAACACACCAGGCATTGAGAGCTTTATGTGTATATCCCATTCAATCCTCACAATCTGAAGAGCTAGGTACTCCCGTTATCCTTATTTTACAGATTAAAACCTGAGATACAGAATGGTTAAGGAAACTGCTCAAGGTCACACAGTTAGAGGAAAAGTCAGGATTCAAATTCAGGCAGGCTGGCTCCACAGCTAACACATGAACTCACATATTCCCCATAAAACAGTCTCCCCAAGAAGACACTATATTAGAAAGTGAACATGTGCAAAGAAAAGACCAAAGTGACTTATTCTGAACTATGTAGGAGTCAAAACATGAAGAAGAAAACAAAAAAGACCATCTGCTCCGATGGCTCTATGACTCCGAATAAACTCTTTCTGCAACATTTGCTAAGCATACATTTCCTAAGCACCTCTATCTCCAGGTACCATGTTAAGCTGAGAGGTACTAAAGTGTGTGAGAAACAGACTCTGAGAAACCCAGTCTAGTGTTGTTGCTCATATGGTGCCTCTATTCTGGAGATCCTAGAGAGCTATACCCTCACTGGCATTTGCTTTGGCCTCTTCAGACATTAAAAAACAGCTTTACCTAAAGAACACACCTGGGGGGTCAGGGCACACTGTGGGAGGAGCGCCCTTAGTGCAGTTCCCAGGTCCATGGAAAACAATCACCAGGAAGTGCTTTGAACGAAAATGAGTTGATGAACCCTCAAGCTAACACTCAGGCCTCCCTACGCCATTGCTGCTGGCCATTTTGGGGCTTCTGCCGGCACTGTGTACTGCCCAGAGAGTGGAATGAGCCCAATTAAAAAGTCACATGTGTTCCCTGGCTTTAAAAGTGACACACTGGTTTTCTGTCACTATCTCTTGGAATCACTGATGCTGGAGCTGTGAGGGATAACTAGAGATCATTTAATTCAACCTCCTTTATTTAATGGATCAGAAAAGCAGGGCCCCCAAAAGGTTAAGTGGCTTGCCCAAGGACAAAGAGCCAGAGAGTGGCAGAACCAGGATAGGACCCAGGTCTGGGCACTCTCAATGGAAATTTTTTTTGATGACCCCATACTGCTGTCCATGGAATGGATGCAGTACTCTGAAATCAGTAAATTCAATCAAGTCAAATGTATGTTTTGAAAAAAGTCAAGAATGAAGAAATAGAGTTTGAAGAACATTCAACATTCATGAGGTGTGCCCATTTCAGGTCACTGGAGACATTTCTCTGGTGCAAAGGTTTTCCTAATAAAGGGTTTCATTGGCCAGTTGGATCGAGACATGAACACACTGATATTTTGCTTCTAGCAATACCTTAAACCCCCAGTTAGGCAAGTATAAAAAACGGCAATGGCCTTGAGAGTGCAGCATGGTTTATACATGGCATACACATCTTTGAGGATTTGGAGAAATCTACAAGGGATCCAATGCTTTTCCACCTATTGACATTTACAAAGCAGTTTAAATCATGCATGAGAGGCCTCAGGCACATGCAGTTCACAAAACATAACTCTGAGCTCCCAGGGAATTTAAGCTGACCAACACTCTTTATTAGAACCGACAGTGAAAGACAGCTATTGCGAAATTCGTACCAGAAATGCAATACCAAGATGACAGCCTTAATGCCAGTGGATATATTATGTAGATTACCTGACTCAAATCTTTCTTGTTAAATAAGTTTCATGCATTCTTTTTTTCTCCTCAAGAATATCCTTCTGGCTTCACTGGAGGAGTATTCCTTAAGTTCCTTGATCATTCATCTGTTTTTCAATATTTTGGACATGCTAACTTAGCATGAAAGATCAGATAGAGATATTTAAACAGTGGGAAACAGTTAAACCTTTAAATGAACAACAGACCTGAACCACAGATTAAATATTTCAATGCTATTTTTTTGTATAATGTTCCAATATTTAATAGTTTTTAAAAAGAAACATTTTCCTAAGGCCGATCCATTCCAGATACTCAATTCCCATGTAATCTAAGATTATACACATATAAAAATGTAATTATACATTAAAGATACTTTCATCTGCATGCTTTTACAGGACAGGAATTTCAAGGAAATAAGTTCCCAGTAGAAGCTGGCCAGGGACAAAAGACAAGAAATACACCTTTCCTCTCCCATCTTCATAGAAATTGAAATACAATGTAAATGTTTTAAATTCTGCTTGACTAGGAGACAGAAGGAAGAGGTCAACATGACTAAGACCAGAAAAGGAAGTCTGTTGGTAATTTGGCACTGGTGACAATTGGCCAAAGGCAAATTTGGCAGAGGCTGAATTAGAGTGAAAGTGCTATTATTTGGAGGTTTCTTGGTTTCTGAATGGATCGGATTCTTTGCTTCATATTCTGGACCTTCCAAGCTGCCTCAATCTTATGCACACAGTGTTAAATGTTATCAGTACTTAAGTGGCAGCACGGTCGTCTTCCTTTTCTATGCAACACAGTCACAGTAAATTAAAGCAGCTCCATACACGCTTCTGTAGTTAAGGTTCACATCCCTTGGAATGTGCTCAGTGTTTGTGTACAGTATGTATCAAGCTACCTTGAACTTGCTTGTCTATTGTATTCTAATAGTTACAACAAAGGGTTCAGAGTCCATGAGCACAAAGCTCTGTCTATAGTCTCAGGAAATTATATGCTATTCTCATACAATTATTAATATTTTTCAAGTATATGGAAATGCTTCAATGATCATTAAAATATATTTTCTTTTTAAAAGCAAAGCTGAATTCATAGTTATTGATTGTTTGATGGATTGACAGTGTCTCGCTCTATCACCCAGGATGGAGTACAGTGGTACAACCCTGGCTCACTGCAGCCTCAACCTCCTGTGCTCAGGCAATCCTGCTGCCTTAGCTTCCTGAGCAGCTGGGAGTACAGGCATGCACTGCCACACTGGGCTAATTTTTGTATTTTTTTGTAGAGACAGGGTTTCCCTATGTTGCCCAGGCTGGTCTTGAATTCCTAGGCTCAAGCAATCCTCTCACCTTGGCCTCCCAAAGTATGAAATTACAGGCCTGAGCCACTGCTCCCTGTGCATAGTAACCTTCTATTCCTTTTTTTAAATGAACAATTTCCATAAAAGTAGAGAGAACTGTATAATAAACTGCTACCTACCAGCACTCAGCTTCAACAATTATCAACTCATGGCCAGTCTTATTTCATCTACCCATTCCCACTACTCCCACCTTTCCAGATAATTTTAAAACAAATCCCAGACATATCATTTTATGCACATGTATCTTAAATGTGCATTTTGTACTTTTAAAATTACAAGATAATAAAGGTAAACTATTACTATGTAGAGTTCTAATTTTTATTTATTTATTTATTTTTTGAGACAGAGTCTCACTCTATCGCCCAGGCTGGAGTACACTGGCACGACCTCGGCTCACTGCAACCTCTCCCTCCCGGGTTCAAGCGATTCTTCTGCCTCAGCCTCCTGAGTAGCTGGGACTACAGGCGAGCACCACCACCCCCGGCTAATTTTTGTATTTTTAGTAGAGACAGGGTTTCACCATATTGACCAGGCTGGTCTTGAACTCCTGACCTTGTGATCCATCCGCCTCGGCCTCCCAAAGTGCTGGGATTACAGGCGTGAGCTACCGTGCCTGGCCTAATTTTTTTAATATTTAAAAATTATCCTCGTACTAAAAAAACCTCACAAAAACCAAACTAAATGACTACTTTGCTAGAGGCTTTGATGGATCACAATAATATGTTCAAGAGCAGAGAATTTCTAATTCCTTTATAACCACCAGAAACTAACAAGCTGTGAGTAGCTGGTGTTCAGTGAATGATTTTCAAATGATTTCTTGACTGATACCCACTATATGCAAACATAAATAAACTGCATTATTGTAATCAAAGCCCAATGGTGAATATATTAATAGACTAAGCTTGAAATGAAACCACCTTAAAAAGAGTTATTGTTGGTGTTAAATAAGAGCTGTATCATGTATCCTGTAATCTAAGTAGTAAACCTAATTGCCCAGCCCATAGGCAGGCCACAGTCTTTCAAAAGATGATGATAAAGAAAGTGCAGATATATTTTTATGTGCTGGGTATAAAAACATAGTGGTGATAATTACTCGAGCATCTAAGGTCATGTACAATCTGTTGGTGACCCTTCAGACACTGAGCATGGAGAAGATTGAGGCAGTCTGACACCCTACAATCATCTAAATAAACTTCCAAAAAACTGTCTTCTAAGCTTACAGTTATGTCTTTGAAAAATCACAGCACTGAATGAATTACATGATTGTAATAGAACTGACAGCTGATGAAATAATGCAAGAAAAATAATCTACTAGTGACCTCAGATGAAACCACAAAGACATTAGGCTAATGGAAGTAAAATTGCTCATTGCCTAGTGATTTTACTTTTTTATTATATATTAAAATAAAAAGCCGACTTAAACCTTTCTCAGGATATTGCATTTTGAAACTAACCACAAAATACTTCCAGAAAAGGGGCTTATTTCAGAAAATCCATATGCATTTTGATTTTTTCAAGGGTGAGCAAGCTTTCTATATCACAGGGTAGTTAAATGTGGAAAAAATGGAGCAGCAATATGAAATAAGTGAAGATCATTGATCTGCAATAGTCTATAATTAGCATTTTAAGGGCAGAACACCTGTTTTACTGAGGGAACATACATATGCAGCACACTTCCTCACTGTAATTACGAGAGTGAATGATGTCCTACAGTTTCTCAATTTCCACCGCTTTTCTCTGATTTTCAGTCCTGCAGGTGGGCAGTAAGGCAGCCCATTTGAAAGAATACCTGGTGGGCCCAATCCCTCTCCGCCATCTCCGGGAAGTGAGGCTCTTCTCCTCATTCTCTACCCACTCACCTCAAGGGTGCATGAGGCCAATTTTAATAAAGTATAAACTGGATAATGTCCTGAAGTGAGAAACAGAATCCGTTAAGACAGACAAAACCAGTGACATCTATTAACATCGTTTTCTTTTAAAAAACATTTCTTCTATCAGAAATGAGCTCAACAGGGAAATGGCACATGTAATTGGGAATAATAAAGACAGATGGGATTACTCCAAGATGTCTCATAGCATCATAAAGTCTCTTGGTACTTTGGAAAGGGCTACCACATACCTCCTTCATGTTAACATTAAGTGGTAAAAGTTTAATTTTTCATACTTTCAGAGAATACCCTCACTACGAGGGAGGACCCCCAGTTATACCAGGGAATAAGTATCATTCTTATCTAAGTCCAATCTTCAATGATAAAATCCTACCACTGCCTGAGAGTATGCCTAGCCACTCTCTGCTTGGTGACAGTGAGCTCATTCTTTCCAGAGGCAGTCTATTCCATCTTTACATAGCTCCACTTTTAGATTTTAGTTTTACAATTCTGTCTCCTTGTAGTTTCAGCCCACTTTTCCTAGCTCTACCCTTAAAGATCCCACAAAGTAAGTCTCATCTCTCTTTCACTTAAAAGGCTTTTAAATCCTGCGTTGCAAAAAGTCACTGTATTCCTCAAATCTCTTCTCCATGTCAACATTTCTCGTCATTTCAACAGTTCATTGGACACCGCTCCAAAAATCTCTTAGTTGTCATTTGCTTATTCATTTGTCCATTCATTCATTCATTCCCCAGGTAAACACCTATAGTTATTCCAACTGTTCTTCATAACGCATGGCTTCAGGAATATGTTATTCATTATTTGTTGTTAGTTTATTCATTCATTTGTTCAGCAAACACCGACTGAGCCTCTACCTCTATTAAGTTCCAAGTATTATCCTGGGTACTCTGGACACAAAGAAATAAGGGGTTCCTGGTGACAATCTGGTAGGAACAGTCAGACCTGTGGACATGGAATCATGATGCCACGTGGTAAGTGCTATCCTAGAGGTATGTAAATGAAACAGTGGTGACATAAATGAGCAGAGATTCTAAGATCACTTCCAAATACTTTATAATCTACTGGCCTATCAATACAGACCCTGACATAAGCTACTATTCCACCTGGAGTGAGTTTTTTCAGTAGGAGTAACGGGTTGTACTGCTGTAGCAGACATTGTTAGTTGTCGACCCTGGCAGCTTGTCATCCTTCATTCTCTGTTATTAGAAAACATCAACTTTGTTCAGGTAGGAAAGTGACATGTGTCCAGGCCAGGAGATAACCAAGTGGTCTAATCTATATTTGCTAGTGACTGGTTTGTGGCACCCATGTGTATTTGTCCATTTTGTGCTGCTATAAAGGAATACCTGAGGGTGGATAATTTATAGAGAAGAGGTTTATTTGGCTCATGGCTCTGCAGCTTGTACAAGAATTATGGTGCCAGCATCTGCTTCTGGTGAGGGCTTCAGGGAGTTTTACTCGAGGCAGAAGGCAAGGGTAGTCAACAGGGCACGTGGTGAGAGGGGAAGAAGTGCCAGGCTTTTTTAAACAAGCAGCTTTTGTGTGAACTAGTAGAGTGAGAACTCATTCATTACCACAGGGAGGACACCAAGCCGTTCATGAGGGATCCACCCCGTGACCCAAACACCTCCCAGCGCCCACCTCGAACACTGGAGATGCAATGTCAACAAAAGATTTGAAGGGAACAAGTATCTAAACCTTATCAACACGTGACCTAGTTCTGGCTATTATCTGTAAGGGGCAATCTGCTGCAGGACCCCCGGAAAGGATTTTCCTTCCTGCTAAAAAGAAAGACACAATTAAGGAGTAGGTCTGCCCTTTTCCTTCCCTCCTTGGGTATATGGTGTGGAGATACCATGCTTGTAGCCATCTTATCAACCTAACGTAAAGCTTCCTAGGAGTCAGCCTAATACACATCTGGTTACCTCTGACTATCTCATCACTGTTGCTCAGGCTGGAATGCAGTGGATTATAGTTCACTGCAGCCTCAAACTCCTGGGCTCAAGCAATCCTTCCACCTCAGCTTCCTGAGTAGCTGGGACTACAGGTGCGTGCCACTATGCCAGGCTAATTAAAAAAAATTTTTGTAGAGACAGGATCTTGCTATGCTGCCCAGACTGGCCTCAAGCTCTTGGCCTCAAGCAATCCCACCACAGCCTCCCAAAGTGCTGGGATTACAAGTGTGAGTCCCTGTGCTTGGCCCTATGGCTACCCTATGGCTACTTTGGATGAGGCATTCTATTACTTGCAGCTAAAAGCATCTCGACTGGTACAGAGTCTTTGGAGCAAGTGCCTTGGTGACAGACTGGTTGAGATGAGGGGTTCAGTTCTTACTGGTAAAACAAGAGACAACTGATGAGTTTGGAGAGGGAGCCTGTGATCTCACATGCTAAGATTTAGAAAGGAAAAATGAAAACTAAAGGAAAATTATTAGATGATGATGACAGTTCAGCCCTGCTTTGGAACTTCTCTTCCAAACCAGGGAAGTGAGAGACAATTCATCTTGCTTTTTTTCACAGACACAAACTTTTAAAACTTTATGGGGTCATATTTGTCTAAAGTAAAAAGGACCAATACGATGATTTACATCCTAAAAAGTAAAAAGAATGATTGTAAGCCAAAGCTTTCAATCTTCTGATCTATCTGCTTTTACTTGATTTTGCCACTTTCAAGAATGTAATCAAATCCACTAAAAATTTCAACTATATTTGCCTGGTGTGAGATTATTACACGTTGTTTCAGTCCTCAATCAGAGGACAAAATTAGAAGTCAAACAAAAGTTCTAGGAAAAACAAAAAAGGAGACACCTAGCAGTGAAGCAAAATAAAGATGAGGTTTCAAGGCTAATGCTGGAAGCCTTATAGCTTGAAATAATAATCTATCCTGGATTTCACAAAATATTAAGAAAATGAATTCTTCTGCTTTCTCTAGTTGGCACCTAAGTGTAACTTTGAGAAGATGAAATTTGTTCATTTATGAAGTGTTAATAATTGAAAAATGCTTTTGATAGAAAGTTTATTAGAAAGCTTAAAAAATAACCCTGTTGTTTTAAAACTCCATTTCCAACATTTGCTTCCAGCCCAAACATATTCCTTCATTCATTCAATTGATTTTCCAATGGAAGACCATTGGAGGCACATCAGATATAGCAGCGAATATGACAGACAAAACCCCTGTCCTTGTGGCACCAACACTTCAATGGAGCAGACAGGCAGTAAGTAAGTGAATATAGATGTATATGGATGTGTGGGTGTGTCTGTCTAAATGTTGGCTCAGTGCTGTGAAGAAGAGCAAAGCTGGATAAGTAGATAGAGTGATTTGGGGTGGGGGATGTACTGTTGTTGTTTTAATAGGGTAGTCAGGGAAGTCTCTCCAAGGAGATGACATTTGAATGAAGTGAGAGAACAAGCCAAGCGACCATCTATATAACGGGATAGAGCATTCAGGCAATGGAACCAATCTCTGTGGTGCAAATTAGCTCAGCTTGTTGGAAGGCCAGACCAAAGGCCAGCGTGACTGGAGCAGAGTAGTGGGAGACGAAGTCAGAGCAGTAGGCAGGCTCACAGCAGGGGAAAGACCTTTGTTCTAAGTGTGGTGTGAAGCCAGTGGTGGGTTTTGAGCATCCTGGCCTCTCAGTTCCTTGAACTCTTTGCAGCTAATGGTTTGGAAATCACAATTTTGAAACTGACATCATTATAGGTAGTGACAAGACGTAGGGCATAACAATGGGAATGGGGGGCAGAGGTGGATAAAGGAAAGACCACTGGAGGTAAGGAGGTTAGGAATCCAGAGGCCTGGGGCTCAGATGAGCTGCTCATGTCATTGCTGAGTTTAATGGAAGGAAAGGAGTGAGTCGGTGCTAAAATCTTCCACAAATGATGTTGAGACTGGGAAGTAAAGAAAGAGTAGAAGCTGGCTGGGAGTGGTGGCTCACACCTGTAATCCCAGCACTTTGAAAGGCCAAGGCAGGTGGATCACTTGAGGTCAGGAGTTTGACACCAGGCTGACCATATGGTGAAACCCCATATCTACTAAAAATACAAAAATTAGCTGGGTGTGGTGGTGTGTGCCTGTAGTCCCAGCTACTTGGGAGGCTGAGACAGGAGAATTGCTTGAACCCGGGAGGCAGAAGTTGCAGTGAGCTGAGGTCACACCACTGCACTCCAGCCTGGGTGACAGAGCAAGACTCCGCCTCAGAAAAAAAAAAAAAGAAAGAAAGGAAGGGTAGAAGCCATCAGATCAGATGGTGTGTTAGTCTGTTCTCACGCTGCTAATAAAGATACACTCAAGATTGGGTAATTTATAAAGAAAAAGAGATTTAACGGACTCACAGTTCCACATGGCTGGGGAGGCCTCACAATCATGGTAGAAGATGAGGGAAGAGCAAAGGCACATCTTACATGGCGGCAGGCAAAGAGGGAGCATGTGCAGGGAGACTCCCTTCTATAAAACCATCAGATCTCGTGAGACTTATTCACTATCACGAGAACAGCACAGGAAAGACCCACCCCTGTGATTCAATTACCTCCCACCAGGTCCCTCCCACAACGTATGGGGATTATTACAATTCAAGGTGCGATTCAAGGTGAGAGCCAAACCATATCAGATGGCATGGCCTATCAGATGGCATGGCCTTCAAAGGTGAAACAGGAATAATGTCTCTACATTTTGCAAGGAAAGCAAAAGACCCTTGTCCCTGGGCTTCACTCCACAAGAATATTTGTCTACAGCAACACGTTACATTCATAAGATGCAATGTTTCCCATCTAGGAATGAAGAATAGCACATAGTCTGACAACCTAGAAAGGAAATAGGATGAATAAACTTTTAACTATTTTTCTCATAAGTACATTTTCACCTCACATATTTGATGCTATTCAGAAATGAGTTGTTCTACAGTAGCATATTTTTCAGAAAGCTGAGGCTTACACCTTTAAGTAAAACACTTAACTATATCAAGAGCAATCTCCCCTGCTTCCATACAAGTTTCCCACACTTGGTTACCTCGAGCTTTATTTCATCTTCTCTTGATAACAGGCCACCTTCATGGGGACCAGTCACTGTGCCTGCTCCTGACAGTGGCTGAGATGGAATGCCCCCAGGTGCCCACATGTGGATGTCAGTGCTCTAGGTGCCCCTTCATGGAAGGGTCCCCCACAGCTGCTAGTAAGGAAGTACACAGAGAGAGAGAAGAGCTGGGACAGTTGAAACAGTTTGGTCTTTTCTTGCCACAACAGTTGCTGCTTACTGCTGGCAGCATGAGTGGCGATTTGTTCCTAAATTTTACGCAGAGTATCTGTTCAGGGGCTGGAGGGTAGGGACACCTGGACCAGAGAGCCAAGTGCCTGGGCTTCGGGAACAGCACTTTGCCATTCAGAATCAGGCCCTGTGCACAGTAGGTGCTGTCAGAACTCCAACTTCTGATACAGTGAGGTGTCCCTGTGCTTATGGAAGCCAGGAAGAATACTTGTGGAATTCTTGCCCATCAGCAAGCAGAAAGCAGTGAAGAGTGAAGGTGGGAACGCCATCCCCACTCCACCTGGCTGGGAAGCCTCTTGCAGGATGCAGCTGGGTACAGTTTCATGGAGCAGACTGCAGAGCTTTACTCTGAGTGTTCTTGGCGATTTAGTGAAATATTTCTGCTCTCCTGTGAGCCCTGCACAGACCCCCTGCTCCAGCTCTGGAAGGGCTGCTGGAAGTAGGGCCTGGAGTCATCCTATCGTTGCCTCTCAGCTGGCTGGAGGATGCACACAAACACAAAAGGTGATATTGACAGTCAGCATCAGATCTGACTGCTCCCGACAACTCCTGTGATACAGCAGCCTCCGGGACTTGAGGACACATCTGTGAGGAGATGTAGTAGCTGCCATCTGCACAAACTGCATTATTTAACTGCACTGGCACTGATTAACATTTGCTGTAACCTATGGTAATGGGCTCTGGGGCTTTGCATGTCTGCTACACAGTGGCAGCTGATGTCTCCTGCTCCATCCTTAAAACAGGATGCTTTAATTTTTAATGGAGCACATGTTCGATTGGCTATACAAACAGGCTAATCTGCAAAGCATGTGCTCAATAACAAGCCTGACTATGCCGCCAGAATATCAACATGACTCGGCTAAGCTGGGGAGGAGTGGGTGGGACTCCTGCTCACCTCTGCCAGCCAAGGGCTGGGAGCTGGGAGCACTGGCCAGCTGAAAGTCCAGGGGTGGCTGTGGCCAGAGGCACATGTGACCTCCTCTGGAGACCCCGAGGGTCTTCAGCTTCTGGGTGCCTGCAAATCCTAGCCAGCAGGGAAAAGAACAAAATTGTGCATCCGGCAGGTTCAGGCCTCTAGTGTAAAGCCAGATGTGGCATTAAAGATGAAACTCCCCTCTGCTGCATGGGCATGACTAGAATGAGGTATATGCATCCAATTAGACTTACTGCCCGCCCTGCACTCTGCTCAAGGATGAGAATTTAAAGGCAAATAAAGCACAGTCCTTGACTTAATGAAAACTACACCAATGGCCACAGTGGCAGTGTGAGAAGTGGCATGTTAGGTGTAGGTACAAAGTTCTCTGGGAGCGCACAGGAGGAAGTCAGCCAAGAGGAGACTAGACTAAAGTTGGGTTCTGAAGGATGAGCAGGAGTTTACCAGAAGTACTTTTAAGATGACACCCAGTTATGAAGGAACACAGTGTGTGGGGAAGGGCAAGCAGTTTGAGGCACTAGTATGCAGCTTGAGATAATTACATCAAGGTATCTGGGGAGAAGTTGGACATTTGGATCCAGAACTTAAGGGAGAAGCAAAGGCTAGAGACAGAAAACTGGGTGGTTATCAGAAGACAGGTAATGTTGACACATGGAGCTCTGAGATAAATGGTCTCAAGAGAAGGGATCCAAGGACAGAAGTCTCAGGGCTACCAACATTGAACTTAGGGGATGGTTATAAGAAGTATCTCAAGGGGTGGGTAAAGAAGTGAAGGAAGGGAGAATTCCAGGCATAACAAGAGGCCACAACCTCAAGGCAGTCAAGTAACTAAAGCCTCGAAGACTTGATCACAGCTGCGATTGTCACAACCCAGCAATGACAATCCCAGTCCTTATGAGTATGAAGTGCTTTCACATCTATTATTTCACAACAATACTGCAAGATAGGCAGATGTCACTCTTCCCTTCTTTTCTAGATGAGTGATATAGTTTGGGTATTTGTCCCTGCCTAAATCTCAGGTTAAAAATGTAATTGCCAATGCTGGAGGTGGGACCTGATGGGAGGTATCTGTGTCATGAGGGCAGACCTCTCATGGTTTGGTGCTGTCCTCATAACAGTGAGTGAGGTCACATGAGCTCTGGTTGTTTGAAGGTGTGTGGCATCGCCCCTCTCTCTCTCCCTTGCTCCTGCTATCACCATCTGATGTGCCTACCCCCGCTTTGCCTTCTGCCATGATTAGAAGCTTCTTGGCCAGGCGTGGTGGCTCATGCCTGTAATCCCAGCACTTTGGGAGGCCAAGGCAGGCGGATTACAAGGTCAGGAGATCAAGACCATCCTGGCTAACAAGGTGAAACCCTGTCTCTATTAAAAAATACAAAAAAATTAGCCGGGCATGGTGGTGGGCACCTGTAGTCCCAGCTACTCAGGAGGCTGAGGCAGGAGAATGGCATGAACCCGGGAGGCAGAGGTTGCAGTGAGCCGAGATCGCACTACTGCACTCCAGCTGGGCGACAGAGCGACGAGACTCTGTCTCAAAAAAAAAAAAAAGCTTCCTGAGGCCTCCCCAGAAGCCAAGCAGATACCAGTGCCATGCTTTTATGGCTTGCAGAACCAGGAGCCAATGAAACCTCTTTTCTTTATAAATTACCCAGCCTCAAGTATTTCTTTATAGAGATGCAAAAATTGCCTAACACAATGAGGAAACAACATCAGAGAAGGTTAGACTTCCCAAAGCCAAACAGTTTCAGTCACAGTGGGAGTGCTGGGACTAGAAGGCCACTCTGCAAACTCTCAGCTCCAGACAGGACACTGTGCCAGGGTCCAAGAATATGAGGGTCCCAGGTCCAAGGAGGTAACTCTGGAAAAAGGCTCCCAAGTCAAAATTCTCAATACCATCTCCTCCCCTGGGGTAATCACACAATGTGCTCAGCATACTCAAGGCTTTGAGAAGTTCTGCACTTAAGCATGAGCTACCAATGAAAGCAACCTGTCTAACTTTAACTCACTATTTCCCAAACTTATTTGCTCTTGGAATCCTTTTTTCAAATTTTATCTTTTAACATTCCTAGGAAGAATTCAGGAAATCCTGCTCTAATAAACTCACAGGAATGCTTCCTCCAACAGGGTCTTGGTTTTGAGTGGTTTGTGTCTGGGCAAGATGGGTGGGCACTGTTTTAACCACACACTTTCAGCCATCCATCCCTTCTCTGTCTCCACTGTTCTTTCCAGATACTCTAGTATCTTTCATAGTAAATGACATTTATTTGCTCATGTTTTTCTCTCCATCAGCTAAAGGACATATTTTATCCATCTCTGCATTCACAGTGTCCAGCTCTATTACCTGGCAAAGAACAGGAACCCAGGGAATATTTGCTGAATTGAACTAAAAAATTCTACAGTGGTGGAATAGAGCTAAGCCAATTAACATGTGCTCAAAGCTTCAACCCAGGCCTCCTTGGCACAGTGTTGTCATCACAGGAGGCCAACCGTCCAATGTGACAGCTGATCACTGTCCATCTGGACTGCCACTTGGAGACCTTCAGTGGGTGGGCAGCCTGCCTTTATGAGTCACATAGCTCTGGGTCCTGGACAGCTTTTCAGCCTGTATAGCCCCTGACTGCCCCCCTGGCCTGGCTGCACAGGGCAGCAGATTTTGCTGCTAAGTATCTTCCCCTTCTACCTCCAGGCTGGCTTCTCTGGTGAAACAAAGCCCTGGAGGTAAGAGAAATCTCCCGAGAGGCCAGACTATCCTGGGGCAAAGAGCATCCCTTGGGGACATGCAGTTTATTGATGTTTATGTGTTTTCCCCTGGATGGCAGGGTATTTGGAGGACTTGGGTGGGTTGGGGGTTATTAATAAATGCCCATCCCAGAGTTGAGGTAGTTGAATTGTCAAAAGGCCTTTTTGGTTTGTGACCAGCCTGCATGCATGACCTCGTTTCAAAAAAAAAAAAAAAAAAAAGAAAGAAAAGAAAAGAAAAAAAAGAGGCCGGGCACAGTGGCTCACGCTTGTAATCCCAGCACTTTGGGAGGCTGAGGTGGGCAGATCACCTGAGGTCAGGAGTTCGAGACCAGCCTGGCCAACATGGTGAAACCCCATCTGTACTAAAAATACAAAAATTAGCCAGGCGTGGTGGTACACGCCTGTAATCCCAGCTACTTGGGAGGCTGAGGCAGGAGAATCACTTGAACCCAGGAGGCGGAGGTTGCATTGAGTGGAGATCGCGCCATTGCACTCCAGCCTGGGCGACAAGAGCGAAACTCCGTCTCAAAAAAAAAAAAAAAAGGCCAGGTGCAGTGGCTCATGCCTGTAATCTCAGCACTTTGGGAGGCCGAGGTGGGTGGATCATGAGGTCAGGAGTTTGAGACCAGCCTGACCAATGTGGTGAAACACCGTCTCTACTAAAAATACAAAAAAAAATGAGTTGGGTGTGGTGGCGCGTGCCTGTAATCCCAGCTACTTGGGAGGGTTGAGGCAGGAGAATTGCTTCAACCCGGGAGGCGGAGGTTGCAGTGAGCCGAAATCGCACCACTGCACTCCAGCCTGGGCGACAGAGCAAGACTCCGTCTCAAAAAAAAAAAAAAAAAAAAAAAAGAAAGAAAGGCCTCTTTCTCAAGGTCTCCCAATACAACCTTTAAAGTCTTAAAAAAAAAAAAATCACCTTGCAAATATTTAGCATTACTTGCCCTGTCCCATTTAAAGTGGTTCCTGCTATAGTTGCCAAAGTTGCACAAACCTCTTTCCTGTTCTCACTTGATTTAGCTCACTGGAACAAGTAGACAGTTTTCTGTATTGCCTACAAAGACAGAGTCAACACTTGGCTGCCTGCCTTGTGAGACCTGTGTGTATCATGACCACAGCACAAAAACACTGCCAACAGACCCCAGGAAGAAGGCAGAGGGTTACTCGAATCCAACCCCATGATGCCTCCACTGCCTGTCTTTGTCCTTCCAGGTGCCCAAGTGTCATTTTCCCCCTTGCAGTGGTGTCCTGGTAATAGGTGCTTCATTTTCTTGTAAGATTTCTAAAAAACTGTGGCACATGAACAATGAATGCAATAAAATGAGAATTAGGTTGGCTGGGCTGTGTCTATGCCACCAAATAGAAAAAAAGATGGCTTGGGTGAAGGCTGAATGACCAGAACAGAATGTATCCCCTAAAATACGCACAGGGTCTGTCTGGCTTTTGGGATTTCCACTGCTTACGGTCTCTGCTGACAAGTCCATTCTTCTACAAGTCAGAAACAAGAGAACAGCAGAGCTGATATCCTCATTTGTCAGAGGAGTAAGCTGGGGTCTAGAGAGAGTACGTCATTTGCTCCAGGCCTTCTGCTGGCTCGTGACAGCACCAGTACTTTAACTGCAGTGCTGGGTCTGGCTGGACATATTTCTTTCTAATACACTATGCTATACCTAGTGCTACCAATCTATTTGATTATTCAGATGGTCAACAGGGCTGTGAGGAAAGTGTTTGTGCTGGAAAATTCACATGTTTCCATTATGAGTACCATGGGGGTTGCTTTGACAATATGGCTGAAACTACTTCATTCACTTCCTGTTACTCCAGGAAGCCCACAGGCCTGTTACTGCTTCAGATTTGGGGGATCTGGGCCATCAAGCACTTTAATTAGTCTGTCTGGAAAAATGTAACTGATCAAATTAAATATTAGTCACATATAAACTGTAGGTCTAAATCCGTAGGGGAATCATTAGGCAGGAAGGGCCATTTCTAAATGCAGACCTTTTTTACGAAAATTTTCAAAGGCCTCTCTTCCTGCTCTCTGTCCCCTGCCAAGTAAATTGAGTTCAAAGCAAAAACAAACCTTCTATTTTCCAAGCACAACAACGATGTCTAACCAGAAGTTTCTTTTGCTGAAATATTGAATGGAAAATTCAGTTCCTTAAATCTTTCTAAATCTTTGCCTCTGATTGGGTTCATTAATAAACATGCTGATTTTGTTACAGGGAGAGACATATGGTATAATCCGCTAACAGGAAGAAGTATTTTGCATTTTATTGTAGAAAACAAACATGCAAACAGGTTCTCACAGATGGTTTTCTTAGCTTCTGGGAGGGAAAAAAGCTTAATAATGCTTGAAACTAGTTTTTCTCTTTAACAACAACAAAAAAATCCTTGCACATCTCTAGTGGAACTGCGTATAAATTAGATTAAGTTCCACTCCAAGGTTTTAACAATTTAGAATTCACTTTTTCTCTTGTTTAAACACACACGCACATGCACACGCACATACACACACAAAGATACACATACTCTTTTCCCTACTCCCTCCCCTCTCTTCTCCTCTTCTCTTAAAAATATAGTATTAACTTGCTCAGAGAGGCAGAGATAATTCAGCAATGCTTCACTTATCAATGATCATAAAGGAATAAGGTTTTCTCACAAATAAATTTTCCAGATAATTGATGCTAACCCTTCAAGTTTATCAAAATTGGTAGTGATGGTGGTTTTCCCTTTAAATAGGCTTTCTTTTTAAGAACAATTTTAGACTTCCAGAGAAATTGAGAAGATAGCAAAGAGCATTCCCATATACTTCATATCCAGTGTCCCCTATTACTAAATCTTACATTAGTATGTCATGTGTGTTAGAAGTAATGAACCAATACTAACATAGCACTACTAACTTCAGTCCATAGTTTATTTAGATTTCCTTAATTTGTACTTAGTATCTTTGCTCTGTCCCAGGATCCCATCTAGGGTGGCCCATTACATTTAGTTGTCATGTTTCCTAGGGTTCTTTTGGCAGTTTCTTCAAATTTCCTTGTTTTTGGTGACCTTGACATTTTTTAGGAATATTGAGCTATTCTATAGGAATGCCCCCCTACTGAAACTTGTCTGATGCTTTTCTCATGATTAAGACTGGGTTGAGAGGTTTTTGGGAGGAAGACTACAGAGGTGAAATGCCATTGTTTTCACATTGTATCAATGGTCTGTTCTATTAATGTGATTTGTGACTACTGATATTGTCCTTGGTCACCAGGTTGAAGGTCTCTCCACTGTCAATGGACTCCCCTCCCCCTCCCCTACTACTCTTTGGGAAGGAGCCACTACCTGGAACTCACATTGAGGGAGTGGGGCATTATGCTTCCCCTGCTTGAGGGTGAGGTATCTGTGTAAATTACTTGGAATTCTTCTGTGTGGGAGGTTTGTTCCTTCTCCTCCATTTATTTATTTCTATCAGTATGGAGTCATGGATATTTATTTTATACTTTGGGTTATAATCCGATGCTTCCTTATTGTTTTGCTCTAATTATCCAGGAGTGGCCATTAGCTCTTTCAGTTGGCCTCTGTGTTTCTTTGATGTGCCCCTATCAGTGTGAGTTTTGTTTTTTGTTTTAGGACTTCCTTACTTTCTGGCACCATAACATACTCCAGGTTCATCTTGTATATTCCTGCCTGAGTTCCAGAAGCAACCATTTCACTCAGGAGTCCTAGTTCTTTTTATTGGAGAATGGTAATAGGAACCAAGATCTAGATGAAGGTGTGCTTGTTGACACTGGGGTGTCCGTTTCTTTCAGGCCATCTCAGTTGTCAGGGCACAGAAATACATATGGGTACTAACCCTTTTATATGCACAGATCTGTAAAGATTTCTATATGTGACTATTTGTATCTATGTTAAGCTAAACATGAGCTCATACTGATATTTTTAACTCTAACCCATTACCACATGCATCAGTGTAGCCTCCTCCCTAGTTTATCTGTAAATTCCCACTCCAATAGCAAGAAGCCTGGCTAGATGGTGGGTTTTATTTTATTATTACATACTTATTTTAAAAAAGATTCTTTGATGAGGATCCTCCTTAGAAGCTACAGGAGCTAATGAGTTCTTTCTGCAGCAAATGGGGCTTAACTTCTTTGAGGACACAGGATTATCACAAAAAAAGCACTGTTCAGCTTATTTTTTTTGGCAATCCCCCCATCCTTCAAAGCTTAGTTATTAATCTTCAACTCATAAAACCAGAATCAGAATCCAAAGAGGTGCCGAAGGACTAGAATAATGGGTCGACACTAACATGCTAGAATTTCATAGGGATAATTATAAAGCATTGTACTTGAATCTGATTCATCAGCCACAAAAGAAATGGATGGCGTCACTGGAGTCTTGGCTTGCTCAGCCAATGTCCTCAGACCTTATCAAGTCTGGGGAGTTGCCTTCCACTGACCTACCAGTGGTGCTTTTAAATTCTTGAGCATAAGATTTGTCCCTGTAGGTGTCCAGGAAATATACATGGGATATTTAAATGCATTTCCAATATGCCCCCTCACTATCAGCTACTGTCCTTTCACTTTTTGGCATCCTTTATGTTCAAGTCCTACTTCGTCTCTTCTCTAACACCTTTCCTAAAGTATAGCTGCAAAAACAAAACAAAACCATCAACAAGCTAGAAAACCAAGTGCCAATGCTTTTTAAAACAATAGGTAGACATGAAGATGAGGTTCTGTATAGACCAGAGATCTTCCAGTGGGTTACATAAATGAGCCTGGAGAGTGTGTGGTGTCTACCTTTTCCTACTCAGGGCTCCTTCGTGTTGTTTCAGGGCTTATCTTGTCTGTTCTGGTCAGGTTGCTGAAATAACCACCCACTAAGAGGAGCACTGTGAAACCTGAGTCAATGCGAAGTGGCTTTTTAAAAAATTTTTTAAGAGATAGGATCTTACTCTGTTGCCCAGGCTGAAATGCAATGGCATGATCATAGCTCACTGTAACCTTGAACTCCTGGTTTCAAGTGATTCTCCTGCTTTGGTGCCCCAAAGCTTTGGGATTACAGGTGAGAGCCACCATGTCTGGCTGTAGAGTGGTATTTTTACTTCCTTGCTAATGCAGTCACCCATTCTTCCCTTTGCCTCTGTAAGGCTCATTTAAAATTCCAAAAGTTGCCTCTTTTGTCTCCTCATTGATATCATAAGTATAATCACTGATCTTTGGCATGACTTTGGATGAGTTTTAATTCCTAAAATTCTGTATCAGGCAAGAAAAAGAAAAGTCATCCCATATGGACAAGAAAGAAGCAAAACTGTCTCTATTCCAAGATGCCATGATCCTGTACACGGAAAAATCTGATAAAGGAATTTACAAAACAGCTATTAAAACTAATAAAAAAATTGGGCTGTCATACGATAGAAGACCAATATGAAAATCAATGTTTTTATATACTAGCAATAAACAATTGGAAAAAGAAATTTTAAAAATTTTATTCACAATAACACAAAAGAAGTGCAACACTTGCACACCAAAAACTATAATACATTGTTGAGAGAAATTAAAGATCTAAATAAACGAAGAGATATTCTGTCTTCAAGGGTGAGAAGACTCAATATTGTTAAAAAGGCAATTCTGCCCAAATTGACCTGTGGGTTAAATGTAATCCCTATGAAAATCTCAGCAGACTTTTTTTTTTTTGGGGGGGGGGTAGAAATTGACAAGATGATCCTAAAATGTATATGGAAATGCAAAGGACACAAAGCCAAAACAATCTTGAAAAAGAACAAAATTGGGAGACGCACAGTTCCCTATTTCAAAACATCCTACAAAGCTATAGTAATCAAGACAGCCTGGTACTGACATAAGGATAGACATATAGATCAAAGGAATAGAAATGAAAGTCCAGAAATAAGCCTGTGTATTTATTGTCTATGATTTTTGACAAAAGTGGCAATGCATTTCAAGGGGAAAGAATAGTCTTTTCGATAAACAGTGATGGGGTAACTGGATATCCACATGCAGGAACACAGAACTAGACCCTTATTTCATACCATACACAAAAAAGTACCTCAGCCACATAGATGAATGTAAGAGTTAAAATTATAAAACTTCTTAGAAGAAAGTCTCTGTGACCTTAGGTTAGGCAAAGAGTTCTTAGATATAACAACAAAAGTATGATCCATAAAAAAAAAACTGATAAACTGGACTTCAACAAAATTAAAACCTTTTGTGCTTCAAAAGTCAGCATTACGGATATGAAAAGTCAAGCCACTGACTGGGAGAAAATATTTGCAAATCATATACCCAGGATAATGGACTTATATACAGAATATATACAGAATTCTTACAAGTCTATTAGAAGATAAACAACCCACTTAAAAAGTGGGAAGAAGATTTTAATAGTATTTCATCCAAGAATATGGCTAATTACAAATGAAAAGATGCTCAACACCCTTATTCAGCAGACTTTCGGGGAGGGATGGGGTGCGGGTAGAAATCGACAAGGTGATATGAAAATGTATACGGAAATGCAAAGGAAACAAAGCCAAAACAATCTTGAAAAAGAACAAAGTTGGAAGACGCACAGTTCCCCATTTCAAAACATCCTTAGAGAAATACAAACTACAACCATAATGAGATACCACTTCACGTTCAGGAGGTCAGACAACAGCAAATGTTGGTGAGGATGTGGAGATCAGAAGCACCTAAATTACTGGGGAAATGTAAAATGAAGCTGCCATTTGGAAAACAGTGTGGCAGTATCTTAAGAAAGTTAAACAGAAACTTATTGCATGACATAGCAGTTTCATTCCTAGGTATCTACCAGGAGAAATGAAAACACATGTCCACTCAGCTGTATGTGAGTGTTCACAGTAGCATTATTAATAATAGCCAAAAAAGTAGAAATAATCCAAATGTCCATAAGCTGATGAACAGATAAACAAAACGTGGTATATCCATACAATGGAATACTATTCAGCAATTAACGGAAACAAATTATGGATAAATGCTACAATGTAGATGAACCTCAAAACATTAGGACGAGTGAAAGAAGCCACATGCAAAAGACCACACATTACGGCCGGGCACGGTGGCTCACGCCTGTAATCCCAGCACTTTGGGAGGCTGAGGCAGGCAGATCACGAGGTGGAGAGATCGAGACCATCCTGGCCAACATGGTGAAACCCTGTCTCTATTACAAACACAAAAATTAGCTGGGTGTGGTGGCGGGCGCCTGTAATCCCAGCTACTTGGAAGGCTGAAACAGGAGAATCGCTTGACCCCGGGAGGCGGAGGTTGCAGTGAGCCGAGATTGCGCCACTGCACTCCAGCCTGGGCGACTGAGCAAGACTCAGTCTCCCAAAACAAAAACCCACCAACATTGTATTGTTCCATTATATGAAATGTCCAGAAAAAGCACATCTAGAGAGATGGAAAATAGGTTCGTGGCTGCCTTGACCTGGGAGTGGTAATGGGGACTAACTGCAAATGGGCATGAGGGATTTTACTGGAATGATGAAAATGTTCTAAAATTGAATTGTGGCAATAGTTACACAACGCTATAAATTTACTAAAAAATCACTGAATTATACACTTAGTACGGGTGAATATTACGGCATGTAGATTATATTTGAATAAAGTTGTTAAAACGAGCTGGTAAGAAACATAAATCTGATTTGAAAAGAAATCAAACACACAAAACAACAAAGCAAAAGAAAACAAAATCTAAAATTAAGCTGCACAGGCATGCACATCTGTGGGTAATGCCCACATAAGACGTCTTTGGATTTCAAACTATCTACAGTGGCTCTCTCTGGCTGTACCTGAATGATTTTTTTTTTTTCTTTTTTTTTGAGACAGAGTCTCGCTCTGTCGCCCAGGCTGGAGTGCAGTGGCATGATCTCAGCTCACTGAAAGCTCCACCTCCCGGGTTCATGCCATTCTCCTGCCTCAGCCTCCCCAGCAGCTGGGACTACAGGTGCCCGCCACCATGCCCGGCTAATTTTTTTGTATTTTTAGTAGAGACGGGGTTTCACTGTGTTAGCCAGGATGGTCTCAATCTCCTGACCTCGTGATCCGCCCATCTTGGCCTCCCAAAGTGCTGGGATTACAGGCATGAGCTACCACGCCTGGCCCTGAATGATTTTTATAATGAACACATATTATATTAAATTTTTTGATTTGTTTTGAGACAGAGTCTCACTCTGTTGCCTAGGCTGGAGTGCAGTGGTGCAATCTCGGCTCACTGCAACCTCCACCTCCCGGGTTCAAGCGATTCTCCTGCCTCAACTTCCCAAGTAGCTGGGATTACAGGCGTGAGCCACTGTGTCTGGCTAATTTTTGTACTTTTAGTAGAGATGGGGTTTTACCATGTTGGCCAGCTTGGTCTGGAAATCCTGACCTCAAGTAATCCACATTCCTCAGCCTCCCAAAGTGCTGGGATTACAGGCATGAGCCACCACACCCAGCTAAAATTTTAAGTTAACTCTGTAGCAGTGTTTTCACTGATCTATATGTAAATTTTAATTTTGTTAATTTTCCAAGCAGATAATGCCCATTCACCACATATATTGTGGCAATGGGAAAACCACTGCCCAAGACACTTGAGATCCCTTACTATCTGTTTTTAGCTTATTGTTATGGGAAATTTCAAACCAATATGAAAGTAAACAAAGTAGTTAAATTAACTCCTGTGCAACCATTTCCAGACTTACACAATGATCAGTCCATGGCCAGTCTTGTTTCATCTCCATGTCTACCCACTCCCCCCACTCCTTCTATGAAGGCTCGGAAGAACTGATGCTTGATGTTCCCATCTTTGCATCCCTATGTCAAGATGCAAAAATGGGAACATAAACGGCTCTGAGACCCTGAGATGTATCAGTAGGGGGAGGGACAGAGGTGACTCCTCTGAATGATCGTCTAGCCAAAAGAGAGTAGCTCCTTCCAGAAGAAAAGGCTTGGCTGAGACAGAAAGGGAGAAAGATCGTGGGAGGTCAAAAAAGACTTTGTCATTCACAGTGGGGCTATGCCTGGTCAAACATGAACGGACCATTTTCTAGGAATAATCTGCTCATCCACAGAAGGGTGAATGAGGTTAACATTCTCAGTGCACTGGAGCACCATCTAAAGCAGGTGGGTGAAGTCATTTACCAAGTGGTCTCTTTGTGCCCTTGAGGAAGTATTCACTTTATATGGGTGAGTGGCTTATGCCTCAGGCCGTTATTTCCTCTTAAACACTCAGTGAACTGGAACAGCAGGGACTTTCTCTCCGAAGAGATGGAACCCTAAAGGGTCCTCTGTCCTTACAGCATGCCCGCAGCCCAGCTGCTTTGCGTCCAAAAGCCATGCCAGAACTTAGGGAACTGCTCTCGGCTTTCCCTTTGACCTGTGCTCTGGTCTGGATGCAGACCATCCCTGGCTGGGTGGCTCTCTTTTAGCATTACAGTGGGACTTTCCCTTTCTTCCAAGCTCTTCCTACCGATGATTTGGACAGTTCTTCTAGACTTGAAATTCAAGGCCTGAATTTCAATTTTGAAATACTGTTTCCCGAATCACTGTCTTGGATGAAAGAGCTAGGATGAAGGAAGGGAAATTTCAGGCCTGTCCAAAGCGAGGCTTCTCAGGATGCTGGATGAGGTCCCCTGGGTCCCTGCTTTTGGAGAGGAGAGTCTGGTCACCAAGTACATAGGTCCCAGGCTCCTTGGATCACGCTCAGTCCCTTCAGTACACAGCATACCTGGAAACAATCTTCAGAACTGAGACCCAGGTAAATAAGCCGTCTTCATGGGAAGGAGAAAACTGTTAACAGCTGCTGTACAGAGCCCCCAGCACACCCCGCAGCCATTCAGATCTCAAGGGAAACCTGCTAAGACTCTAACCTAGATCACTTTATCACACTGAAGCCCCATCTCTGAAATGAAAGTCAGCATGGTCTCCTGGTGGTCAAAGTGGAAACCTTTTATTATCTTGAAAATAAAAAACAACGAAAGACAAATCCTAACTGCAGGCCTGTGTGATTTTGAGAAAGACACTTAGCTTTTCTGGTTCCAACCCTTCCAGTTCTGTCACTGCTCAAGCGGAGGCCTCAATTAAGGTTGGTGGGGCAAAGTGAGATTTGAGGGGATTTATTCCTGATGCCTGTGATGGTCACCAGGAAGAGCTCTGTACTGTCCTGTGTATCATTTCTCGGCCTAACTAGTTGGAATGAATAAACCAAGATCTCCACCTCACTGTCAGCAACAAACAGATTTGTCAGTTTTCACTCTTGTATTTTGGCAGCAAACCTCCTTTAGGTAGTTATTAACTTTTAAATGTAAAAATCAGGCACCAAATCCTAAAGCAGAAAAGACATACATAATTTGGGTTACTTAAAATGCCTCCAAGTGAACAGGTGACAGATGTCAAGCCTCCTGGCACCCGGAAGAAAGGCACTGCAACAGACTATGAGGATTCCTGTGTTAATCAGGTAATAGTAACTTGGGTAATTAGCAAATCACACCAAATCTTGTTTAAGTCCCAAATCTCATTTAGAGCCTTTTGGAGAAACCGTTTAAATACAAAGGACACATTCTCCTTCTGACAGAAGATGCCTGCTTACTGGGGCAGACATCCCAGCTTCCCTGCCTCTATTAAATCCATTTTAATTATGAAGTCTCAAGGTCTAATTCACCAAAGCCTGAAAGAGAGGGTACACATCCCTTTGCTCTTGCTAAGGAATCAAGAAGCCCTAGACTCTGGAATTCAGGTAGACTTCAAAGACTCAACAAGTCCCAGGCAAAGAAAATGGCGATAGTCTTTGCCACTGGCCTACTACAGCACTCCCATACCTGTTAGAAAACTCCTGCCTTTTTACCTTTGCCTATTTTTAATTCACATGTAAGGGATTTAGACAATAAACACCCCTCAACAGGAGGAGGCCCATGGCTCCTGAGCTTGTGAACAATCCAAAGGCATTTTGAAGGCAAGCATGACGGGACAGGCAACAAACTGCAGTCAGGTAGTGGTGGGCCAGCTTAGGCTGGAGCAACAACTTAGGTGTGTGTGTCTGAGTCCCTCTCTCTGCTAGCTTGGCATTTTTAACCTTTTTTTTTTTTTTTTCCCAAGATGGAGTCTCACTCTGTCGCCTAGGCTCAAGTGCAGTGGTGCGATCTCAGCTCAGCACAACCTCTGCCTCCCGGGTTCAAGCGATTCTCGTGCCTCAGCCTCCCGAGTAGCTGGGATTACAGGTGCCCGCCACCACCCCTCCCGAGTAGCTGGGATTATAGGTGCCTGGCTAATTTTTGTATTTTTAGTAGAGACGAGGTTTCACCATCTTGGTCAGGCTGGTCTCAAACTCCTGACCTCAAATGATCCACCCACCTCAGCCTCCCAAAGTGCTGGGGTTACAAGCATTAGCCACCACACCCTTCCTTAAACCATTTTTATAGAGCTCTTTATAATACTCCTCCCTTATTTGGATCTCAAAGTCCATCTAAAACTTTACTGAATTCCAATCCTGTCATCCTGCTCAGAATAGCTCATACTTATATTATATTTCCACAAGACAGTTGGTTTAAGCCTAGGGACTTTTGGGTGTCACTTGTCCATGTTCCTTTTTAGCTAGAGAGTGTCAGAAAAATGATCTAAAGGTCTGTAGCACTGCCACAGTGTCTAGTTGTCTCAGCCCCTTAGTGCTTGGAACTGAATCTATTTTTTTCACTTACTATTTATATCCTCTTACCCAATCACCCAGGCAACATTCTGGAGAAGGGGGAGGTCAGGGAGTTGATGCCATCATTGATATAAGAAGAAAAGAAATCTGAAGTCAGCTTGGGGCACCAGAAGTCAGACAACCTGGATTTAAGACACCTGGCTCAGCTACTCAGTATAACTGTGTGCCTCTGGGCACGTCTCTTCTACTCTTTGAGCCCCATCTGCTAAATGGGAACAAGAATATTTCCCCACTGACTTCATGGGGCTGGTTGATAAATAAAGGAGACAATGAATAGCAGGGGGCTCTGTTAACCATAAAGTTTAACACATAAAGTTTACCCCAGAGGCCTGCTAAGGAGATGAAATGCCATGTAGCTGGCCTGCGCCAGTGCCTGGAAAGAGGACACCCCACTTTGCATTCTCCCTGGCGTAACTGCTAGCCTTGCTTGCTGCCTCCTACATTGGATGCAGGGACTGACCAGCTGCTCTTAAAAAAACCTTGTGTAGTGTCTCTGCTCTGGAAAGATGAGCCAAGGGGGAGCAGAGCAATAGAAAGGAAAGATGTCTAGACTAGGAGTTCAGATACTTGGGGTCTAGGTGCAACTCTGCCACTAACCTACTACGTTAACCAATGACTTGGAAAATAAAACAGATTATTAGGAAGAGAGCTAGTGAACTCTCAGGAAGGAAGGAAGCTTTTAGGATCACTCAAAGCCAACCTGGGTTATGAAGAACAAGTCATAAGAACAAGTCTTTTTTTTTTAGATTGGTAAACTTGAGCAATGACATAGACAGAACAGGTCTGTATTCAGTGAGACATAAATACATTTCACATGCAATTCAAGTGGTCAAGGCAGAGAAACGTGGCTGTGACAAAAATACAATTAGGTGAGTTCATAAATGTTTGATGTGCCCGAAGGCAGATGATGAAGGCCTCTAATGGTAATTTCTTTCATCCTATTAGGTTCCACATTCACATCAGCCACTGATGAGGATCAGGAGCATTACCTGGTGATAAGCTGTTGAAGACACCGTGCTTTTTGTCACCTTTCAAACACTGCATATGTAGTTCTGCCTACCTCAAACTTTAATCCCTAGCTCTTTCCTTGGCCAACTTCTCACAATATCACATTTCCTAGAAAGCCTGAGTCTGTGAAGCACCTTTCCTCTACGCTTCTGCAGTTCCCCTCTTTTGTGCTGTCACCCTGGATTGGAAAAGCACAGTCAATTGTCTGTCCCTCCCAATAAATTGTGAGGGAAGCAACTGTGCTGTCTGATTTCCTGCTGTATCCCCAGGTTCAGCACAATGTCTGGCACACAGTGGTTGAGCTGAATTTGCATATGATGTGAAGCTGGAAATAGCAGTATATTGGATCATAAAACACAGATCCAACATATCTTTGCAGACTAAAGAAATGAATATGTTCCTTCTTATCCTGATAAGATGATCTTTAGGAATAAATGTGGTTTGCACATAGGTTCAGTAATGACAAATCACACATATACGTGGAGCAGATAAGGTGAGCAGTTATGTATGTGAAGAATGACTCGATTAAACTTGAAATAAATGAACGACCCTTTTAAGGCTATCGAAACAGCCAATTTCACTAAAAGGTGGCATGGGTCTCTGTCAAGGGCTGTGACAGTCTCTCACCTCATTCTGGGTACCTCAGAGCTCAGAACAAACAGAACAACAAATCAGAACATGTCTAGAAGAAGGCAATTAGAAGGATGCAGGGCTGGGAAACCAAGCAATAGGAGGGATGGCTGAAAGACCTGAAAGCAGGCCTAGAGAAGGAAAGCTTAGCTAGGAATAAGTACCTGCTTTCAAATGCCTGGAGGGATAAGAGGTAGAAAGGGGACTGGATTTAGATTTCGTGGACTCAGGAAGGGGTAGCACCAGTGGGAAAAAGCAACAGAAACAGACTTCACTTCATAGGGGGGGACTTTTGCATGAATTAGAGGTTTCCATGGGGTGCCTGCTCAGAACTGTTTTCCAGCACAAGTTCAGGCAGAGACCAGATCAACCCCTCCCTGGTGATGCTGAAGACATTTACAAAGGCAGAGGCTGGCATTAGACAACCTTTCCTGAGTGCTAATCAACTCTGACGTTCTGTCATGCTAATGAAGTCACCTACCACCTCTGTGCTTTACCCTTCTCAAGGTCAAAGGGATGTGCTGGCAGTTGTACCAGTCAGGATTTTGCAGGAAGAGGTGGAGTCATGTTTTGAGATGTAGCTGCATCCTCAGAGTAAGCCTCACTACAGGGTACTTGCAGGAGGATGTGAGCACCTCCCAAACCAATACCATGAATCGATGGAAACCCAAGTGGGGAGCCACCAAACACAGCACGTGATCTTCAACCTCCAGGAAGGCTTGACTGCTCCTGCACCAAGGAGCCCTGAGCAGGCACAATGGACTTTCACCAGAAACCCAGAGACGACTGTGTGCTTCCCCCGGGCTGCACACAATGGTAGGGCAGCTACAATGGTAGCTGGGGTGAAGGGTGTTTCTTCTTCAGTGGGCCTAGTGAAATTCTTGGCACTGCTGGGTAAGAGAGCAAAGAGGCTGTTCCCATTACAAGGCATTGCCCAGTAGGCTCCCCACATATCTGCTAGGGGGGTAGCTGCCCTTCCCAAAGAGAGAGGATGGTAGCAAGAAGCCTTTTCTTCTCCCGAGTTTTCTGTAAACTTCTGCAAATCCAAGAGAATGACCACCACCTCCACCAACAATATCACAACAACAAATAACCTACCACCCAAGAAGGACTATGAGACACTTATTTTCCATTTTGCTGGGCTGCTGAAGGTAAAGGACCAAGTGGAAGGCAGGGTGCCAAGAGCTCCTTTTCCCTGAGGCTATGGTCTAAGTGAAACCAAGAAAAATTGAGGCAAGGAAAAAAAAGGGAGAAAGAAACCTTCAACACCACAAAAAGCTAATGGCTGGAAAACAGTGGGAGGAGTAGGGCTGGATGAGTGGAAACCGGGCTTCCTCAGTGGCTGAGAATATGCCCTACATAGGTTTGCAGAGAGGAGCCCATCCCTGTGCCAACCCCCACAGAACAGGCGGGCAGCGCTGGTTTTGTTGGCAGACTTTTTTTCTTTTGGTGGGGTGCTTTCTTCCCGCACAGCAGACACCAGAGTGGAAGCTGACAAGCACTGGCAGGATTTTAAAAATTGCTGCCACTCTCCCACAGACGCCCATTATGTCTCTGGAGCCTCGCGATTCGCAGTGTAAAAGCATAATCAAGAGAAATCACGGTTCAGCTCAGTCAGGGATGGGCAGAATAGTCCATTTAACTTTATGTTAAAAAAAGGAAAATAATTGGACCAAAATTTGCTTGAAATGGGAGTAGGAAATGGCTTGTTTTCAATCCATTTCAAATGAAAAACTCCCATTAAATCCTCATTGGAAACTATTTAGTTTGGAAACAAGTTTGGTATTCCATAGACAGTGCACATTAAAAGTTGCAGCACAGCACAGTCTGTGTAAGAACCATCCAACAACCTGATGACCTAGTTCCACAGGGCTTTTCAAAGAAGGGCTGGCTGGGCTTAGGCAGTTCACAGCCTGGTTGTTGGCCTCACAACAAAATCTGCAAGACCAAACTGGCTGGAGAGAAGGAAGTCTTTCAGGTTGACAGAAAGCCCCAAACTGGCAAACAACAACATGGCTGTTTCTGCTGGCAAACAACAACATAGTAACTATGACCAGAGAGCAATTGGAGATGGTGGGAAGTGAGTCACTGAGAAGAAGGAAATGGATTCTTAGTGCTGTACCAGGTTGCGACTCTACCTCACAAATGACAGCAGCCAACTCCCCCAGCCCAAAGCATCAGGGGCGTGGAATCATAGAATCCCAGGTGACTGTCTCACTATTCGGTCCCCTCCACCTGTCACTCTGTGGTCTGCTACGTTACCAGAGGGGGCTATGTTACCAAGGATGCCTGTGGAATTAACTATGCGGTTAATTCCATGGGGTCAAAGACTTACAAAGAACTAAAGAAAACCCGTTTTGTTCATCCAGAACCCATCACTATACCTGGCACACAATAGGTGTTCAATCCATGTTTGATGAAGGAAAGAATATATAACTGTTCTACGAAAAGAACATATCTATGACATGTTCTATGAAACATTTTCTATGAAATGCTCTATGAAATGGAATATGGGAAAGGTCTGGTGTCAGAAGCCTTGCTGGGTATCATGCTTTAAACATGAGAAGCACAAATTTTAAAACTTCACACATTAACCATGCAAGAACCAGACTCTTAATAGACAGGTACAAAGTTCATAAATCAACAACCTTTAAATAAAACATATAACGCTTCCTCCTGATATTAAAGACTATGCTATTACTGCTTTAAGGAGCAGATGTTTCATTTATCTCTCTCTCTCTTTCTTTTTTTGAGACGGAGTCTTGCTCTGTTGCCCAGGCTAGAGTGCAGCAGTGCCATCTCGGATCACTGCAACCTCTGCCTCCTGGGTTCAAGCGATGCTCCTGCCTCAGCCTCCCAAGTAGCAGGTGGCAGACAGCCGCCTGCCACCACACCCGACCAATTTTTGTATTTTTAGTAGAGACGGGGTTTCACCATATTGGCCAGGCTGGTCTTGAACTCCTGACCTCAGGTGATTCTCCTGCCTTGACCTCTCAAAGTGCTGGGATTATAGGCATGAGCCACCACGCCTGGACTCTCTCTCTTACACAGGGTCTCACTCTGTCACCCAGGCTGAAGTACAGTGGTGCAATCATGACTCATTACAGACTTGATGCCCTGAGCTCAAGTGATCCTCCAGCCTCAGCCTCTGGAGGAGCTGGGACTATAGGTGCACGCCATCACACCTGGCTAGTTTTTAAAATTTTTTGTAGAAATGGGGTCTCACTATATTTCCCAGGCTAGTCTCAAACTCCTGGCCTCAAGTGATCCTCCCAAAATGCTGGGATGACAGGTGTGAGCCACCATGCCTGGCCTCATTTATCTCTTTGGAAGAACAAAGCCCACATGTCATGGCTGTCCCATGTTCTTGCAGGCCTCCGTGCATTCTCCATCTTCCCAGCCCAAACATTTTGTTCGGCAGTCAGGTTTCTCAAGATACTGAAATTTTTACGTCCTTCTTACTTCCATTTCTGCTCCTCTTTCTTTAATTTCCCACCTGCCTTCATTTCCTCCTTCATTTCACCTTCAGGGTTCTCTGGAAGTAATAAAATGGCTCTCAGTAGACCACCGCTTGATTTCTGCTTACAGGAGAGAGCTGTGTTACCTTCCCACACCACACGCTACTTCTCACTTAAGGGTTAAGCATGAGATCTCTCAGATCCAACATCCTCCGCTCCTATCGTAGCAACAGGGGCACAATGTGCATCAGTCACTAGGATCTTTAAATAAAATGGAGAGAGCTGCTTGCTGGAAAGTCTTAATTTCATTGAAAAGCATGGTTTAACATTAATAGAGTTTGCATATATAACATAAATCAACTCAGGAAAGGAGGCCCTCTTCTCCCAAACTGCTTTACACATTTCAGCAGTGTGTAAAAAACACAACCTGTCATAATTAATTTTAAGCAAAGAGAATTAATTCTGAAAGACTAAAATTTTGATTTAACAGCAACAAAAATCCAATGTTGTAGTACTGGGAGTGGATGGATGTAGCTACACACATCTTGGTTACAGAAGGTCACCTGCTTTTATTTTGTTTTACACCAGATTTATGGAGGATCTACTATGTACAGACCTCACGCTGGGTACTGGTGGGAAGGAGGTGGAGGGGAACATATACTTGTCCTTGTTTTCCAAGGTGGCTTGGCATGAGCACCAACATATAAATGTCTGAAAGTGGGGCTAAAATGATGAATGTGCATGGAGCCTGGGTTTCAGCGGCCTTAAAGTTTTGAACTGGGAACCTGAGGATGTGTTGTGGAGTGGGGCTGGGGACCAGAGAGCTAGCTGGTTGGAAGGTCAGCCATACATCTAATACTCTACAGTTGCTAACACATTCCTTCCTGTTATTACTTTTGATTTTTCTTTTTCTTTTTTCTTTGAGACAGAGTTTCACTCTTGTTGCCCAGGCTGGAGTGCAATGGCACAATCTCAGCTCACCGCAACCTCCACCTCCTGGGTTCAAGCGATTCACCTGCCTCAGCCTCCCAAGTAGCTAGGATTACAAGCATGCGCCAACTCGCCCGGCTAATTTTGTATTTTTAGTAGAGACGAAGTTTCTCCATGTTGGTCAGGCTGGTCTTGAACTCCCGACCTCAGGTGATCCGCCCGCCTCAGCCTCCCAAAGTCCTGGGATTACAGGCGTGAGCCACTGCGCTTGGCCTACTTTTGATTCTTCTACTGAAAAAAAAAAAAAAAAAAAAAAAAAAGCCTTGGCTTCTAGCATATCAGCAGAAGCGGGATCATCAGATCATTGAATCTGGTTTCTTAGAGGAGTTCTCTGCAGAGAGGTGTGCCTACTCTGCATATTCACGGTGAGGACCAATGAGAAAGGCCATGAAATCTTCTCTTCCACCATGGTTGGGCTACTTGGGCTCCCATATGTTAAGAAGGTCTAAAACAGGGCAAAGGCGCATACAATACTGACTTTCATTTTGTGTCTCTATGTAATGATGCCCTTTGACTCTTAATTACTTTTATTTTTTAATTTTTTGAGATGGAGTCTCACTCTGTCACTCATACTGGAGTGCAGTGGCACCATCTCGGCTCACTGCAACCTCTGCCTCCCTGGTTCAAGTGATTCTTGTGCCTACCTGGCTAATTATTTTATATTTTTAGTAGAGACAGGGTTTCGCCATGTTGGCCAGGCTGGTTTCGAACTCCTGACCTCAAGTGATCCACCCACCTTGGCCTCCCAAATTGCTGGTATTACAGGGGTGAGCCACCGTGCCGGCCTCTTAACTACTTTTACAGGAACCACAAAGAGTTATGACTCCTTTAATTTAGAGTAGGGGTAGAAGGTATTGCCTTGGGACAGCTTCAACCTTAGACACTCCCACACTGAGATCCTTTGTTTTACACTCCCTCCTTGGAAACCCAGTTGCTCTGCTTACAGTATAGCTCTTTATTTTCTCACCTACCATCCTCTTTATTGGGTGGGAAGGCAGTAACGCTCTGCATGTCTTTTGGTGGAGGAAAGAAGGAAGACTAACTAAGCCAGTGTGGTCCACCAGTGGCTCCCAGATCACCACTGGCCTATAACCAAGTAAGATGAAAACAACACAACAGGCTGGGCGCAGTGGCTCACGCCTGTAATCTCAGCACTTTGGGAAGCTGAGGCGGGTGGATCACCTGAGGTCAGGAGTTTGAGACCAGCCTGGCTAACCTGGTGAAACCCCGTCTCTACTAAAAATACAAAACTGAGCTGGGTGGGGTGGCGGGTGCCTGTAATTCCAGCTACTCAGGAGGCTGAGGCAGGAGAATCACTTGAACCTGGGAGGCGGAGGTTGCAGTGAGCCGAGATCACGCCACTGCACTCTAGCCTGGGCGACAGAGTGAGACTCCGTCTCAAAAAATAAATATATAAATAAATATAAATAAAAATAAAAAAGAAAACAACACAACAATGCAGTGAATTTTCAGTTTTCATGTGCAGAATTGTTACTTATTCTAATATTATATATGTCTTGTTCTTTGGTATTAGTGACAACAATAAAAATATAAGAGGCACCAAGTGCTCTCTGTGCCAGGCTCTCAGTGCCTTTCATTCATTAATTCACTTAATTCTGCCAATAATCCCATAAGGTAGTTACAGTTATAATCATCCCCATTTCACAATGAGGGAACTGAGGCAGAGAAGTTACTTAAATTTCCCAAGGTCACACAGCTTACTAGCCCAGGTATCATCAGAATTTCTTTGAGTGTACAACTCTTAACCAGTACATTACATCTTTTTTTTTTTTTTTTTATGAAATAGATGGTGATAGTTTATGGTATTCATACTTTAAAAAAATTCTTACTTGGCAATATAAAAAGCTAGCAATTCAACTCTATGCAGGCCTCCTACAATTACAAAAAAATATACATTTTTTTTTCACCAGTTCGTGACATTCTGAAGTCTTATAACCTGTTGGTGAATCATACTAAATCATCATCATCATTACTGCCATCACCATAATCACCATTACTATTACCTATATGGTCCTGTGCTGAGTGTTCACAGGTAACAAAATGTAAAGATATTGCTCTCCTAGTGCCTATTTAAAAAACAAAAAAAGGCTGGGCACAGTGGCTCACGCCTGTAATCCCAGCACTTTGGGAGGCCGAGGTGGGCGGATCACCTGAGGTCAGGAGTTCAAGAACATGCTGACCAACATGGCGAAACCCCTTCTCTACTAAAAATACAGAATTAGCTGGGCATAGTGGCACATGCCTGTAATCTCAGCTTCTCAGGAGGCTGAGGCAGGAGAATCGCTTGAACCTGGGAGGCGGAGGTTGCAGTGAGCTGAGATTGTGCCACTGCACTCCAGCCCGGGCGACAGAGTGAGACTCTGTCTCAAAACAAACAAACAAACAAACAAACAAACAAACAAACAAACAAACAAATTCATATTCCCAATAACTCCCCGATATTCTGTCTTGCCTATGTTTGACATGCTGAAAATCTCAAATGTAAAAATCTCATTGGTCTTTCCCAAAGTGCCAACCCTCCCAGGCGTCAGAAATCAACCCTTGAGTACAGGGATTGTAAAAGAGCAGCAAAAGGCAGCAACCAGCAGGGCACCATGAGGCCATCTCACCCAGGCCCCTGCTTGAACATTAGTACACTTGTCCAATGTTGAGATCCAGAATAGTGGGGTGCTGGAAGCCTGCCGATGTGGAGGCAGAGAAAAGGCAATACCAGAGCGACCTCTTAGTTGGCCATCTCTTTGAGTGCTACAAAATATTCAACCCAGAAGGCTCCCAGCCCCTGCCATTATGAAGAGGGTCCCCCTTTACTCATTACTCATTGCCATTCACTACTCTCCAGACTGAAGGCAACCATTGTGTAGGCAGAGTGGACAGAACAAGGGTTCCCTGACTGTACTTCCAGCACCCAAGGAAGCCCACTGCTGCATGGTGCCAAGCTTGCCTGCCACTCCCACGCTCAGCTGCTACTAAAGGCTGGCCCTGGTCTAGGAGGACACAGCAGCCATTACTTGCCAGCTCCCTGCTGGTTGCTGTGAGAATTCCAGCTCCAGCCTAAGCTAGGAGAGCAATGGAAGCATCCAACTCTTTGTCTGACTATGAGGTCTGCATCGGCAGAGATTCTAGGTTTGATCTCTTCTGTGATTTTATTAGTGTCACCTACAAGGCAAGAGGGCTTTACCCATAACACAGCATTAAACACGAGCTAGTTCCAGCATAGAGCTACAATGTAAGGGACAGCTGAACAGAAAACAGCTGTTCTGCCACGGGAGAAAACATTCTAAGGGCAGTCTGGAACAGCTCTTTTGTGAGAAAAGCATAGAGCCAGGGTTCTCTCAGCAGCAGCTACAACTTGAGGCAGAGTTCAGATTTAATGTGGACACCCATTAGAAAACAGGCTGGTCTGGGAATGGTGCCTCACGCCTATAATCCCATCACTCCGGGAGGGTCAGGTGTGAGGATCGCGTGTGCCCAGGAGTTTGAGACCAGCCTGGGCAGCAAAGCGAGACCGTTTCTACAAAAAAATTAAAAAGTAGCTGGGCATGGTGGTCCATGCCTGTGGTCCCAGCTACTAGGGAGGCTGAGGCAGGAGGATTGCTTGAGATTGAATCTGCAAGTGAGCCGTGTTCATGCTACTGCACTCCAGCCTGGGTGACAGAGTGAGACCAAGTCTCTAAATAAATAAATAAATCAGGCCGGTTCCTTTCTGGCTGCTCCAGCACTTGGGCTGTTGTCTTTGAAGACAGTAAAATGCTGAGGCATCTCCTGAGTGAGAGGCCTCTGCTTTCCTTGATGACTGTCCCTATGGCCTTCTCTGGCCATAACCATCCACAACTACAAGAATGAGGATTATAATCCTTTCAGGAGTGGAAGCAAAGGATAAGGAACCAAAAAAACAGAGGAATGTGTCCACTGTCTTAAACTTGGATGGAATCAATTACTGAGTTGAACCCTCAATACTTAGACTCAGCAATAATTTTCTACCCTTTCCTACCTGTCATTCCCTTTCTTCCATTTTGTTCTGCAGGCCTTTACCTCCACCTCCCCTCATTTCCATCTTCACTGGTCAAGACGAGGCACTGTATTTGCTGCGAGAATGAAAAATCATGTTGGAGAGAAGGAAGAAGGCAAGGTGATGGGGTTGGTCTGAGACAGTATGGATTTGCTGTGCCCCCTGAACAGCCACGTAGGGGTTTCTTGTGGGTAGCTGGATACGCGAATGCAGGAATAGTTCATTTTTTTCTAGTGCCTTCTCACCTTCCCTTTCATATTCTTTCTTGGTGTCTGATACCCTGGTATCGACCCTGTTCTCAGTTATCAGCTAAGCTCTGGGTAGGCCTTGGTTGAACAACTACACCTTCATATAACAGGGGTCCTCTTGAAGACTGCAGACTCTTTAAGACCCAAAGGAATAAATCTGTAATGTAAATTCTAGGCACCATGAAAGGTGGTAGAGATTATGAAGAGAAGGAAACCTCTCTTCTTTGCAGAGATTGTTGAAGTAATGGCTTCTGATTTGGTCATGCCTCCCTGTATCCACATCCTTGGGGTCACTTCCCACGTTAACTCTGGGCCAGTTTTGTGACTTGCATTGGCCAGTGGCTCATCAGCAACGCGATACAAGCTGAAGCTTGCAAAGTGCATATTCACTGGGGCCTGCTCTCTTGCTGCTCCTTGGAATCCTGAGATTGCCATGCAGTGAAGCCTGGGTTAGCCTACTGAAGGGTAAGAGCCACATGGAGCAGAGATGAACTGTCCCAGCCAAGTCCCAGCACCATCCCCAGACCAATCAGCCTGTTATTCACCAGACGTAAGTCAAACAATCTAGACCAGCCAACCCCAGCTGGCCACAGATGACTGACAGAAGCCAGCAGAGATCAGCTGAGCTGGCCCAGAGAGGTACAATCACCTGCCTGACCCACAGAATTATGAGCTACTTAAAATAGTTGTTTAAAGTCGCTAAGTTTTGGGGGGGTTTGTTATATAACAAAAGCTAACTGACACCCTCTCCTTTCATCCTTGATATGGTTTGGATATTTGTCCCCTCCAAATCTCATGGTAAAATGTGGTCCTCAGTGTTGGAGGTGGGGCCTGGTGGGAGGTGTTGGGGTCATGGGGGTGGATCCCTCATGAATGGCTTGGTGCCATCCTCTTGGTGATGAGTCAGCTCTCCTTCTATCAGTTCACATGAGAGCCGATTATTTAAAGCCTGGAACCCCACCCCCAAGCCCTTTCTTTTGCTCCGTCTCTCACCATATGACATGCCTGCTCCCTCTTCACCTTCTGCCATGAATAAAAGCTTCCTGAGGCCTCACCAGAAGCAGAGCAGATGCTGGCACCATGCTTGCAAAGCCTGCAGAACCATGAGTCAAATAAACCTCTTTTCTTTATAAAAATTACCCAGCCTCAGGTATTCCTTTAGAGCAACATAAAATGGACTAAGACAACCCTCACGCACAGGATCTAGCTGTCTGCAGGCCTGGCGACTTTTGTTTCTTTAATAAATCTTAGTTTTAATTACAGGCAGTTCCAAATACTTTTGTTACAATAAATTATTTTAATCAGCCCACTGAATTAGTTACCTACCATGAAATGTGCATATACTGGCCTAATGAAATGTATATTCTGATTTAGATATTTATGTCTCATCTTAGTACAGTTTGCTAGATCAAATATTTCTCAAGAATAAGGAATACTCTAAGCCAGGAGTCAGCCAACCTTTTCTCTAAAGGGCTGTATCACAAATACTTTTAGTTTTGCAGACCTTACAGTCTGTCACAGCTGCTCAAGTCTGTTGCACAGCAAAAACATCCATGAGGCCTGCCTACTTCTAGGGATGGTACCATTGACTTCCCCTTTTGCCTGGGTCCCTTAGAGGGCATCCAACGATGCCCTCAAGTAATGCTTCCCAACGATAATAAGAACAAGAAAAAAGAAGTTGGTGCCTGATGGGTGAGTGAATGTTGGGGCAGAGCTAGAGGTGGTGGTGATGAAGGAAGCAGTAGGAGAGGAAAGCAGGAGAGAGAAGAATCTCAAACTCAAGATCCTGACCCGAGGCAGCAGTCCCACTAAACCCAGAAACATCCCCCCTCCCCTGACATCCCTTTTGCTAGTGGTAAAGAGAAGTAATAAAAGCAGTGACCATAAGCAGTGGCCAGGCTAATTTCCACGGTCAGGCTGGGGGCTGGGGAAGAGGGAGGGCAGAGAACCACAGAATGTATCCTGCAGAGGCACAACCCAAACCCTTGTCGGCTCTGCTATCATCATCATAAGTAATTCTACACAGACAGAAAAAGAAAGGCTTGAGCATAAGGTTTCTATCTGTGCCGCACAGAAGCTGATTAAAAATGCTAACTACCATGATTGTCCAACCACCAGACGCTCCCCAGAGACCCATGCTCACAGATGGTGATTAGTTTGGGATGGCCAGAACATTCACCAGTACCATGTTGCCGTAACACCCACAGACTATCTGTCACACTCCCAGGAGGCCGTTAAAGGCTGTTTACTTCATACAGTTAACTTGAACCATAAGCTTCATAAGCCTCTTTGATACAATTTTAATCACTCTCCTCATAAACCCATAACACTCCCCAGCACGGATATGCATTTGCACACAGCACAACGCAAAACTCCCCTTGGAATTTTGCAGCTAGCAACACCCCCTTCCCAATCTTCCCTCCCTCAAATGGATGCTGCCTCACTACAGATGTTGTCTAGAATCTCCCTTGATTCACGCACTTGCATTAGAGCTTCCCAGTGTGGTAATACATCATGGCTCCCAGTGGAAATTGGGTGATAAAAGATCAATACCAGGACCTTGTAACAAATGTTCCAACAGTGAAACTGCAAGCTACTGTTTATCTTTTCCAGAACATATTTTTCCCCCAAGCAAATTCTAATTTTCTAGACTGACCTCAGCTATCCTTTCTGATATTTACTTATTTGGAAAGCAAAAATAAGTGAGCTTCTGGATACTATTCCTGAATAGACACAAAGCCCTGTTTCATCACTGCCCCCTGAGAACTATGGTCACTGATCCCACCCCCTAGAAGGAGAACTCCATTGTTCCTCTCCAAATTCTGCTGCTTCTCAAGTCGCATCCTTCATTCGGCAGGCTGGCAGCATGTTCTTTCTGGCAAAACCCTGGGCACTGAAGCCATGACATTTGCAGGATATGCCAGCAGCGTGAAGGACAGCCTGGGATGAAAGGCAGGAGCCTTTTCAAGTAATTTTATGTGAATTCTGCGTGATTTGACATTTCTTTTATAGGTACGATTTGCCTGGTTTCTTGAGGCACTTTGCCATAGAAAGAGCAGAGGGTCTGAATACAGAGAATTCAGCCTGGGCTCAAGTTCCAGGTTTAGCCCTTGGAAGCTGTACAGTTTTAGCAGGTCTGGTCGGCTCTCCAAGCCTCACTTTCTCCATTTGTAAAACGAGAGTCACTCTATCTGTCCTGTCTAGCTCACATGATTGCTTTGCAAAGATTATTTATGAAGGGGCTTTGTAGGCTATGAAATACATAAATTTTTTAGCTCTTTATTACATGCAATCTACACTGCTATCGTTGATTTTGGTTCTTTATTCCATTTTTCCAGCATGGTGAAGACAGAATTTGGAGAGAATTGCAAAGTAGTTCAGTTTGCAGTGTTGGTATTTTCTAGGCTTTTCCATTTAAGGGTCTGCCCAGAAGAAGTAGCTCTTTCATGTGTTTGTGGTGGTGGGGTTTTGAGAGGCTCCAGGCCCTTTTTGGCATTAGTCAACCAACTGCTGTTCTGAGGCACTCCTATGTCTCCTTGGGTTAGTACAGTGGTGTTTATACATGGCCATAGTTTATGAATGAGTTTACTCTTTCAACAAATAAACAACATTTGGGAAGAAGTTTTTCTGGTTGCTATTATCCTCCTTCATTTGCTTTGCCCACCCTTACTTTTTTGTTCCCTCTCTTTGTGCCCTGGGGCTCACTGTTCCCCTTCTAGATGGAGGGCATACTCCTTTTTTTTTTTTAAGATGAGATCTTGCTATGATGCCCAGACTAGAATGCAGTGGCTATTCGCAGGCATAATCATAGTGCACAACAGCCCTGAACTAGCACCCTACAGCCTCGATCTCCTGGGCTCACGTGATCCTTTGCCTCAGCCTCCCAAGTAGCTGGGACTAGAGGCGTGTGCCACTGTGCCCGGCACTAGATGGTATATTTTTGAAGTCTGCTTAACCTGTGGATCCTTGCTCACCTCTCCGAATTAGAAACTTATTTTATAGATGTCTTCAGCTTTAGGAACAAGAAATGATTAGCATCTCAGTCTAATTTCTATAATGCAAATTTCATACATTACTTACTTCCATGATAAAGTAATGCAGTATAAACACTTTGAGTATTTACATACTTCATGCTCTTACCTCTGTCTCCCCACCTCTGAAGTCAGAGTCAGTACTTCCATAGGCAGTACCTGCTCAGCGTGCTCTGCAACCCTTTCCTCTCGCCCTCAACCAGGGCTTTCCATTACCTGGGTTTTTTTTTTATTATTTTTTTTTATTTCTCTCTCTCTTCAGATTTTAGAATTTCTTCTTCATTGGGGGAATCTTGACCCATGGTCAATCACTGTTTTGGGAACTTAACCTCCACTGGACAGTTACAATATCAATTATATCTTATTACCTTATCCCTATAGAAAAATCTGTGTAACACTCCAGTAAAAAAAAAAAAAAAAAAAAAAAAAATCCTTAAATTTAAGTGAACTTCAAGTCTCTTTAGGGAATTAATGGTCTATGTTACCCATCCTCTAAATTTACAACTATAGGCTTTGAACAAGAATAGCTAAAGCAGGTGTGTTAGGAGTGGCTCTAATTCCTCTCAACAGAGAAATAGAAACCTCATCCTGGAAACTAAACTCCAGGCCCCAATGCCCACACAATTTGTCTCCCAATTCTAAATCTAGATGTCACTGATAAAATAAAGGCTTTGCTTCTTGTCTCAGTAAGAAGAAAAACCTTGGAGAATACAGTTACCATTGGAGTCACAAGTTCGATCTTATCTCATTAATACTGACACTTCCCCCCCAGTGAATTCAACTTGAGGTTGCCATAACAACTTCCCTGTAGAGTTCAAAGCCCAGAAGCCCATTTCCACTGTTTATATTTAGTGCTATTTATGTAGACCAGTGTTTTCTTTTCTCTTTTATCTCCCTTTTTAACAAAGGAAAAGGTAGCATAGGGTAGAGACAAGTGAGAAATTTATTTCTTTTCATTTGATCTACGGCTATGGGGTGAAGTACGGCTCCTTTTCTTGGTGGGCACAGGTAGAGAAAGATGCAAAGGAAGAAGTTTCTAGAATTTTATCACATAAACACCAGGCTGATCTATACTTAAAACTGGTGAGTAAATAGTTTGAGCAGTTATTACAGCCAAGTGACTATGCCCTTGAAATACTGAGAAGATGGGCAGGGGTTCAACCCCCCCAAAAAAAGAGATCAGTGAGCAGTTCCAATGCTGGATAGGGACATTTAACCAAATGTTGCTGGAGAAACTGGAATTTTAACTTCCACCAATGAGCAGAAACTTCAAACACGAGACCATTTCTAGTCATTCTGGAGTATGCTTCAACTGTTTTAAATCAGCATGTCATTCCCATGTTGGAACAAATTGGCAGAGGTCACTGGAGACGATGTCACCTCAGCAGATTTCTGGAGGAGACCAGAACAACGGAGATGAGCAAAGGAGAGCAAAGGGTGAACCCCAGGAAGGCAGCTCAGCTTGTGTGATACCAGCACCAAGAATGATCTGAAACAGACTCTGTGAAAATATTTTGAAAAGCATGAAAAATCATAAGACATGGAATTGATGTCTTAGGAAGAAACATCCCATTCAAGTCAATAAACATTCAGTGAGTGCAGCCTGTATGTAAAACACAATGCTGGGGTGTAAGGCTGACTGGAAGCAAGTGTGACTAAGACCATTCAGAGATTCAGAGGCTGGTGAGGGTGTCGGGAGAGAGGAGGCAAGGGCAGGAACTTCAAAGGCACACATAAGGCAGATGGAGGTAAGTGTAAGAAGGTACAGATGGGAACACAATCACAGGCCAGGGGGCAGAGGGAGTTGGACGGGCAGTCATGAAGAGAAGAACAGAAGCAGGATTTTTTATTTTTTTGACACAGAGTCTTGCTGTCACCCAGGCTGGAGTGCAGTGGCACGATCTCGGCTCCCTGCAATCTCTGCCTCCCAGACAAGTGAATCTCGTGTCTCAGCCTCCAGAGTAGCTGGGATTACAGGCATGTGCCACCACGCCTGGCTAATTTATGTATTTTTAGTAGAGATGGGGTTTCACCGTGTTGGCCAGGCTGGTCTCCAACTCCTGGCCTCAAATGATCTGCCCGCCTTGGCCTCCCAAAGTGCTGGGATTACAGGTGTAAGCCACCGCACACGGCCTCAGAAGCAGGATCTTGAAGATGGTATAGAACCTGGCCAGCAAGCACCAGGTGATGAACTAAAGGACTCTTCAGGAAGAATAAACGATGTCAGCAGAGCGTGCGGTGTCTTAGGCAACAGTGAGCAGAGATCTGTTGTGTAAGGGCAACCTCTTTATGTGACTCAGCTGCGTATGGCAAGTGATGGTCCCAGAGAGAATTTGGGATCTGAGCTACATTAGTGGAAAGGAAGAAAAAGCATGTCAAGAGACATCCCAAGGATGAAGTGACAAAACTGGGTGACTCATTAGATGTGGGAGGTTGAGAGACAGCGAGAATTGTGTGGGTTATTTTTTTTTCTCTAGGTAGGATTCAGAAGAGCAGCTGTCTTGGGGTGCATGGTGAGAGGTGATGCATTAGAAACTCACCACTCTCGTACGTGAGGACACTGGGCAGGAGCTAACCCTCTCCCGCCAGAAGATGAGCTGCTGTGAGCAGCGGCCAGGGCCCCCTGTCCAGAATGCTCCTGTTTCCTGCCTCTGTCCTTCCTTTGTGACTGACCCAAGGCTGGAGGTGCCCATCTCCTCACTCGAGTGCCCTCCTCCAGGCCACCTCTCTCACTTCTGTGGGCTTCCATGCGAGTGTTCATCTTCTCCACAAGTGGGCTCCTTTCCTCATAGGGAAGACTTTTCCATCCCTTTTCCAATGCTCAGTTTTGGTCCTGCCAAATCTCAATGATATTTACCAGGCTGCATTAAAAAGTCAAGATCCTTTTGTTTTTCCCATGCTCTGAATGTTGCTCAGTCATAACCCGTCACTCTTTCCTGGGTACTTCCCCTCACTCCTTCCTCCATATTCACCCTAAAGTCATCTTGAGCACATCAGCTGGTATCTGGGAAAAAATACTCTATTTCCATTTTCATGTTATGTAATATCTTCCTAGTTCTTTCTGGAATTTCTAAACTTAAGTGCATTCATTCATTCATTCATTCATTCATTCAACAAATATACATTGAGTCCCTTCAATGGGCAAGGCATGATATGGAATGGCCAGCTAACAAGGAAAGGGCCTCTGGCCTCCTGGAGCTTACAGTCTTTTAGGAGAGGCAATCAAATAAATGGAAGATTACAACTCTAACCTGAGTCGTGAGAAAAAGGAATAGGAACTATGACAACTGATGGAATGGGGAAAATCTTCCACTAGCAGAACTGCAGAGGAGCTGAAGGCGTGCCTCAGGAGGAAGGTAAGGCCCATCCCTGGAGGTACAGGCAGGTGCTATCCGACTGTCTGTCAGGAAAGCTATAGAAGGAATTCCTTGAAGAATGGGAAGCTGGAAAAAATAACCTCAAGGCCCTTTCCATCTCTAAGATACTATGATTCTACAAGCAGGACCGACCAAGAGGGAAAAGAACAGTGTGATTTATGAAAATGCCATCATCCTCAAGCCAGTGCACTTATTAGATCCTTCCCCACCTCCATTTCACTGACGAGCTGACATAAACTTTTACCACTCTCTCTATTTAAGATCTCATCGAGGCGTCTGCACTGGGCTATAAACCACAGGAGAAAGCCTCAAGGAGCAAGGAGTCTTGCAGACAGCATATATTGAACAATTCCTATTGATGTTAATCAATCATTTATTTGAGAGGAAGAATAAAACATATTAAAGGGACTTCAGGGGATTACTCTTCCTATATTGATAACCCATTAACATTTAATGAACTGGAGTAATAGTCAAGGCAATGTGAGGCTGCCTGGAAAGCCAAGAAACTGGGTTGACTTTCACAGGACAGACTCAAGAGGTACTTCCCTGATGCCTTTTGTTCGAACAGTCCTGGAAGACCCTTTCTCACTTGAGAGGAAGCAGCCTCCAGGCCATTTCTTTCTGCCAGGGAGCTTAATGCAACTGAGAGCTCTTCCACCAGTTAATGTAGGCATGTAGGTCCTAATTAGAACAAGATAAATATTTATCAATGTGGATGAGGCCCCTGGATTCTAAGGAATCCAACAGCCACCTTCATTTTATTATTTTATCTCTCCCTAATACACATACCTGACCAACTATATGGTGGAAACAGTCTTCACATGGAATAATGACCATTGTAAGTGGGAGAGTCAGGACTTCCCCCAGGCTTTGAGGAAATACTTCCAGGCCTCTGGAAAATGTGAAGATTGTACTGGATCATCTGCATGGTTCCTTTCTGCTTTATTATTTTCTCTCTACCTAACACAAGTTCTTCCTTATAGACCTTGACATAAACTAGTGTCAATAGATAAATGGTCTTGGCATCCATGGTCAGAAAGAATGACTCAACAGTAACTACAGCAACCTAAAATAGTAGCGTTGCCTCCAAATGTAACCATTTTGTTCGAATAACTTCACTGAACAGGTTAATTTGTTTAATTTCTTAAGAGAAAATTTTATAGCCAGTTGATCTGCCAGGTTTATGAAGAAATCATGTTGCTTAGACTTGTGTGAAGGAATTACAGTTTCTACTGCTTGGGGCAGGGCAGTGAGAAACCCAGGCGGGAAAGATCTAAGCCACCCTCTAGAGCTGATTCACCGGTTTTCGCCTGGAGTGCTCAGGTGATGTTTCCAGTGCAGCCTCCTTCCTGCTGGGCAGGTGTCTCTCAAAGGGTGCTGTGGGGCACGGTGCGTTGTACTTTCCAGCTATAGGCTAGAGCTTGTCCTTGCGCCATCTTACCTTCTGAATCTACCCCTAACCAGAGTGCGCTGCACTGCAGTTTAGACCTACTGAATAAGGCCCAGGGCAGCAAGTCTGAATGCCACACTAGACCCCTAGACGCCCCCAAACTGATTCCTGAAGAGGAGTCTAGATTTGTTTGCAAGTATTCCTGCAGCTCCACCTAGGGAGAGGGAGAATGGCCTTCTGTTCAGGCAGGAGTCCAATTTTTACAGTAAGATGTCAACTTTACCACTTGCACTTCTGATTTCTAAGGCATAAGGCTCTGCCCTGGACCAGGAACAGAGAATACAAACACACCAGGCTTTTGTCAGAGAATACAATCTCAAACTGTCTGCTATTCAACTCCTATCAAAAGGCAAGCTGAGAAAAGCAATATTTACAAAAGATTATTTGAAGGACAAGCAGTTCAACCATTCTTCAAAACACTCTACATTCTATCCCTGGATCAAGTCTGACCACCTCACAGCTACACACTAGGGCCATATTACCTTAGCCCCACACAGAACTGCTGTCACCGGATTGTATTTTAATGCCATGCTGCTTTGCTATTATCAAAAAGGTGCTACCAGAAGCAGCCATAAAAAATCTGTTATTGCATTTGAGGAGAACATGTTGTTGGAATACTGTTCACTGCATAAAGTCCCAGGTAAGAAAGTTATCTTGGAAATTAGTTTTAGAAGCAGCTTTGAATCCTGAAGAAATGGCGGTCTCATTCTTAAATTAATTATGTAGTGAAGTTGACCTTGGCTGCCAGGAATCTCAGTTTAAAATCTGAAGCTCAGTTGTGGCAATTACATGATCTTTAAGTTTTCTGCAGCAAAAGCAATCTGGAGATTTTTCAGAGAACTTAGAACTGCCATTTGATCCAGTAATCTCATTACTGGGCATACGCTCAAAGGAAAATAAACTGTTCTACCAAAAAGACACATGCACAAATGTGTTCACTGCAACACTATTCACAATAGCAAAGACACAGAAGCAACCTAGGTGCCCATCAACAGTGGACTGGATAAAGAAAATGTGGTACATATACATCATGGAATACTAAGCAGCCATACAAAAGAACAAAATCATGTCCTTTGCAGCAATATGGATACAGCTAGAGGCCATTAGCCTAACCAAATTAATACAGGAACAGAAAAACAAATACTGTATATTTTCCCTTGTAAGTGGAAGCTAAATATTGGGTATACATGGACAAAACGTGGCAACAACAGACAGTGGGGACTACTAGAGGAGTGGAGAGAGGGAAGAAGGCAAGAGCTAAAGAAATACCTACTGGGTACTCTGCTCAGTATCTGGTGATGGGATCATTCATGCCTCAAATCTCAGCATCACAAAATATACCCAAGTAACAAACCTACACATATACCCCCTGAATCCAAAATGAAAGCTGAAATTATAAAAAAAGTTTCCCATATCTGTGTTTTTTTCTTAGTTGCTATTTTTTCTTTCTGTGTTCACTTCAATTTATTTGATGCATTCTTTTTAGAAACAGGGATAAAACTTTTATGGAACCAGGTAAAGGTATAAATAAGTAAAAATGCACTGATTTCTCTGTTGGTTTAAACGTCACACCTACTGAGTTGTCCTCGCTTGAGTGGCATTTCTCTTCTTGGTAGTACTGGTTGCAGCCATAGCAATAATAATGCTAATAATCATATAAATCCTCATAATAAAGCTACCCCTTATTCTGTATTTACTCTGTACCTAACCACTGTAATAAGAACATCTGATATGTTATTTCATGTGATCCTCTCAATAGCCCTATCAGCTGGGTACTATTAGCCTCATTTTATAGATGAGGAAACTGAGGCTCTGAGAGGCAAAGGCAGAGTCACATCCATGTGTGTTTGACTCCAAGCTGCAGCAAGATAGCCCCAGTCTCAGTGAAATGGGCCGTTTGGAGGGAGAATGGTAAACTAAAATAACAAACGCCATGCTATTGGTCTAAGGCCTTCCCCCACTTTTGGCATCAAAGTAAAACATTGCATCTAAGTCTGCCTATAGGTGCCAACAAATACTTCTCATGTCCTAATCAAAGTCCACTGGAAAAGTGAACTAGTAAAATTTACTTCAGTAGTAAAGTGATTAGTAAGAAATATGAAAGTGTATTTTGTAGGTAGGACTGAGTAAAGAGTTTAGATAATACATTTTGACAGAAACTAAAAAACTGAACAGAGAACCATCAACATCATCAAAACCCTGGGGTCTAAGTGCATTTGGGAAGTTTTCCACAGAATTCTGCAGGCATCTCAGAGCTGCAGGTGACTTGGGCCCTTGCTTGGTCTCACATGGTATCCCACTGCCCACCATGAGGAGACTGTCATAGTGCCAGAAAGGTATTCACATCACATGGCAAGATGCAACTCCTGCTTTCAATTTTTCTTCCTCTTGGCATTTCACACGTCGTATCTGCAAAGTCTTTTGCAGTTGTGCCTCCACTAGCCTTCAGAATAAAAGCCCAGGAGAGCTGATGATGGGATGTACAAGAACCCTCATTCCAGAAATGAAGAGTACACACAGCCTGGGGTCTTTTTTCTCCACTCAAGGAACAAGGGTGAAGGTCAGGGATGTACATTCATTCATCTACTCAGTGACCAAACACCTAGCATTTGCTAGGCATGGAGAGACAGAAGATAAAGTAGTTGACATGGATTCTGTCCCTGAGGAACTTCCTAATTCGGGGTGGGGTGGGAAACTTCCAAGGAAGAAAAGAATATGAACCAATGCAAGGACATCTGCAAAAAAAATGAAAGGAAGCACCAGAAAGATTGTTTCTCCAAGCGTGGGGGAAACACAGGAGTGATTGGAATGAAATGAGTTTGACAAAGAAAGGCTCATTAGGAAAGAATTGTTGAAGATCCTGATTTGTTTAAACAGTGACTCTGATCTCTGAACTGCTTCTCAGTTTAACATTCATTGAGCATTCCACAAATACTTACTCAGCCGCTCATTTGTACCAGGCACTGCTCAAGGTGCCAAGAAAGGGGCAGTGAGCACCCAGACAAGGTCTCCACGGTGCTCACATGTAAATTTTTAAAAAGTCAAAATAATCTCAGAAAGTACTGCGAAGGAAATTTTTAAAAGGGTATTTTTTATTGGCTGGAAGAAGGCTCTTTTAGTAGAATAAATATCTCCTGAATAATCTAAGGCGTGATCATGATGCACGTGATATCTAAAGGTGGGACCTGGATGAAAGGAGGAAGCCAGCTACAAGAATTGCTGGAGACAACATTCTAGGCAGAGAAAACAGCAAAAGCAGAGGCCCAGAGAAAGGAACATATTTAGCGTTTTCCAGGAAAAAAATGAGGCCAGTGAGGCTGGAACATGTGGCTGAGGAGAGACCAGGCACAGGTGCCAGATCAGGGAAGACCTTGTGGGCCACAGCAACAGACTTGGGTTTTATTCCAGATGAAATCTGGGGTCATGCAGGACTTTAAGCTTGCTCATGTGTGTGTGTATGCATGTGTGTCAGAGAGAAAGAGAGAGAACAAGACTTGATAATACTTATTTTTAAAAAACATTCCTTTGAATTTGGACATAACAGCAAAAGCATGAACCATAAAAAAAGAGATAAAGAGGACCTCATTGAAATAGAAAACTTTCATGCTTCAGAAGGCACCATTAAGAAAATGAAAAGACAAGCCATAGACTGAAAGAAAACATCTGGAAATCACATATCTGATAAAGGATTTGTATTTATAATATATAAAGAACTAATTGAATTGCACACTTAAAAATGGGTCAACTTTATGATACATAAATTATATCATGATGAAGTTATTTCAAAAAGTAGACTCAGCTAACAGCCTCATTGGCAATTCAGATTCCTTGAATGGCTTCCTTTGCCCCTCCTCATGGCCAGCTGACAGAACACCCAATCAAGTAGAAGCTGCTCATATTAAGTAAAGTGATATGGTAGAACCCTGCCAGTGTCACTAACTTTGTGTGTCCTCAGGCAAGTCACAACTGCTCTATGTCTCAATTTCCTCCATCCAATACAGATCCAATGCAGAATCTGTATTATTCATCTAAATGAGCTGTTGGGAGTAGCATATGAGATACGAAGCTATTTGTCCATAAAAGGTTTTGTTTCTGTTGGAACTTGAGCTCTCAGACTTATCTCAAAGTTAGTTTGTCATATTTAACACTCTAGTTATGTCCTACATTAAATTCTAACTGGGTTTTATTGGCATTTGGATATAACTTCTATTCATTTTGTGACAGAATGACTGGTTCCCTGGTTCTTGGTTGGGCTGGGAAGAAGGGATGTGGCAACGCTCACTATTAATTCCATCCAATACATTTTTAAAGGATGCAGCACCAGCTACTCAAAGCTCAGAGGAGATTTCCCTTTCAAGGGCAGAACTTTGGCTCAAAAAACACATTAATCCTATCCTTTCAGGAGTCCTTGGGCCCAACAAACCTGAAACTTTCCTTTAACTTTATTAGTCTTCCCTTTGATTTTCCATGGCCATGTCCTTTGAACATCAGAGTTCTCTATGACCGTGTTGATGCCACCATTTCTATTTGACCCTGGAGGTTCCCAACTATTCTTAATTAGGAAGAAGATACAGAGTAGATGTAAAAGAAAGAGCAAACAGTGTAAATAAAGGCTTTTAGTGTTTTGATTTTTTTTTAATGGAGAAAAGTCCATAAGCAGTAACTACATGGGTGAAAAGAGGTACATATTATTGGCGGGGTGTGGTGGCTCATGCCTGTAATCCCGGCACTTTGGGAAGCTGAGGTGGGCAGATCACTTGAGGCCAAGAGTTCAAGACCAGCCTGGCCAACATGGTAAAACCCCGTCTCTACTAAAAATGCAAAAATTAGCTGGGTGTGGTGGTGTGCACCTGTAATGCCAGCTACTCAGGAGGCTGAGGCACAAGAATCGCTTGAATCCGGGAGGCGGAAGTTGCAGTGAACTGAGATAGCATCACTGTACTCCAGCCTGGGTCATGGAGTGAGACTCTGTCTCAAACAAACAAACAAAACGACACATTTTTTTTTTTTTTTTGAGACGGAGTCTCACTCTGTCGCCCAGGCTGGAGTGCAGTGGCGCGATCTCGGCTCACTGCAAGCTCCGGCTCCTGGTTCACGCCATTCTCCTGCCTTAGCCTCCCAAGTAGCTGGGACTACAGGCACCCGCCACCACGCCTGGCTAATTTTTTGTATTTTTTTAGTAGAGACGGGGTTTCACCGTGTTAGCCAGGATGGTCTTGATCTCCTGACCTCGTGATCCGCCCGCCTTGGTCTCCCAAAGTGCTGGGATTACAGGCATGAGCCACCGCACCCAGCCCAAAAAGACACGTTTTTCTAGTGTTCATTCTTCATTCATCCCACTGTGACCACATGATTTAGCAGGATCATGAAAATCAGCCATAAAATCCCCCAATCTTTACCCAACTTTCATATAACTTCTCCCCTGCGTCCTGATTGCCCCACAAAAGCTATATTTCAATCCTGCAATCCTATTAAAGTACATATTGTAAAAAATAATTTTAGAAGTACATTTGGAGACCTAGCTTTCAGCATAAGAATGGACATTAGAATAAATTTAGCCAGGCTTTGCCATTCTGTTTCTGAATGTTCATTGTAATTATATTTCACATTAAGATGTTGACATAAACAGGGAAGCAAACAAGGATATTGGTGATTCAAGTATTTTATCAGCATTTCATGAGTAAGTATCTGCCCAAATGGCTATATTTTCATTTGCCAAATAAGACATTTCACTTCCACTCATTTCTTGCCAGCCCATTCTTCCATTTATGTATTTTTCTGGATTGGTTGATGACTTTCAGAGCTTAAGTGAGCAATTTCCATCATTAATGTAACTGGATACAAATCATGTATGTGTGTGTGGGTATATACAAATTATGTATGTATATATGTATACATACAAATGATTAAGTGAGCAATTTCTATCATTAACTGGACACAAATCGTGTGTGTGTGTATTCATATGTATACATATGCAAACTATGTATGTGTATATTAAGTGAACAATTTCTATCATTAACTGGACACAAATTGTTTCTGGGCAAATTATACATGTATAATTTATATGTAATAATACATTATATATATTTTATTTAATTATAATATATATTATATATGCAATTTGTATATATGTGTATATGCAATTTGTATATATGTGTATATGCAATTTGTATATATGTGTATATACAATTTGCCCCAAAACACTGAACTCTAGTTGGTTCTGTAGATTCCCTAAAAACTCATGTCAACTCCAATTTGTATCATTTTGAGGTAGAAGACACACCAAGAATCAAATGATGGCTGGGATTTGCAGCTAAGATTCAGGTGTCAGTTCACTTATCTGATACCACCAAACCCATGTACCAATGTCTACAACTCATTTTGATTTCTCTCTAGTTGCCATTTGAAGTCAATCAGTTGTCTAAGAAACCCTCTTGAGAACCTCCCCAGTGTTGGGTGCTGTACACAGGTGAGCATATACAGAAGAAAGAATCCTGGTCAAGGCTGAAGAGGATCTGGATTCTCTTTCAAGTCCGGTTATATACTTGTTATAAGAAAACAAATCCCTTATTCAGGAAGGCTGTGTGATATGCTGCATAAGTCCTGGGATTTGGGAAGAACTGAGTGTGTTCTCATATCTCTACTTCTTACTACCAGTGTGGTCTGGACCTTGGGTTTCTCATCAGGAGAGAAAATTGCACCTAATTATCTCTAATATTCCTTATAGCTATATAATTCCCCCACTACCCAAACACAAATCCCTCACATTTTTTTTTCATTGTAACCAGGAAACAGATGATCAAACAATGTAAAATATTGGGTTGAACCATATGAAGTTGCCATTTTGGGTCTATTAAAATAGAATCTCATATGGTTCAACCTAGCATACAGTATTATAAAAAGTCTTTTCTTGGTCAAGCATCACTGTGGCTTATATTAATAAGTTATATTTGTACAGTGCCACACAAGTGCTTTCGTGTACGTTATTCATATGTAGCAAACATTTCCTGAGGGGCCTCTGATGTGCCTGGAGTTTCTAATACAATTTCTCATTTAATCCTCACAATAACCAGGAAAGGTGGGTTATTCTGATCTACAGGAAAGTGAAAAAGCTCAGGACAATGAGACGAAGAACCCAAGGTGATACAGCAAGGAAGGGACAGCTGAGATTCATGCTTGGCTCAGACTCCAATGCTCTTCCCACAGACCATCCTCCTGCTGGTCTGAGGTAGTCTAATGTCTTTCTCTTATCCCAAGAACCTCCGAAATCTTAATCATTTCATACTTTTGATGAGCAAAAAGAGGGTGCTTCAGGCTTGGGCTGATTTTTCCCTCTCTTTGCTGGCAGTACCATGCCGGAAACTGAAAATGGCAGATTCCTGCCTAAATCCTGGTGGGTAAGGTGCGGGTGTGTGGAAGGAGGAGGGGGGCAGCTTCTATCTGCAGAGACTCTTAGTGAGGGGAGAAAAAGCACATCTTTATAGGTAAAAAACTCTGTTGCTTGGCTTGAAGCTAACCCCTACGACATACATTACTGTCTCTCTGTTCAATCAGTGTTCTGCTACAAGAATCAGTTACATTCAATCATCTGAAAGAGCTATTAAAATGCTGATAAAAAATTCATAAAGTAACACACAGTAATGAATCAGGAGAATTCAGTAAAGTGAGACCTACCCTTAGAGCAGGGCAGAAATGAAGGTGAACGATCGTTTGGGCCCAGCGGCCATGAAATACCCTTTTGGAAGATGAATAATTCTGTTTAGGGCTGATAAGTTGAACTAATTTATAATGCTGTTTTAGGTCCACTGCTGAAATATTTCAAATCCCTCAACTTTAAAATGCATTGCCTGTCAGAAACTGGTCTCTTAACAGTTTCCTCTTAACATTTTTCAAAATGTAACCTAGACCAATTTGCATGATTTAATGCTTATTGTATTATACTGTGCATGATTTAAAAATGGGAAATAAAATTTAAAAAAAAAGAGAAAAGAGAGAGAGAGGGAGAGTCAGGGAGAGGCAAACAAGGTGGCATGAAGGGAACAAGTGAGAGCCAAAGGGAGAATTAAGATCTGTCAATGGCTGGCAGAATGTCCCCCTGGGTCTCGTTGAAGGGAAATCTAACTGGACATCATAGACCCAACAAGTCTCTAACCCGGTAAGTAGACTTGAGTGGCCAAGGGATGATGGAAACAATCCTCACCGAGGCAAGATGGGAAAGGAACTCTGTGAATCAATAGGAAAGGGCTGATTAAAATGCTCCACTGAATTCTCACTAGCATTGCCCATCCCATTCTCAAATAGTTCCCGGAAATCCTTGGAAATCCTCCTAGGAGTCACTGTCATGGTTTAGGTTCAGGTCCTCATTATTTCTCTCCTGGATTCTTGCAAAAGCCTCTTAATTGGCACCACCGTCTAGCCTCTCCTCTCTGCAATCCATCCTCCTCTGTTCTGCTGCTTTCCTTTTCTTTCTATAGCAAATCTGATCATGTTATTCCTCATTTTAATAACCCTCAACGGCTCCCCACTGCCTGCAGGAGAGACTCTTAACTCCTGAGCATCACCTGCATGACTCTATATGCTATAGCTTCCAACCTATTTGGTTATATCTTCTGTTACTTAATAAAGGGAATCAAGGAAATAATGAATGGTTACAAAACATACAACCAAAAAAAATTAGTATCCAGAGTATATAAAGAGCTTTACAGGTAAATACAAAAAAGATAAACAACTCAATAAAAATATGGACAAAGGATATTATGTTGAATAGCCTATAAATGTGTAAAAAGATGCTCAATTTCACTAGTAATTGGGAAAATCCAAATGATCGGAATAGTGAGATGGTATTTTATATTTATCACACAGGAGAATATTAAAATGTCTGTTGACAGTCAATGTTCAGCAAGATATGGTGAAAGGGAACTCTCAGACACTTCCCAGGCACACGCATGAATTCAACCACCGCAGAGCAACTGGCAATAAGCAGTTGGGGTGAAGATGCTCACACCTTATGACCCCATGATACGCTTTGGATGTTCTGTCCCCTCCAAATCTCATGTTGAAATGTGATCCCCAGTGTTGGAGGCGGGGCCTAGTGGGAGGTGCTGGGTCATAGGGACGGAACTCTCATGAATGGCTTTCCCTTGGTGATGAATGAGTTCTCGCTCTTAGTTCACACAGGAGCTGGCTGTTCCAAAGAACCTGGCATCTCTTTTGCTCCCTCTCTTCCCCTGTGATACATTGGCTCCCTCTTTGCTTTCTTCCATGATTGGAAGCTGCCTGAGGCCTCACCAGAAGCCAAGCATATGCTGGTGCCATGCTTGTACAGCCAGTAGAACCATAAGCCGAATAAACCTCTTTTCTTTAGATAGTACCCAGTCTCAGGTATTCCTTTATAGCAATGCAAAACAGACTAACACACCCAGCAAACCTAATCCTTGGCATAAAGAAACAATGGTTGACTGTGGACTTCGTCATTATATTAAAAATGAAAAACAATCTAAATATCCAATAGGAGGATTAATAAAGTATGGTTTATTCACATAATAAAATAATATACAGCAGTTAAAATAAACTAGAGCTCTATCTCATATAGATAAACAGCCAAAACATATTATGTAGCCAAGAAACAGCTTTTAAAGGGGTAAAAGAGAGGACATTATTTACATAAAGGTTAAAAATTGTAAAACAAATCTATACAGTGCTCATTTAATAAATCCTATGGTGATTTAAAAGAAAGGGGCCAGGCACAGTGGCTCACACCTATAATCCCAGCACTTTGGGAGGCCAAGGTGGGCAAATCACCTGAGGTCAGGAGTTCGAGACCAGCCTGGGCAACATGGTGAAACCTCATTTCTACTAAAAATACAAAAATTAGCTGGGCATGGTGGCGCACACCTGTAATTCCAGCTACCTGGGAGGCTGAGACATGCGAATCACTTGAATCCAGGAGCAGAGGTTGCAGTGAGCCGAGATTGCACCACTACACTCCAGCCTGAGCAACAGTGACTCCATCTCAAAAAAAAAAAAAAAAGGAAACAGAAAAGTAGATGATTTCTATGGCAAAAGTGCTTCCTCTTAATAAGGGGGTTAGGTCTGGACTAATACAATTTCCTAAGGGCAAAAGGTGGATTACAGCCACCATTTGAGATGGAGTAAGCTTCACCAGTGGGGTTTGCTGTGGTGGAGACAGGGGGATAGATTATATGCCTTCCAGGCTGGGCAGACTCAAATCTGTCCCCTTATTACATCCTCACTCTCCTAATGGAATGGTCTTTGATCGTACACAGGCTTTTGCTATCTTCAATTATGGAAAACAATTGTACCACTTATGGAGGCTGTGGCTTCTGGTGCTGTGCTCTCCATTTATTCATTTAGGAGGCTGTGGGTCTGATCAGAAATAGCCACTTTGGTTGATACACCACTACTACCCAGAGGTTTCATAAATCTTGATTAATTGTTTCAGTGCTTTGTTATGAAGGGTTTCCTCTATGTTGTGTTACTTAAAATTTTTTTACACAACCCAAGTTGTCAAATGAAGGCAAAAACCCCACATAACATGTGATAATAAGGCTGTTACTGTAAAGGGCTCCCTAATCCTGTATTTATCCACCTGTTCCCCATTACGCAGATCTGTTAAACTAGCACTTTGTCCATCAACACTTGAGTGCTTAAAGCTGAGTAGGCCCCTTTTATAATTGCTGGCACCAGCAAAAGCTAAATTGCGAGCTCTCAGAATGGGGCTGGAACTGCTGGATCTGCCTGACAGATCCCTGCCACGCTCACTTGTCCAAGACCTACTGCCCCCCCACACTTCACTCACCAGTGTGTATATATCAAAAGCTGCATGGTTTTTTTTTTTTCTTTAAGTGAGTTTTGGGAAGAAACAAGAGGAAAAAGTTAAAAAAAAATTTCCTCTGGTGACACTTCTGCTGGGTTACAACTCCACCAAAGATTTATAGCTTCACAAAGCTGCAAAACTAACCATATGGTCAATTAAAAAGAATTCCAATTTCCATGCTCCTGAGCCTAGAACCTGAGATGAAAGTTCCTTGCTTAACAAGGATTTCAGCCTTCTGGGGGGAGTCCTTTAGTCCTTTAAAGCTCACCCCAAATCATGTCAGCTGACAGTATGGATGTTTCGATGTTTTCCTACTGAGGAGCGGGAGGGAAAAACGGTTCCACAGCCCCTGTCACTCCCTAATCTGAAAAGTGCTGTGGAGGCAGAAGGGCCACTTGAAGCGTTACCTCCTTCCTTGCTTCTGGCCCCCGGGTAATTTTTATAGAGTCACAAGTGAGTTGAAGAACTCCAAAGAATTTCACACTTCCCTCCAAGTGGTCTGGCTTCACCTCTAAATCAAGTAGCTCAAAACAGCATTTGAAATCTTAGACTCAGCAGGCTTAGCAATGTCCAAAAAAAGCCCCGCAAAGGCCTCTATGTGGCTAATATCACATGGATATGTGCGCCATCTGGATTTGCTAGTTGCCAGTGAGCTTTTTGTGTGGGAGGCCCACCCGGTTCACCACTGCCTTGATGGTTAATACCCAGCTCCCTAGCTGAGATCAACGTGGGGACCCATATTCACAGCTGAAACAGGAAAAGGTCACAGACAAATAAATGCATGCTCTCTGCCACATCCCAGCCAGTCAATCCAAATGGGATGCTTTCTTGACTCTCTGGACTATAGAAATTTTGTATTTACTTTGTCATTTATAAGCTCATGAAGTTGGGTGGGGTTCAGGTAGGCTGACCTTTAATTTATCAATCAAACCAGGACACTTTGAAGAGTGAAAGTGGGAACACTTAAAAATTATGACAGGACAGGCCGGATGTGATGGTTCATGCCTGTAATCCCAGCACTTTGGGAGACCAAGGCAAGGCGGATCACTTGAGGTCAGGAGTTCAAGACCAGCCTGGCCAACGTGGTGAAACCTGGTCTCTATTAAAAATACAAAAATTAGCTGAGCATGGTGGCGCATGCTTGTAATCCCAGCTATTTGGGAGGCTGAGGCAGGAGAATCGCTTGAACCTGGGAGGCAGAGATTGCAGTGAGCCCAGATCGTGCCACTGCACTCCAGCCTGGACAACAGAGTGAGACTCTGTCTCAATAAAAAAAAAAAAAAAAAAAAAAAAAAAAAGAAAATGAAAAAAAGTTTAAAATGAAAAAAATAAAAATAAAAAATTATGACAGGACAAAGGGCATATAGAAGTTGGGGCTGTCCCAGGGAAACTGGGATGTGTGATTACCTAGATTTAGGAGGTTGTTTTATTATGATCTCTTCAAATTTGAGAAAAAAAAAATAAGAGAGGTAGGGCCAAAGTATCCAAGTAACAGTTTCTCTCACTGGATGACACAATCCAGTTTCCGCATTTGGAAATTGCCGGTGTGGCATGGTGGATTTCGTCTGGAAATCTGATGTTTGGTTTTTCTTTTCTTCCTTTGCTCTGCTGTGGCAGTTTGCAAATGCTTTGACCTCAGGACCCCTTTATACTCTTAAATTTTTTTTTGAGAACTTCCAAAAGGCTTTTGCTATGCTAATTAAAAATTAAAGGCCGAGCGCAGTGGTTCACGCCTGTAATCCCAGCACTTTGGGAGGCTGAGGCGGGCAGATAAACTAAGGTCAGGAGTTCCAGACTAGCCTGACCAACATGGCGAAACCTCGTCTCTACAAAAAATACAAAAATTAGCCGGGCATGGTGGTGGGTGCCTGTAATCCCAACTACTCAGGAGGCTGAGGCAGGACAATCACTTGAACCCGGGAGGTGGAGGTTGCAGTGAGCCAAGATCGCGCCATCGCACTCCAGCCTGGGTGACAGAGCAAGATTCCGTCTCAACAAAAATAAATAAATAAATAAATAAAAATAAATAAATTAAAACTGAGAAAACTGTAAAATGTTTATTCATTTAAAAATAACAATAAACCTATTACCTGTTAAATACATTTTTATAAAAATAACTTTTTCAAAACAAAAAAATTAGTGAGTTTTACATTTTTTTCAATTTTCTTTAATGTCTGGTATAGAAGATGTCTGGATTCTCATATTTGCTTTTGCATTCAATATTTTAAATCACATGTCATGTAGCCTCTGGCAAACCCCACCATGTATTTGTGAGAGAATGATAGTAAGTGAGAAAGGCAAATAATGTCTTATTATTGGGAAAATAGTTTTGGCCTTGGAGAACTCCTGACAGGGTCTTGGGGATCCCCCTTGGGTACCTGGGCCACTCTTTGAGAACCACTGTGTTACTGGAATGAAAATAAAAATGTTTCCCCACTCCTCCTAGGAACATTTGGTTACTAAAGCTCTCTCTGCCCTATAGGAAAGGGAAACTAGTTTTCTTCAGTTGCTAAGTTCAATGGCCATGAAAATCTAATGGAATGAGAAAGATAAAGTTTAAGAGAGCTTAAGTAAAGAATTGTAGTGCCTAAGATATGGGGAAGGGCTTCGCTAAGGAAAAGATTCACCCAGAATGGAGAAGCAGAGGAAGCTGTGGCTGTCAGAGCACCAGGGCCCCACACCCTATTCTGGAATGGCTCACAGGAGGAAGCAAGGCCCCAGGAGAAATGGCCACACCAGGCTCCTGGTGGCTCACAGGGATGGGGATGTGGGGTCTTCCCACAGTGATCTGGGGGACCTAAGACCTAGAGGACTTCCAGCCTTCAACATCCCTTGGCAAAAAGACACAGAACACAGACACAACTCTAGGGATGTAGGATGCACTGGGAACGACTTAAGTGCAAGGTCCCTTTAGGGGGTACAGTTTCAAGTAGAAAATGAAGTTGATGTAAGAAAGCAAAGAAATAGGGTGTTTCTTCCACACTAGAGATTGTAGGCTGAGAGTCTTGCTCACTTTTTTTGTATCTGCTTTGCTCAATTCGGGAAGCTATCAGCAAGGAAGGGCATTGTCTCAAACAAGTGCACAGTACCCACACCATTCTGAGTCCTTGATGAGAGTAAAATGGCTGCATTGGTCAGCCTGGTTTATCTATGCTCAAAAATGTCAAAAGACACGAAAAAGAGAAGATGGAAGAGTTACTATCCAAGGGTCAAATTCTCCATACCTGGGGTTCATTCATCAATGAGCTATGCAGTAGGCTTATACCGTGGGCCAGACAGGCAGCAGCTCATTCTCTTTTAAACCTTAGTTTAATCTGTAAACTAAAGAATCCTCCCTATATTCTAGAACTGTTATAAGGATTAAATGAAATAATCCATGGAAAAATACTTAACATGGTTCCTGGAACAAAGTAATCAGCAATCTATTTTTCTTTTCTATCTGCTCAACTGTACCTTCCGTAGGGTACTTTCCCAACCTTCCTCCCAAGTCAGAATACCTTATAATCTCTCATAGTCCCAATGCCTCTCCCATACACCATGGCTGTGATTCTAAATGGACTTATGGGATTCCCAAGTCTCTCTCCCACCATAGCAGAAGCTCCATGAGGGCAGGAATGGTGCCTTGGTTCTTTCTTCCCTCTGCTGTATTCCCTGTGTCAAGCACAGTGCCCAGCACATCACAGGTACTCAACACTTGAATGAAGTAATGGCACTTATTGCTGCGAAGAAAGAAAGTGTAATGCACACCTATTATTATTGTGGGAAAATTCCTTTCTGTGGTTTGAGAATGTCATGGATGTAGAAGACTAGATCTCAAGAGTCCGAGACTGAAAGGAAAAATATAATGAAAGGAGAAAAGTATGCAACCATAGGGAGGCAAAAGGCAAGTCAGCTTAGCATAGATATGGAATTTGGAGAGAACAAAAATTCTAGAAAAAGGCTTCAGTTCTGAATAAGACTCAAACTCAGGGTCTTCCTTGCTTTAAATAGCAGAAGTGTTACAATGCAAACATTAGCATGTTATCCTAACTAATTAATACCTTGCCCTTTCTCCATCACACTGATAAGCATGCTAGTTAGTAAGTGATTAAAACATTTCTACCTGATTACTAACTATACAGTTAAATGCTTACAAGGAACCACAGTTAATGGGATATCACAGGCAAGATTGCCAATTATGGCTGTAACCGTGGTGTATGTATGTACGCGCACACACTCTGTTCTGAATGAAGACACTCTCCCCACTCATATTTTCTCAGTCCCTTTCTGTCTTCATTGTTGGAGTTGGAGATTCAGGACTGACTACTGGGGAGAGAAAGATTTTGGGAAGGCGGAGGAAGGATGAGGAAAAGAGAAGAAGGATCTGAGGCAATGGAAGGATTTCAATATGCGGAAGTAAGAACCCGACTGGTACTAATCTGCAAAATTAAGATGCCTGTTAATAAACATCAAATGCTCGGCACTGTGAACAAAGCAGATGTATTAATTTTCCATTTCTGAAAAAAAGCCACACTTCTCCCTGGCTACTATTCTGCACCCTCCCTTTCTTCACTTCCCTCCCTTTCTTTCCTTCTCTCCCTACCCCCCTCCTTTTTGACAGCACTATTAATGATCGTTAATGCCCCACAGGCTCTAATGGGTCCCACTGGGAGTCCAGAAATACTGTAATTTGTATTGAGGATTTAGACATAACAACAACAAAAAAAAGCCCTCTGCTCCCCGTAGCCCGAGCTTGATCAGTTAGCTACCCCCATGGAATTGCACAACAGAATAATAAATGACAGCTCTTCGATTAAATCAAGCCTTCTGCTGTAAGTGCTGGAGAGAGTGTGATTGTCACTAACAATCTACTGCTTGTTAACACCATTGGGCTATGAACAAACAGTAGTCAACACCTAAAAAATTAAGTCTTTGGAATATTTTTGGTATTTGTGTCCACACATGCATTGCCCATATGAGGTACATGCACACACACATGTGTACACATACACTTTTCAGGTGCCCCATCTTATTTTGGGTTGGTTTTTATGTCTTAGTTACTTTTTCTTTATTTTTATTTTTTTGAGACAGAGTCTTGCTCCATCACCTAGGCTGGAGTACAATGGTGCGATCTTGGCTCAGTGCAACCTCTGCCTCCTGGGTTCAAGCGATTCTCCTGCCTCAGCCTCCCAAGTAGCTGGGATTACAGGTGCCCGTCACCATACCTGGCTAATTTTTGTATTTTTAGTAGAGACAGGGTTTCACCATGTTGGTCAGGCTGGTCTTGAACTCCTGACCTCAGGTGATCCACCCACCTCAGTCTCCCAAAGTGCTGGGATTATAGGTGTGAGCCACTGCGCCCGGCCTTAGTTACTTTTTTTTAATGTTCAGGGAAGCTCCATAAAAAAGCCAGCTGTTGTCATGTTAAAACAACAACAAAAAGAATTACTTGCACACTCATCTGCACCTCAGATATGGTATTCTTTCTTTTTTTTCTAATTTTAAAAATTTTTGTAGAGATGTGGTCTTGCCTAGGCTGGCCTCAAACTCCCAGGCTCAAGCGATCCTCCCGCCTCAGCCTCCCAAAGCAGTGGTATTACAGTTGTGAGCCACCATGCTTGGGCCAGTATTCTTGATGAAACAATTTACCAAATGATAAAGGCTTGATTCTGTGTTTCTCTGGTTAGTCTTGCAAGAGGGAATACGCAAGGCAAGGTAGGCTAAAACTGAGTTTGTGGCTGATTTACAATTTACACTTATTTCCTCAAGGTTCTTACCATATTGCCTTCTGAATAAAATGTTCATTTTCCAAAAGAGGGTGGTGAAGACCAGGCCTAATTTGGGTTGGTGCTCACTCAGCATCAGTGGTCCCTGTCTTGGAGAGCCAGGCTTCCCCAGATTCTGAGCTCTCTGCGCTGGGACAGCACTCGTGTCCTTTCATCTCTCACAGCACTGTTCTGGACCCCAGATGAGCCTCCAGAAGACTTGAAAGGCACAGAGGGGACTCCACATGGCCCAGAGTAGGTTGGGACACACCATACATGTACCTGCATTAATTTCCCCCATATAGATAAGAAACTGCTGAATCTCAGCCCCGAAATAAACAACAGAGCCTGCCTGTTAGACGCTTACATTTGAACTCAGAAGGGCAGCCAGAAGGGGTCCCCACAAGCCCAGGAGAGCAGCGTGGGACTGCTGGCTGCCCTCTCCAGAGATAGATGGTGTATCTGCAGTTGACCTTTACGCTGGGCGCGGAGCACGTGTCTGTTTTGACAGAACAGCTGAGAATAATTATTCTCTCTCCCTCTCCCTCCCTCCCTTCCTCTCAGTCTTGGTGGAGAGTGGGATGCAACACAGTCTCTTCAAGTGAGAGGCAGTAATAGGCAGATGGTTTGAACTACAGTTAGCCATATTCACTTGCAGATTTAGAATTATTGATGATAAAAGCTAAACTATGAGGCATGTTCCATCTGTTTATTTTCCAATTTTCATTTGTTGTAGCCCTGTTAATATTACTGGGATTTTCTTCTCTCTCCAGAAGCGCTGCCATAAGGGCATCTACCTAGAGACGTCTGTCCTTGTAGCTCCAGATGCATTGCCCTCGCTACTGCTGTTCGGGCTCTGCTCTCTCGCTCCTCACCACCCCCTTGCCCTGCTCTTTCTCTCCTCTCCTCTCAATCTGGGGAAATCTTCTACCTTCTGTTATGATCCTGATTGGCTCCTGCACCTTTAATGTCAGTCCCAGGGGAGAAAAAGACACCCCAGGGATCATGCTTGGCTCAGCCTGCACCTGGGATCACGTGGCTCCCCGTGTTCCAGTGCTCTGTGCCTGAGATGATCTCAAACAAGGTACAAACCAGGAGGAGGCATCACGTTCAAGGCCAGCGCCTGGTCTTGGAGCATGACTTCTACTCGGAGCCTGGAAAGAAGGGGTGGGTAATTAACCTGATAAGGAGCTAAGACATTACTGATACGGAAACAAGCACAAACATGTTATGAAAGGCAAGTGCCACTTTGGTCCCCATCCCGGCCTGCCAGGATTGTGGTCCCTACCTTGGGGACAAGTTGGCAGAGAAACATGAAAGGTCCTACCTCCCCCAAACCCTCTGGTTAGCAGGATCTTGGCATGTGAGACTTAAATTCTCCAGCTGCATTTTCTGTCTGAGGTGGCCTGCTCCCTCCTTAGGACAACGGCTGGACTTAGCCTGGGTATAACCACGGTTCACAGGAGCCACGTGCAATCTGTGTCGGCAGGAACTTCCTAAGTAACTTATAAGCCTCTTTTAATCGAGAGGCAAAGCTCTCCATCTTGTTGACACTTATGACCCTTGATTTAAAATACTCCAATTGTTTAATTCAGATGGGGCCAGGAGAAAGTGCAGGCCCTTTCCATTAGGACACTTTCTAATGGGAGCAATACATCAAGTCCTTGCCTCTAATCTGAATAACAGCTGTTTGGAAACCTGTCCTGGGTCTATCATTTGGAGCTGCATTTAGGAAGATCAACATTCCCCATATTAACTTCATGTTTATCTCCACTCTGGGAGAACTGGTTAAAAGCACCAGGAAAGGAAACCATCACCCACCTGATTTCATGGTGCTTCTGCTCCTCCTTCTCTACCAGCCTTCTCTTTCTCATCCAAAAAGGAAGTCTTTAAAATTCACCTCTAGGAGGTAAAAATCAACCTCCCTGAGGCTAATGAACGCATAGAAATATGCTTACAGTCATCTATTGAGCGCTGAGTGGATGGAGGCTCAGGGCCAGGCTCTGCGAAACCACCAAAGACAGACTCCACATCTGGTGAAGCAAGATTCACTGAGTTAGAGTCTCAGGCCCTGCTACCTCTCTTGAAATCTCTGATTGCTTAGTGTATTGGTCTGTTCAGAGGCAGCTTTTGACACAACTACAACTAATCATACTTTTTTCTTTTTCCAGCCTCTTCCATTTAGATTACAACCTTTGTGAAGGTAGAATGTTATCAATCAGAGCTCCTGTGGGCCCTGGAATAGCAGGATACTGCACTGTAACTCTGATGTTTTGATGACAATGAAAATTAATGAGTGAAACATGCCTCATCCTTCCTGACAATTTCACAATAAAACCTGTGTAAATATAAAAACAGAAAAAGATTCTGGCTTGTCTTAGAAGATTACAGAAACGTGGATACCAAGCCCCAAACACTTGCAGGAAACTCATGATTTCGAGAGGAAAACATTAGATGTTTGTCCACTTAATATATCAAAGGAGAAGATACCAATCAAGTAACTGATATTGTCCAACCTTCCCGCAAGTGGGACAGCTACTGCTCCTCGGTGCCGGTCCCCTTCCTTCCTGCATCACTCACACATCTACACTGCTATTCACATTTCATCTGCAAGTCCTCTCTGCCCATAATCTCTGTTATTTTGCTGTCGACTCCTCATGCCTCATTAGTCATGTTTGACACCTGCACCTAATGTCTTTTCACTGACAGCGCAGGACAGCTTCTGGTAAGAATAGATCTTTTCCAGAATAGCTTCAACAGAGGTCTCTGATTGTGTGGCAAAGGTGTGATATGGGGTCACGGTGGCTGCCCTTTCCCCATTCAGTAAACCCTCTTCATTAGACCTCTCTAAACCTGGCTCCATTTAAAGACTGGACATGTGGCTATTAGGAGCTGGAGGAAGGAATGCAAGCAGAAGGAAATAAAAATAGCCTATAAAGCTTTAATATTTAATTGACAACAAATCTATGTACTCGAGCTCCTGTGCAGTAGCCTGCAAGACGACAGATGAGAAATGTCTCACTATAAAGTATTATAAAGATTTTCACACCCAAGCTTACAATTCATGACTTATTAATGAAATTCTCATATTCAAAAATTCAAAATTTTTGTTTCAATGACAAATTCATTGCCAAGTAGTTCAACTAACAAGCAACCTCAAATCTTGAGCGGAGGGGAGATGGCTGATGTAAAATAAAACCAAAGTAATGCTGCATTGATAGTCAAACTTTTCTCTGCATTTTGGCCGGTTTTCTTTCTTCTTTTTTTTTTTTTCCTTATTTTTAAAAACAATTTTGGGCTGGGTGCAGTAGGCTCACGCCTGTAATCTCAGCATTTTGGGAGGCCAAGGTGGGAGGATCACTTGATCCTAGGAGTTTGAGACCAGCCTGGGGAACATAAGAAGACCTCACCTCTACAAAAAATTTAAAACATTAGCAGGGCATGGTGGTGCACACCTGTAGTCCCAGCTGCTTGGGAGGCTGAGGTGGGAGGACTACTTGGGCTGGGAGTTCAAGGCTGCAACGAGCTATGATCAAGCCACTGCACTCCAGCCTGGACAACAGAGAGAGAATCTATCTCAAAAAAAAAAAAAAAAAAAATGAGACGGGAGTCTTGCTCTGTTCCCAGGATGTTGTGATCCTCCCACCTCAACCTCTCAAGTAGCTGGGATTACAGGTACAAACCACTGGGCCTAGCTTGGGCCAATTTTCAAACATGATCTGTCAGATCATGAAAGATAACACAGGCACACATCACAGTTTACTGACTTTGTAAATCTAATGCTACACTTAGAATTTGTAAGTCTAATTAGACAGTGACTATTTGGTGACATAAACAGATCCAGCAACTGGCTGTCATGTGACAGCCATTAACATGTGACAATGGATTGGGCCAGTCAGGTGCCTCTTTTGGGGACAAACTTTCTCTTTCCAAAATGTGTTGAATCATCAAGAGTCTGAGTGAAATAACCGACTAGCTGCACCCAGTGCACAGGCACACCTATGGGTGCTGCTACCTCGTTTCCCCTGGTTCTCCCTCTGGAGAAGTGCTCCTTTCCTCCCCACCCTGGGGAGCACTTGCAACTGTGTGGGACTGTTTTTCAGGAGTCAAGGTGATGGTGATAGATACTGGTATTTAATGGGCAAAGCAGTGTTGCTAAGTGTTTTGTGATGTGTGGGAGGAGTCTACCCTAAATGCCCAAAACTCCTCTACTGACAAACAATGGAGGGTACATGATATCTTGGAAGATCACATCTTCTTTGGCTGTTTTCCTGAAGTCTTCACCTGTAAAACACATCCGCTTCAGAACAGGACTATACCATAGCTGTGATATTTGCTGTTAAGTACTTTTCTGAATGGGAACTTTCTAATGTTTACAACCAGGTAGGAAGTTAATGAGTGCTTCTCTGCCCATGTGGTACTGGGCCCTTCCCACTATACACCTCACTGAGCCTGGGCTGCTATAAACAAAGTCTGTTGGGAGTCATGACCTCTGGATGTGAACAACCTGCATTGCTACTTTTCTGCAGGGGACACAAAATATTCTTGAGATCCTAAGTTCTACAAGCACCACTGGAAGCGGTGGGCAAAAGTCACTCTAACAGGAAGAGATCCTTGATTCCATCACAGTTCACTGCCTTCAGGACTATACTCACCAACTATTATTTCACTCAATTTCTTTCAAACAGATGCAGGCCATCTCCTATTTCAGTATGGCACAAGTGGGGACAACTGGCAGCCTTAAAGTGTAACATCTTCCATTTGCTGTCGATAGTGTGTTCTTACACAAGAGCTACTATCTTTGTCCAACATTCAGAAGGTGTGCCATTAATACGGAGCCAAGATAAACATGGCTGGAGAGGGAAAGGGTACGAGGTGGACCTGAAGCAATTCGTAAGCACATGGTCGAAGCAGCACTTGCAGCTGGAGGTCCTAGAAACTGGAACTGTCAAACCTGTCACACTGCTGTCACCATGACAGGGAGAGGAAAGTCACGGAGGTGCTTCCATTTCTAACCAGTGTACATCTCTACAAGAGACACATCTCAGGAACAGCTTGACTAATGGTCAAGTTCTAACAGACATGGAGGGAATGAGAATGCTATTGACAGGGAAAGCAGCCTGGCTGGGTGGGAGGGTAAGTTCCTGAGCCATGGAGACACAGCTGACAGCAGAAGTGAAGGGCTCCTCAGGCCACCTGCCTCTAAGACATTAATGGGATTTCTGAGGTTGAACTAGGTTGGAGTTTAAGTTTGTGGGTTGCTGGGGTAGGGGGAAAAGAAAGCTAGATGGCTGCAAAAATGAAAAGAGCATCACGTAGGGCAGCACAGTATTCCTGACTCCACAGTTAGATTATAACAATCATATGGAGTTTGATGGTTTTGTTTGTGTTGTGGAGAAAGGGGGGAAGGAGCTGTTGAGGGGGAGGTTCATGACACTGGAGCATGTCTGCATGTCTCATGTAGCCTGGATGAGGGTTCCGGGAGGCAACACCACCACCCCTACCCAACGACAAAACCAGGAAAGAAGAGAGGCCTGTGATGGTGAAAGGGCCTGAGGGTAAGTTCCACTGTGCTTTTGTCACCTGTGGGTGTGGCTCTGCAAAGTGACTATCAGCTAAGAAAACATGGGCATCTCTTTTACGGGTAGAACTTCCCTTTCTCTGGGTTCTGACTACTGATTTCCAGGGGCTCTTTGAGCTACAAGGGAAGCTAACAGGCTATCTCATAGGCTAGAAGGAGGCAGCCGATCCAGTTAATGCCCCTGTTTCCACAAGGACTCACAGTTCTAGAGCATTCTTCCTGGCCCCACATTCAGCTAGTGACACTGCTAACTACTCTCCCAGTCCTCACACATTCTGATCATGTGCCCCCCAGAGTAAAAACAGACAAATAACTCATTTAACTTGCCCGAGATATTTTTACTTATTGATATGCTTAATGATATACCAGTATACTAATGTATTTCTAAAATACACATTCACGAAATAAATCTGAATAGGTGAGATAAAAATAAGTAGAAAAAGTCATTTTAGATTTTTTCCTCATATCTCAAATTATTGTCCTTCATGCATACTTTGGGAGGTATCAATTCGGGCCAGGCACAGTGGCTCATGCCTGTAATTCCAGCACTTTGGGAGACTGAGGCGGGCGGATCACCTGAGGTCAGGAGTTCGAGACCAGCCTGGCCAACATGGTGAAACCCCATCTCTACTAAAAATACAAAAATCAACTGGGCGTGGTGGCGGATGCCTGAAATCCCAGCTACTCGAGGAGGCTGAGGCGGGAGAATCGCTTGAACCTGGGAGGCTGAAGTTGCAGTGAGCCGAGATCATGCTGCTGCACTCCAGCCTGAGCAACAAAGAGGGACTCCATCTCAAAAAAAAAAAAAATTATCAATTTGGTCAACCCATTATTTTGTGCCTGGAGAAGGTGCTAGAGGCTAAGCATTTCTCTAAGCACTTGAACTTACTGGCTGAAGCGGGAGAAATGAAAGGCGTGGTAGAACAACTTGAGAAAGGCCCACGGCTTCCAAAGAGGCTCCTTCATCCCGCCCCTGAATGGAGAAGCGGAATCTTTCTGACTTGAGGAAAGCCACATGTGAGATTTCATTTGTCTCTCTCCATTTCTAGAGATGTCAGATGTGGTTGTGATTTTTATGCTTGCCTCTCCTTTCCACATTCTCCATGTGGTGCTCATTTTTATCAATTGCTTTGGGTTTCATGCCGTTCCATCACTTTCCTTCTGCATTCCTTTTCCTGGGCTTTTATTCCCACCACAAGCTGCTGGTTCATTTCAGAGCAACTTGTTGCATGATCAGGACAGAGAAAGTAGGCTGCTTTTCCAAGAACAGGACGGGAGAGGGGCCAGAGAAGGCATCCACTGACTGGGGTGTCCTGAGTAAGAGGTGGGTATTTGCTTTTTGTTTTGTTTTTTTTTTTTTTTGAAGACCACCAGTACCTTTAGCAACCTTAGGTAAAGGGAGCAGAGCAGTGCTGGAGAGGGAGGAAACGTGTAGTTGTGATTAGGAAATGACAGGATTCCACCTCTTGGGCAATACTGTAAAACATATACACTCACTGTCTATTTTCCGAAGGACATCGTGTCTTGAGCTATGGCACTCCACACGTACAGAAAAGTCAGGATCAGGCAAGGATGGTTCAGAAAGGAGCAAGAAACCCAGCACACAGCTGGAGTCTTCCTCAACAAGTCTGACTGGATTCCACTCTGAAATCTCTCTTGAAATGGATTCTATCATTTGGTCAGACCTTGACTGTAACCTCCTATCTACATCTGGGAGCCTGCAGACTTACCTTGCTGTAAACTAACAATTCTACACCAAAGCTTCTGCCAGTTTTCTTTTTAACTTAACCATCTTATAGTTCCTCTTCACCTTCTTAACCTCCTAAGACTCTCCACTGGTGAGAGCAATGGTTCTCAACATTTATTTCTCCTGTCCAAAGAATACTAACACATTCCCATCGATGACTGTGGCTAAGGCAGGGTTCTCTGGCTGAGGTGGGAAACCCACCCTCTCCAAGGGGTAGCTGGGATCTTGGGAGTGGTACGTAATTGGAAGAAGAGCTTCCTCCTATGAGCACTTGAGACCCTTCACATTCTGACCCAACCTATTTGCAGTGTTTCCAAGTTGCACCGCCAGCCTCTTCCATGTTGTTCCCAGTTCCCCGGCCATCCTGGAGGACTGCACTCTTAGACTGGGTGGGGCTTTGCCTGTCTGTGCCTTTGCATGTGCTGTTCCCTCTGCCTGGAACTCCTCCAGCCACTAACTTATCTTGCTGAGCACTCTGAAATGTCAACTTTTATCTCTGAAGGAAATAACTGCCTTTCCACCTATCCCTTCTCCTTTCCCTTCAGCAGGCCCAATTCCTCCTCTGGGACCCTTTAGCACAATGTCTGTCCTGCGGACACATGCATCACACTGAACCACAGTTGTGCATTCACCTTCCGTGAGACTGTAAGCATCCCGAGAGCAGGGACCCGTCTTACTCGCATTTGCTGAGATGGTGGCCACCTCAGTGCCCAGCAAGACTCAACACGGTAGAAGTGAGCTGAAAGAGAGATGCCAAAACCAATGTCCCAGGGGCTGCTGGTGACTGGAGCCATTCTCCTTGCCCTCCTCTTCCACAAAGGTTCGGTCCAGCCCCATGCCTTGGGGCTGCCCTGCGTCTCTTCACTGCCCTGAGCCTCCTCTTGTGCTCAGTCCTGACAGGGCGCTGTTACTGTGGCAGCAGTGATTTACAACTGCATTTAGCTGAATCTAATCAGAAGTGTGAATACTCCCCTTCTATCTGGCACACATCATCGCAGCTCTAATTATTCACACATTTTGGCAAGCATTCTGGTGTTCCCCTACCAAGCTCCTAATCCCAGCAGATCAGTTAAAATAAATGAAAGAGAGAATCAAAAGGCACTTTAAAAATTCAACTGTTCTCCAAATGAGTTTGAACAGGCTCCAGTTAACTAGTGGTTGCAGCTGACTGGCATTTAAAATATAAGAACCCTTCTGCCCACCAACCCCCCACCTAGTCCCTTCCTACACCCTCTGCTTATAAGAACATGATTCTATCCCATTTAAGAGAAACACTTGAGACCAGGCCCTGACATGTTTTCAATGATCTGCATTAAAAACCAGGAAAACATAGTCACCACCCCAAGACCCAATCAGTGCCAAAGCAATTCTGCTTTTTTCCACATAGGTAATGTGATACCAGCCCAGGACTGATGATTACTACTACCAGAATGCACCTATTAAAGAGCTCCCCAAGTGCAGGAAGCCATTAAGGCAAAAATTAAAGCCATGTACCAACCTCAGAATTTAAGAAGTTTTCAAATACACACACACATGCAATGAGTATGCGGCTCTGTGGATTTCAGGAAGGCAACGCATGCCGGTTTCCACACTCCTTGATCTTTCTGTTGGCCTGGACTTCTCTTCCCCAGACATCCTCAAAACTTGCTCCCTTAGCACCTTCAAATCTTTGTTCCAATGTCACCCCTCAATAACACCTCTTCCCACTTCTTTTCACTCCCAGCATTCTGTCTACCCCTCTTCCTGCTTTCTTTCTCTCCTTGGCACTAATCACCATCTGACACATGCATTATGTGTTTTACTCATTCACTCACCATTCCCTTGTACTCATAGAATGTAGGGATTCTTGACTGTTTGGACTATTGCGGCTGGAGTAGTGTCTGATGTGTAGCAGGTGCTCAGTAAACATTTGTTAATAGCAGAGTGAACTCCTCCTGATGGTCTCTGCGTGTCTGAGACCCTGTCCCAGGAAGCTGCAGGCCCTGTGCTTTCTCAGACTGGCTGTGTGGAAGATGCCAAGTATAGGATTAATAACACAGGACCTCAGCGAAAACCGAGGGTCCAGAATCCCTGACTCAGCTATGCCCCTAATGAACAGGTAACGCAAACTTCTGTCCCTGCAGCTTTAAAATAAGGGGAATGCCAAGAAAATCTACCTTTCAGAATTATTAGGAAATTCAAATAACATGTAGGAAGAACCTTGGAAAAGTTAAAGGCATTCTCCACATGCATGAGGATATTATTCTCCAAGATAAAGCAGTGCTCTCCATTTTATTTTCCAAAAACCAAGTATTCTCAGTTACATAACAAGAAAGTCTAACCATGGTTACACGTAAGGGAAACAGCACAACAATCCATCATGACCTCTTCTGTTTCCAAACTTTGACTTGCCCTAGATAAAGCAACCTGTCTGAAGCCTCAAGAAGTGATTGTGTGTCTGTGCGACTGTGTACGTGATGTGTGTGAGTGGGGTGTGTGATCGACGCTGATGTGACGTGTGCATGTGTGTGGGGGGTGTGTGTGTGTGTGACTGTGTACGTGGTGTGTGTGAGTGGGGTGTGTGATCGACGCTGATGTGACATGTGCATGTGTGTGAGGTGTGTGTGTGTGCCTGTGTACGTGGTGTGTGTGAGTGGGGTGTGTGATTGATGCTGATGTGACGTGTGCATGTGTGGGGTGTGTGTGTGTGTCTGACTGTGTACGTGGTGTGTGTGAGTGGGATGTGTGATCGACGCTGATGTGATGTGTGCATGTGTGGGGTGTGTGTGTGTGTCTGACTGTGTACGTGGTGTGTGTGAGTGGGATGTGTGATCGACGCTGATGTGACGTGTGCATGTGTGGGGTGTGCGTGTGTGTGACTGTGTACGTGGTGTGTGTGAGGGGTGTGTGATCGACGCTGATGTGACGTGTGCATGTGTGTGGGGTGTGTGTGTGTGTGACTGTGTACGTGGAGTGTGTGATCGATGCTGATGTGACGTGTGCATGTGTGGGGTGTGTGTGTGTGTCTGACTGTGTACGTGGTGTGAGTGGGGTGTGTGATCGACGCTGATGTGACGTGTGCATGTGTGGGGTGTGTGCGTGTGTGACTGTGTACGTGGTGTGAGTGGGGTGTGTGATCGATGCTGATGTGACGTGTGCATGTGTGGGGTGTGTGTGTGTGCCTGTGTACGTGGTGTGAGTGGGGTGTGTGATTGATGCTGATGTGACGTGTGCATGTGTGGGGTGTGTGTGTGTGTCTGACTGTGTACGTGGTGTGTGTGAGTGGGGTGTGTGATCGACGCTGATGTGACGTGTGCATGTGTGTGGGGTGTGTGTGTGTGTGACTGTGTACGTGGTGTGTGTGATCGATGCTGATGTGACATGTGCATGTGTGGGGTGTGTGTGTGACTGTGTACGTGGTGTGTGTGAGTGGGGTGTGTGATCGACGCTGATGTGACATGTGCATGTGTGGGGTGTGCGTGTGTGTGACTGTGTACGTGGTGTGTGTGAGTGGGGTGTGTGATCGACGCTGATGTGACGTGTGCATGTGTGGGGTGTGTGTGTGTGTGTGACTGTGTACGTGGTGTGTGTGATCGATGCTGATGTGACGTGTGCATGTGTGGGGTGTGTGTGTGTGTGACTGTGTACGTGGTGTGTGTGAGTGGGGTGTGTGATCGATGCTGATGTGACGTGTGCATGTGTGGGGTGTGTGTCTGACTGTGTATGTGGTGTCTGTGAGTGGGGTGTGTGATAGATGCTGATGTGACGTGTGCATGTGTGTGGGGGGGGTGTGTGTGTGTGACTGTGTATGTGGTATGAGTGGTGTGTGTGATCGATGCTGATGTGACGTGTGCATGTGTGGGGTGTGTGTGTGTGACTGTGTACGTGGTGTGTGTGAGTGGGATGTGTGATCGACGCTGATGTGACATGTGCATGTGTGGGGCGTGTGTGTGTTTGTGTACGTGGTGTGAGTGGGGTGTGTGATCGATGCTGATGTGACGTGTGCATGTGTGGGGTGTGTGTGTGTGTGACTGTGTACGTGGTGTGTGTGAGTGGGGTGTGTGATCGATGCTGATGTGACGTGTGCATGTGTGGGGTGTGTGTGTGTGTGACTGTGTACGTGGTGTGTGTGAGTGGGGTGTGTGATCGATGCTGATGTGACGTGTGCATGTGTGGGGTGTGTGTGTGCGACTGTGTACGTGGTGTGTGTGAGTGGGGTGTGTGATTGATGCTGATGTGACGTGTGCATGTGCGGGGGGTGTGTGTCTATGTGTAGGGTGGCGGAAAGAGTTTCACCAAATTTCTGCTGCTAAAGGTATATACTTACCCTAACCAACCTCACTCTAGGAGACTGTAAGCAACTGTTTACTGGGGCAAGAAGATTCTAGACAACGCCTTGGACAGATAAGGGGAATACTTGCAGTGGTTGACCAAGTAAGCTACATCGAAAACAGAGATTAATCCTGGTTCTTTGAACAGTGAGCCCCAAAAGGAACTTTTCATCTGGTCCCTAGTTTAAGTAGAAGGGGGGTGGACTTTCAACTTGAGCTTTTTTTTTTTTTTTTTTTTTTTTAAAGAAAAGGTTATTCACAGGAGAGGAGCTTGCTTAACACTGAACAGAACTGTTCCCTCACTCTCTCCCAGGTGCCCTGGGTAACTGAGAGACTTTTGTTACTAGGGTCGGCACGAGACCAAGGAAAATATCACCCTACTTGTCTATTTATATAAAATACTCCAACCATTTCTGTGTCTTTATGTTTAGGGGTAATAGCCACACAGCATAGATGTTGATGTTTCATGCATGTGAAATAACACAGTAGAAACCTCCTTTAAAAAATTACTTTTCTTCAGTGTCACCATGGAAACAGGCCAACATAATCTCTCCACACCTAACTCTGGAGGGTAAGGAATAACAGTGACTGGGGAAAAAAATCAAAACACTGAAAATGCTCATAAATTCTATTATGTGCCAAAAAATGTAACAAGAGACATTTTTCCTCAGCTTTGGGCTGGGATGTCAACCTGTGATGTTTACTTTTTGAACTTTGTTTGATTTTCAAAACTAAAAAAAATCAACTTGGGAAGTTTAGTGAAGTTCCTGCTAAGCAATAAATCACTTCAGGGCCTCCAGCAGTCTCCAGTCTGTTCTCTTAAGTGGAGTGGAGTTGGAGGCTGCAGAGCAAGGGAAAATGGCAGCCAGTGGGAACTGAAGGGATCTGAGTGTCGGGGGGGAGGGGCGGTGGGGACGTGGGGACACTCGTTAAAAGAAAATGTGGGAAGCAGGGCAGTCAGAGCCAGCCACAGCTCCCCTTCTCATTGCAATTATGGCTCCCGTCTCTAAAGCACTTACATTCTGGCATTTTCCTCGCCATGGGCCCCAGACAAGCTCTTCATGAGGCTGAGTGTTTGGCTGATTCAACCTTAGGCCAACAATGCTTTTCAAGATAAAGAGTGATAAAAAGACATAAAACTCTGTCAGAGTCTTGATTATCTGTAAAATAAATGTAGTTTTGAAAAAAAAAATACCCAAGCCTAGACTCTGAAGGGAAAGATTAGTAGAGATTTCTCAATTTGATATCTGTTTCTTTGAAAATCCAAGCTTCTTAGCAATGACTTCTCCTGCTTCTCAACTAAAATGTTCCTGGTGGAGACAAGATGTTGGTCACAAAGATCAGCTCTGCAATGAAAAGGACCATTTTATTCTGAGTCTTGAATTCCTAGTTCAAAGAGGACGCCGATTTCAAATCGTACTATCCCTATTTATTTATTTTAAATTTTAATCTCAGGGATTGCTGAACATAAATCCTTACTATTTTCTTTGTTGACTTTTTGGCAGTGAATACTTATCCTGCCTTATCATTTTACATATTTTTTTCTGGTCAGTGGATTTTATTTAACTGCCTAGAACTGCAACTCAGTTTTAAATACCATCTCCTGCCCCTTCAAAACACCCTAGCAATAACAGTGCTTAGTATATTATAGTAAGATATAAAATAAATATCTTTTTTGAAAGGAATTAGTAGACCTTCCAAGAAAGGTTACTTACTGAACTAACAGAAATCACAAGAAAGTAAAGGTTTCTAATACAATTTTTAATATAGGAATTCTAATTCCTATATTAGAATTCACATCCAGGCTGATACTTATGCTTTAACTCCTCCTAGACTTTGTTTCCACTCCTCAATTATATTTATATTAATGTGTTTTCCCCCAGCTCTCTGGGGGAGCAAGTTAGTATTTTCCTTGATGAATTATAGAAGTAATCTTTTCCCACCTAGAACATAAAGAAATTCCAAGACTTGGCCAGAATAGAATATAGCAGTGAAATCCAGAGTAGTAATTAAGAAGGCTCTCTGACACAACAAGCCAAATGAGGTTTCACTTTGTTGCTTGGGCATCCATCTATCCATGCACTCACTTAGCCATCCAGCCCATCAGCCATCCAGCTGCTCCTTGGTACATGCATTCCATCAATGTACTCACATGCTACTGCATGCAAGATCTATTCAAAGAGCTGGAGACAGATAAGACAACCATGTATTCCCCCAAGGAGCTCACATACCACCAGGGCTCATATAACATTTTCCCCTTTCCTTTTCTGAGCTTCTGAAAAAGTACCCTCTCTTTGGAAGTGGAAATATACCTTTTCCCACACATGCCTCCCTGAATTTTTGGTCCTGAGCATATACATTTTTAGAAAATGAAGAGGTGTGCATCTTTACCAGCAATCACTAGGAATGAGCTTTTTAAAAAAATAATTATCAGTGGCAAGTTCCCAAAGATAAAACATGAAAAGAAATATAGTACTACGTGGAAGTGGGAAAGGGGGTTTACGGGGGAAGGGCAGATAAACATGCATAATGTGGATAAAAACGCAAAAGTTATTATAATTTATTCATTAAATCCAGCAAAGGAGAAAAACACTTTCTCAGAAACACCCAACAGAGGGGGCTGCACTTCCAGGCCACTCCTCTTCTCTGGCACAGTTTCAAAACAGCATAGTGTGGGCCCGGAGTGTTCTCCATCCATCTTGCTCCAAGCCAAGGCCTTTCGTCTTGCCAAGAGGGGGTCACGTAGTTTGCTCAGACAGCAGTTCACAGTGACTCTCTATACATGATCCCCTGCAGGGAGCCCTGGGAATCAGCACTTCTGGGCTTATGGTCTCCGCTTTGTCTCTAGGTAGCTGCATGACCTTGAGCAAGTCCTTCAGCCTTCCTAGGCTTCAGCTCTTTTGTTTCTAGAGAAAATACCCACTTCGGCCACAGCTAGCTCCCAGACTTGTGGTAAGGATACAGTAAGAGAATGCATGTGAGAATGTTCTGAGAAAAGTAAAACACAAGTGCCTGATGCTACTATCATGTGACTAAATTAAATTCCCCACCTGAGGGCATCTCTTTCTCCCTTTTCTTCCCCATCCTCACCCCAATTGTTCTGCCCTTTCAAGATACTCCCCTCTCGCCAGCATCAGTGTCAACATGAACAGCCAGGACCTGACGGGAGTGGTGGCTGGATTCGCTCAATGGCTATTTGGGGGAAGGTGAAACCCTCCAATTCATTAAGTATACAATCTTGGAAGTTTGGAGGACCTAATGAGACCCTCAGGTCTCAACTTAGGGTTAGGGAACACCTGCACCCCTGAGCAATGCCCCCTGTGCCTATACTGCAGCTGTTGGGCCAGGCTGCCTGCAGGCAGTGAGGCAGGCAGGTCTCCACTGGGAGGGGTGGGGTGGAGGAGCTTCCAACAGAAGAGGAATCCAGCGTGGTCAGCCTGAGGAACACAGGCGCCAGGAAGGCTGAAGAACACCACACCTAGGCCTGTGATTTGGTAAAACATCTAGTGCTTCCTAGGTGTCAAGTTCTGGTCTGAGTGCTTTTAAAATATACTAACTCATTTGGCCGGGTGCGGTGGCTCACACTTGTAATCCCAGCACTCTGGGAGGCCGAGGCGGGCGGATTACCTGAGGTCAGGACGTAGGGACCAGTCTGGCCAACATGGCGAAACCGCATCTCTACTAAAAATACAAAAATTAGCTGGGCATGGTGCTGGGCACCTGTAATCCCAGCTACTCAGGAGGCTGAGGCAGGAGAATCGCTTGAACCTGGGAGGCAGAGGTTGCAGTGAGCTGAGATTGCGCCACTGCACTCTAGCCTGGACAACAGAGTGAGACTCTGTCTCAAAAAAATACACACACACACACACACACACACACACACACACAATATATATACATTATATATACACATAATATATTATATATAACATATATGTGTATATATAATATATTGTGTGTATATATATAACATATATATTATGTGTATATATAACATATATATTATGTGTATATATAACATATATATTATGTGTATATATGTGTGTGTGTGTGTGTGTATACACACACGCACACACACCAAGTCATTTAACTTGCCATGAGCCTATGAGATGGCACTCTCATTTCCCTCATTTTATGGATGGTCACATTAAGATATGTAAAGGAAAGGGAGCCTGCCCAGGATCAGAATCTGGTTCTTTTGAGTCCACACTCAGATGAATAATAGGACAGATGAAAGACAGAGATAGAGAGAGAGAGTGTGTGATAATGAGAGAATAAGGAAGGCCAGTTGCACAAAGAGCAACAATGACACAAAGACACGGCAGGCACTCCTGCCAGGTAAACATCTGAGCAGGGGGAGAAAACTAAGCTTTGACAGCTTTTTCTTTGCACTTTAGGACCCTGTCTACAGCCTCATGGCTGACAGGTGCCGGTCCTGTGACCAGTGGATGAAACTGGCCCATGCCACACCCGCCTTCTCTCTTGATGTTGTCTGGGTCTGGAATAAGCCATGGCAGGCTGATACTGACTTGGGAGCTGGAGGTGAGCAGCCAGCTTTGGCAAGCTTCTTCTGCCATGAATATTCAGACTTAATCTTTTAAAAAGAAAGCTCCATTTTCAGAAGCATATAAACTGTGGAAAGGATGATATCATGGCCTCAGGATGGCATCAGGTCAGTTTTGATATCCATGAGACTGAATGATCAGAAGCCAGAAGTTGGCAGGGAGAAATAAAGTCCCCTATGTTCTAGGGGCTGTGGACCCAGATCTATCAGATTGACTTACTGGCCAATGCTCAACGATGTTTTGAGCAAGTCCAGGTGCCCTGAAAGCCAAGCATTATGGTCCATTGGTGACCTGTCAGTCTCGGCATCTATGGTCTAACATGCACATTAGACCACCACTCAACGGTGGGAACTCTGCTGGTATAGGGTGCAGTCAACTGGGCTGTGTACACAGGTCCTGGGTCACTGTAGAAACCAACAATTCTGGTTCACATCTTTTCAGCTCCTGCCTGCTATGGCAACTCCTTCTCTCCACCCCACAAACCCACACAGAACTAGCAACTCGTTACCTCCCCTCTGCTTGTCGAGCTCCTGTCCTGATGATCCTTCTAATGTCTGTAAGATCTGCACTGATAACATCTTCTTCATTCTTGGTGAATTGGTATTTGTGTTCTTTTTTTTATTATTTGTTTCTCGTTCATTCTAGCTACAGGTTTCTCAATTTTGTTAATCTTTTCAAAGAACCATGTTTTGGCTTTGGTTTCTCTACTGTTGTTTTCTATTCAATAATTTCTGCTATTTTCTTTATTATTTCCTTCCTTCTCACATTGGGTTTATCTGTGTTCTTCGGTTCCTACCTCCTCATGGTGGAATTTTGATTTATTTTAGACCTTTCCTCTATTCTAATACAAGCATTCCTCTATTAATGTAATCTAACACAACCATTCCTCTCTGAGGAATTGCTTTGGCTGCATGCCACAGATTTTGATGTGTTGCATTTTCATTTTCATTTAGTTTAAAATAGTATCTAATCTCTCTTGTGATTTCCTCTTTGACCCATGGATTTTTTAGAAATATGTTGTTTAATTTCTAAATATTTGGGGTTTTGCTGGGTATCTCATTGTTGTTGATTTCTAATGAACTTCTAGCTTCACAGCTCAGCTCAAATACTCCCCTCACACCATACCTTCTTTGGGTCAGAATTCGATCATCATAAGCTTCATGAGGATATGGGCCATGTTCTCCCACTTATTTAATGCTGTGTCTCCAGTGATTAGCTCAGTGCCTGCCCACAGGATGTACTCAAGAAACATTTGTCAAATGTGTTGATGATGTCCTCCTGTGCATTTTCTAAATGCTTTGTTACTGTCTGTGTAACTGAATTAGAGTTACCCAAGTATAAATCTCTACGTCACTAAAGTGGGAACTTGGGCACAGCAGGAACCTGATTTTTGTCGTCTCTCTACGGCTTTGTCCTAGGTTGACACATTCTGGGGGGGTTTACTGAAGGATATCTAAGCAATACCTTTACACAGAAAATCTAGGTCTTTTATACAACATTGATGGGACTGTATGATGAGGCTCTTGGTTTAGGGATATTGATGACATAACCAATGCTATACTTAACAGCGGACACTGGATGGGAAAAAGTCAGTTGCCCCTGATTAAATAATATGCTTCCATTGTTAATCCATGACATTCATCCAGTTGTTCCTTTTCTATGACTGCTTGTCACAGCAGAACCGCATTTGTGTTTTTTCAATAACTTTCTTTAATTTGTACTATGTTTTGAGAATGTTTTTCTGCCTTTTGTATTTATTGATTGCCTTCTCCCAGAATGAGTTGCTTTGGGGTCTCAATGTATCTGTGTTTTTTGTTGGTTTCCTCAAATTCATTTTCAAAGTAGGTGGGATCAATCACTCACATAATCAATCAAATAGGCTGACAATAAAATTTTGCTGAACAGGACTGTCATCATCCCATTAGGGAGCTAATTAGAAACCTCTTCTAGTGCTTGGTGAAGAAAATGGGAACTTTTCCTGTGTACTAGGGAATGTGATGGGAAAAGTGAGCCCGTGGGACAGAGGTGGGACTGCAGGCAGAGTCAGCTACGTGGCTGTCTCACCTTGGGAAAGGGTTCTAAGAGCCCTGGGCTGGGGTTCAGTTAATTGGTTCCAGTGCTTCCTTCTTCCCTGAAGGGATACGCGTCTTCCCTTAGGCTATTTAGGAAGGCTGAAAGGTCCTCCCAGGAAAAGAGATGAGAATGTTTGGGAGCAGGAGGAATCCTGAGAGCTAGGACGATCCTGAGGCTCAATTCAGGCTGGCCCATGAGGAAAAGTGAGATCCAGAGAAAGGGTTGAGGACGGCAGGTTGCTGGGAAAAAGAGGCCCATTAAGGCTTGGCCTGCAGCTTTCAGGGCTAAGAAGGTCTGACTGAGGAGAAAGAACACCAGGGCTTGGAGGTTAGGGGACAGAACTGAGAAGATACACCAAAAAGAAACAGAAAATGCCAAAAAGAAACAGAAAATGAGGACAGCTCCAAGCAGGACTTGGCCTCAGACCGACTGGGGGGATTACCCTTCACCAGGTCCATCAGTGTGAGTGGAAACAAAAGCCCCGGCCTCCATGAGGGCACCTGGCGCACTCTCCAGGCTGGGCAGATGAAATGCTGGGAGCCAAATGACAAACAGAAGGAAAGGCCAGCTTTCAGAAATCTGTCCATAGCCACACTGGTGCCCAGCACTCCTCAGCTTAGAGCGCCGGGCACGAGGGCTTATGAAGCGACTCTCCAGCCCTCCAAGGACAGATGTTCTGCAGGTCTGGCACTGCAGCCTGGCCTCCTTGCCTTGCACAATGGCTGCCTGTGAGCTTGCTAGGCCTTCCCATTGCTGGGTTCCAGAAGCCCCTCGAAGGGCGGTGCCCGTGGTGTTTCTGGACTCGGCTCCGTTCTGAGCAGGCAGCATTTGCCCAGACCACCAGGTCTGAGGATGCTCTCCCTTCGGAGCCCTCTACGAGGGGCTTCTCTCTTGGCCCACCACCGCCCCAGCCTTCCATCTACTCATCCCCCTATTTTAACGGTTAAAGACATGCACACCGAATGCTTCCTAATTACTACTTTCATGGCAGATGCAGTCATTTCCTTGGATTTTTACTGCCATTAGTTTTCCTCACCGATTTATCCTTAGCTACTCTCCTTGAATCTTGCTTGCCTCCCCTGAGCCTTTCCTCCTCGCTCCTCACGGCTTGTCAGCACGCCTCCAGTCCCCAGGAGAGATGGAAAGCTTGTAGAGCCCACTGTGCAAACACACATTCCTATTCATTTATCACATTTAGCATGCGCACTTCCACTCTCATCAAAACCGGCCCCAGCTCGCTAACTCATTTCCCTCTCCCAATTACAAATTAGTCCATTAGGCTGTCTGCAGTAGGCCCTCTGTTGCATCTTGGTAATGGCTTCTGAGATTTCCATCATAATCGTAATGGCTCCCTATGCAGCCATGAGGGCAGATGGAGGCCGCTAGTGGGTAATGAGCTATCACGCTACCAAAGGGCACAGCCCTGGGCTCATTATTTAGTCTTGGCTGTTTTGTGAAAACAACAAGAAAGGTAAAATGCTGAAGGGAACACTTTAGCATATTAAATTAACACTTCTTGAAAATTCTCTCTGTAAACACGCCATATTTTCCCTTTATGCAACATCGCCAGTGTTGGAGCACACTATGGAGGGTTGGCTGGGAGGGGGGCGCGGGGGAGGAAAGGAGAAGGATGAGGTAGATGAGTCAGAAAAAGGAGGGCAAAATGTGTCACTCAAGAACATTTCACAACATGCTGGAGAAGTCTTCACACTAAGCGGCTACCGTCCTCTCCCAGTAACGCTCCTATCATACCAACTCCCTTGCCTCCCAAATAGGGAGGGGCTGTCCTCAGCAGCCAACCTCACTCAAGGATGCTCTGTCCCTAAACACCAGTTTACCACCATGCCTACAGGGAAAGGCCCTGTGGGGCCTAGAAAAGCTCTGCTTCAGCTTTTAAAGTGATGATATGCAACCTTTTCTTCTTTTTTTTTGGGGGGGGGGGAATACAAAAACAACAAAACAAACGAAACCAAAAGGACCACTACCACCACTACCACCACCACCACCAGCACCACCACCACAGACTACCAGCCAACGCGTGACAACAATAACTAACATTTATTTTTACTTATTTTTTAATTGAGATGGAATCTCACTCTGTCACACAGGCGGGAGTGCAGTGGCGTGATCTTGGCTCACTGCAACCTCTGCCTATTAGGTTCAAGCAATCCTCCCACCTCAGCCTCCCAAGTAGCTGGGATTACAGGCATGTGCCACCATGCCCGGCTAATTTTTTGTTTTGTTTTGTTTTTGTTTTTTGTTTTTTAGTAGAGACGGGCTTTTGCCATATTGGTCAGGCTGGTCTCGAACTCCTGACCTCAAGTGATCCTCCCGCCTCAGCCCCCAAAGTGTTGGGATTACAGGCGTGAGCCACCGTGCCTGGCCAAACAACAACTAACATTTATTAAGCACTAACTTTGGCCTGACACTGCACTAATAAGCACTTGACATATACTACTATTACTTCATTTAATCTTCACAATGTCCCTAGGTGACAGGGCTATTGCTGATGAAGAAACCAAAGATCAGCAAGGTTTGATAACTTCCCCAAGGGTACAGCGAGAGACAAGATGTGAGCCTCAGCAGCCTGACTAGCAAGCTTACATGCTAACCCCTGTGCCCTGTGCCCTTGGAGGACTGGGGTGGCACCTTTCCTTCTAGGGCTGATCTCTCAAGCTTCTTGCATACTTTTGGTAAGGATTACCTGGCAGAGGCAGACTTCTGATTTAATAGAGTTATTTTTCCTAATGTCATCAACCCTTGCAAAACAGTTTATCCCGATGCCCCTTGACCCTCAGCTTCATTAGGTTTATTTATTTATTTATTTATTTATTTATTATTTATTTATTTTTTAATTAAGGTTTTTTTCTTCAACAAGTGACAGCCTTTGGTTGCCAGTCCTTAATTTTTCAATGTAGAGTCGAATTCAGGCTTCTCAGAATACGTCTCTTCAGGTCTCCTTCCTGGAGGAAGAGCTGGCCACAGCTGCACCCTGCATGGCGATCCAGGTGCCAGCACCCTCGCTGGATGGAAATGAACAGCAATCATAAAGATCACAATTATAAAGAAGGAAATGTGACAGGAACACACGGGGTCCCCTAATGGGAGCCAATCCAGGGAAAGGATGAGCCCACAGTGGTTTTGAGGAAACACACATATGAGTCTCGTGAAACCAGAGATACTTTTTTTTTGAAGGGTTCAGAAATTTATTTTTACAAATGCAATAGTTTTTTGGGGTACAGGTGGTTTTTAGTTACATGGATAAGTACTTTAGTGGTGATTTCTGAGATTTTGGTGCAGCCGTCACCTGAGCAGTGTACACTATATCCAATATGTAGCCTTTTATCCCTCACTCACCTCCCTCCCTTTCCCCCGAGTCCCCAAAGTCCAATATATCATTCTTAGGCCTTTGCATCCTCATAGCTTAGCTCCCACTTATAGGTAAGAACATACGGCATTTGGTTTTCCATTCTTGAATTACTTCACTTAGAATAATGGCCTCCAGCTCCATCCATGGTGCTGCAAAGGCCATTGTTTCATGGCTGAGTAGTATTCCATGGTGTATATATACCACATTTTCTTTATCCACTTGTTGATTGATGGGCATTTAGTTTGATTCCATATTTTTGCAATTGTGAACTGTGCTACTGTAAACATATGTGTGCGCCATGTCTTTTTCATATGACTTCTTTTCCTTTGGATAGATACCAAGCAGTGGGATTGCTGGATTGAATGGTAGTTCTACTTTTAGTTCTTTAAGGAATCTCCATACTGTTTTCCATAGTGGTTGTACCAGTTTACATTCCCATCAGCAGTGTAGAAGTGTTCCCTTTTTACCACAACCACGGCAACATCTATTATTTTTTGACTTTTGAATTATGGCCATTCTTGCAGGAGTAAGGTGGTATTTTATTGTGGTTTTACTTTGCATTTCCCTGATAATTAGTGATGTTGAGCATTTTTTCATATGTTTATTGGCTGTTTGTATATCTTTTTTGAGAACTGTCTATGTCCAGAGGTACTTCTTTTGACAAACGTTTGATAAATAATAACATGGTGGAGATATTTTCAAAAGGCTTTTATCCCTGCTTTCAAGTCATCCTACACCTTTCCTATAATGCCTAAGGTTGATCCTAAACCTACAATCTCACTGTTCTTTATTGGCTCTTAAATCCATTACCACACTGCTTGCCTCTAAAGAGCAAGAAGACCTTTCACATCTACTGTCTCATTCATCCCCACAGTGGCACTGGGAGCCCCCTGGGGAGGGCATAATTATCCCTAGGATACTGAGGAGGGAGGTAACTAGCTTGTCTAAGAATGAGAATGAAAGCTGAGACCCTGAGTTCCCGTCAGGGGCTAACCCCAACCACCTCAGAACTCCCCTGGTGGCTTTGCAGCTCCAGAAGCCACACGTGCTCTTCCAAACAAATCCCCAAGTACTACTCTGACCACAAAACATGATGTCAGTTTGGAAAAGCTGACTTCTAAGAGTGGAAATGGCCCAAGCCCAGAGTTCAGAATGGGCCCGAGGGTAAGTAGAGTAGAGAACCAGTCAACTTTGCTAGGCTGTAAAATACAAATTTATGAGCTGTTTTTGTTAAATTCCGATATGGATTTTTGAAAATGAAAAGGATGGATGGTTAGATGGCAGCAAGATGTTTAATCAATGTCATAAAATATAACATTCATTGGGCTTCTAAAATGAAATTAATAATCTGTGTAGAAGTATCATTAGGAGATAAGTGACAATTCAGGCTTTGATTTGTAACTTGCAACAAATCTTACTTCCATAATAATTCAAGCATTTTTAGGGATATTCATCTTTATTAAAATATACCCAAGCTTTTGCCCCTCTGCTTCACAATCAAGCCTTTCTTTCCCTTCAGGGCAGACCACTAAATAAAAAAGGATACATTATCATATACATGCTTTAAATTAATGAAGACAGAAATATCATATTTAAATTAAATCAGGATTTCTCACTTGCTGCTTATCAAGGGAACTTAGCTATCTTTAATAAGTTTTTTTTTTCTTTCTCCTTTTATCTGAGACACTGGGCTTGAGCTGGCTCTATCTGAGCTGATGAGACATCTCACTTTCATTCAAAAGGCTAAAGCAAGGGATAGAGCGGAATGCCGTTCTCCTCCATAAATCCTACAACTGTAAAATAATATTTTAGAGCTGAAAGGGACTTTAAAATCACCTAGCCTTAGATCTTCATTTTCCAGATGAGGAAACTGTGGTCCAGAGAGGGATACCACAATGACAAACCAGAGAGCCGCTGGGCTAAGCACACGGGTTGCTCACCACCATGCCACTCAGTCCTGTCTCCCCTTCACTTCGAAAATCAGGACCAAATGGGGGAAACAGAAGCTGGACTCTAACACATCTAAGTCATGGGCATTTGCAGTCCCTTTTATTTTATTTTGGTTTATTCTGGAAGAGGGAAGCCGAGGAACATGACTAGTTGGCAATGAGGAAAGTCAGGAACTTCTCAATTCACTTGCCTCACCCTAGCAGGTCAAACGCTGTATCCATTCATCCTCATCACATAGTCCTTTGCTTTTCACATGAGCCTAGGTAGGGAGCTCTCAAGGTGGGGTTGCTTGACCCTTGGAGATAAACTGGAGCACACAGTAGAAGACAGCCAGTCATGAGCTCCCCTGGTGGGAAAAGGCTGGGAGCAGAGCTCTCAAATTCAGGGGCCCCAGAGAGGTGATGTGCCCATCTGTTCCAAGTCCCTCTAAAGCTTGATCTCCAACCCTTCTGTCAATGCCCTCCCCATCTCCAACCCCCCACACAAAGAAGGGGCCATGCAGATTTCATATAAAAAACTCAATAGAAAAAATAAACAGAAAAATAGATCACATATGACATGTCCCAACCGCTTTGAGTTCCACACAATTATCCTCCTTTGAGTAGATAAAAATATAATTCAATACATAGGAATTATGTGTGTGTGTGTGTACACATATATATATGACAGCTCTCTATCTACCTACCTACCTCCTTCTTGCCATTTCAGAACTATTAGAGAAAGCAGCAGGAATGGGGCTGCATAAACGATGCTCCTCACTCTTATTGAAACAGCCCACTTTCAAGCATGAAGCTTCGTTTAGGATTCACGGAGACGTTGGGATAAGCACTCTATTCAGAGTCAAGAAAGGTAACAAATAAATATCATCTTCATCTTCATGACACCTGCAGAGGCCCTCCCCCCAAATCCCTCTTATCCCAGATATGCTCTGATTCTTTGTCTAGAACAGCACAGGATAATCCTTGTGGAATCTGAGCCTGGTCCTCAGCCATCCCTTAACATAAAGAGAAGGTGACCCGTTAAAATACTAAATGTCCAGTGACTCCTCTGGGGGCTGTCTTAACATGTATTGATTCTCTCAGTCTTTCTCCCTTTTCCTTACTCAAATTCCTTTCCCTTCCTTGACCTCTTACATCATTGCCCTTAATTAGGATCCTCCCCACCTTTTCAAAGTGTGATGGGGGCTAATAAGACGAGGAAGCCACAGAGAGTACAGGAGGAGGACGAAGTGCCCCAGAGGTGGGGAGTAGGACTATGGGGGCCTTATGTGAGACAAATGGTCGCAGTAAATCCCCGTGCCCTTACAGCTTTGTCCTCCAGAGGTTTTAAGGAGAAATGCTTGATGTGTCTTACTGAACACTTTTTCCTAAACCCCTGAAAATTTCATTACGATCATTTATCTTCAAAGAAATCAAAACGCACCCCATCCCCACCTCCCATGGAAAGGTTAGGTCTTTTGCTCAAGCCTACGGACTTTAACCTCATAAATATTCCCAGCTATAAGATCTTATTAAGAAGGTATGTCTCCCAGGAGCATAAAACCATCAAGCTGTAAATTTTATTTAATTTCCCATGAGATCTTATGGCCTCATACATATAATTAGAGTGCAGTATAGAGCACTTTTTTGTGTTTTGTCAATAAATCACCAGGGAACAATCAACGTTTAAGAGGACAAGCTTTAATGATTTTTCAGACCCCTAAGCAATCGTGCCTCCACAATGGCAAGCCAGTCTTTAACCTCATCTAACTAGGACTGTGGACTGTGGCGTCAGATAGGACCCCAAACACTTAATCCTATTAGATTCCCCAGCCCAGACAATCATGGCAGAATACACAGGGGACGTATTGATTTTGATGTGGCCGACAGAGAAGACAAGCCGACCTACTGACAGTGCTTTATTAAGTGTTTACAAATTAAATATCTGAAGGTCTGCAGTAGGCCCAGCTCAGTTAAATGGGCCAGGGTGAGATGTGTGACGGGACCCACAGGGATGTGTTGAATCTAGGAAGCCTGGGTAAATGACAGGACAGGACCTACTCCCTTGACTGCTGCACTGGCTTTTCCAGAATGTCAAGATGCTGTAAGAGAAATTCCATAGAAGCAATTTGCTGTTGTTTTAAAGCTTGCTTAAAAGTTGACCACAGGAGTTGACCACAAACTCATGACGTGGCATTTATTCATGTCAGAACATGGACGTTCAATGAAAGCACCAACTTCGGCCTCCCTTGGTTAGGGCTCCAGAAGACAGAATCCTGCTCCTTCGGGTTTCTCCCTGCACTGTGCTTTCTAAGCAAACCTGCAATCTGACACACAAGCATGAGCCCTTCATTTTACATTTGTCCTGAGAGCTGAACCAGTTTAACTGCTTTCCTTGCCTCCCTTCCCTGCTCAGAACTATTTAAAAGGCTCTAGGTTTCTCCGCCAGGCATTCAACACTTGCCACAGTCTGTACTGGGTGTGCCTCTCACAGTGTTTTTCAACATGAGCCTTCAACTCTCACTAAACTCATCTCAGAGCCTTTACACATGTGTGGTTCCAACAGGAACAATGTGCACGGCTCACCTCCGTATCTTTCCTCAGCAGTTTCCCTCCCTGCAAAGACTACTCCCTGCCCCAGCTGAGTAACTCACATCCCACCCAACCTTTGAGGCACTGCTTAAATTTCTCTTCTTCCTTGAAGCCTTCTCTGGTCATCCTAGAAATGATGTTCTCTGAGTTCCTAAGCTTATCATTTCCTGGTGGTCCATTATGTTTTCCAATGTCTGTATCATCTCCTCAGCTGGACTAAGTTCCTGGAGTTTCCACCACACATCCTTCCTGTCTCCTGCCACACAGGTACAAAGGTATGGGATCCAGCACAGAACAGGGCTGTGGATTGATGGACTCACTGCCTGACTGATCAAGTGCTCTTGGGTATACGTATCATCTTATTCCCAAGAGCACCTGATCCCAAGATGCTCAGGAAAAGATGACCAGGTGCATTCCCCTTATGGATTGGTCCCTCCAGTCCTTTGCTCAAAATGTCAAGAGGGAAATGGGAATGAATGAGCCTTAAGAACTTGCTCTGTTCTGTGACTCTTCTGTCAAAATAAGCATGCAAGGATATGGCCATGTAGATTGGCAAAAGCACGTATCCTATTACTTTATCAACTTTCTTCTGAGCTATTTCTACCTCAACATTCTATATGTCCCTTAAGATGAGACTTCTACTGAGCTGCATGTGTTAGAATAAAGTACAACTCAGTGTGCTAATCCGGCTCACACTCCTGGCTCAAAGTTGTCCTAAGTGCATGTGCACACACACGTACACATACACTGGACATATCCGTCTAGTTTTTTCCCTTGATATCACTTGTGAGAAACCCATTCCAACAGTGTAATAAAGGCTAAGAACCACAGTGAGAGCGAGATCTGCCAAGATAATCTGGCCTGTTTCTTGCCTGCAAGCAATCCAATATCCTTTTCAAGAGTTCCCAGACAGCCATACCATACTCTGCCTCAGGCATCACAATTTGCCATATTTTGGGGGGACAGTCTGTGTTTAGCACAGTGCTTGGAACACAAGAAGACCTAAAAAAATGTAAGCTATTATTATTTATATCACCCTCGTTATCGTCTATCTGTCCTGCACTTACCTTTCACACTCTCACACCTTGGTTTCTCTGGGCCCTGGGTTTTTCAAGTAAGTGGTGAAAGCTGATTTAGGGTTAGCACAGTGGTGAGGGGAAACCCCGGGGACTCAAACCCCCATCTTTGTTTTATAGATTAGGCTTCCCTTCCACATCTGATATAAACTGAAGAAGAGTTCCGGAGGCAAAAAGAGCCAGAAAAACCAATGTCCTCGACCAAATCTCTAGTCTTTGGCATCATTTTTTTTTTTCAGGTACTACATGATATTATATATGGCAAAAGCGATTCATGCTGGTGAACGGAAAATCCATCTGCACTGTGGAAGAAGAGCTGTTCAATGCATCATCAGTAACGTCTGCTCCACGGTGTCTAGGCTACTCGTGGAGGGCAGGGCTTGAGGTTGACACTGTGGACTCCGGGGAAGTGGCAAGTGTAGGAGTGTGGCTGGTGTATTTCGGGGAGAAGTGGCAGTGCTCACTGTCCTCAAGAAAGGCTTCATGCCTCAGAGCGTGCCTCTGAAGGGTCAGGGGCGGTGCTGGACTTCAGAATCAAGCTCCATAAAACAAATGGCTCCAAGTGTCCTTTCCCCAACCTTACAACACAGTAACTCATAAAACCCTCCAAGGAACATTTTATGGCTTTATATTAATGTTCATTTAGGAAAGAAGTGAAAAGGACATCGTCAAGATTTTAAAAAGTCATTAAAAAGGGTCCACACTAGGGTTAACAGTGATACCTTAGCACAAAAAATGCACTGATACACCATAAAAATGGTTCTAAGGTACTATTTTTTCATCATTTTTATATGACCTCCTTTTTCTCTGCACTTAACTACTGAGATAGAAAAAAAAAAAGTAGACTGGGTAATTAAATTTTCTCTTCATTTTCATCTTAATTCAATAAATATTAATCAAGTATTTATATTATGCCAAGTGCGAAGTTAAGGGTCTGGCGACATAACATCTAATCTCCACTTTTAAAGAGCTCAAAGTTTGTAGATTAAAATAATAAAACAAATGAAAGTAATAATTATCTGTGTACATGTGCAATCATTTATGATGATCTTATATGTATTAACTTTAACTTGATTTTCAGCATTTTGTAGCTAGTTTGCTAATAAAAAACTGGAGCAAAAAAAAAAAAACAAGTCTTGAACACTAGTAATGGGAATAATGGGTGAAGAGCCCTTCTCTATGCTGGAGGGTGGTGTGAAGGACTCATGAGAGCCTTAAAAGAAGTTATGGTCTTGAACGAAAGAGGTGGATGACGTTGGTGGTGCCATCATATTTGCATATACAGGTAAGAAAAGGATAAATAGGGTTGAGTGGTCTGGGTAAATGTAAAAAGAAGAGAGAGAGGGAACTACTTCTGGGTGGTAGTTTTTTGAAGAGCCTCCTGCAGGCAAGGCAGGGAGTCCCTTAGTCATTCCTTCTTCTTGATGGATGGATTCTCACCCCCTGAGTATAAGATGCTTTCCTCAGTAGGAAACACATCTGTCAAAGCAAGCACCTGAATGGGAGGCCTCTGTGTCCAGAGAACAGTTCTACTAGCATGATGTCAGAATGAAGACTCTATTAGAAGGATGCACACTGAAATTCAGCAGTGGGTATTTCTGGGTGGTGGAATTATGAGTGATCTTTATTTTCTTCTCTGTACTTACCTTTATTTTTGATATTGAACACGTCTTACTTTTATAATAGAAAAGCAATCCATGTTACTTTTCAGAAGGTTAACAACCAGAACAACAGAACATAAAAAGGAGGAAAGAAAGTAAGATTGGGTCTGCACAGCAGTCCAGGTCATAATAGCATCCTTTCAACTAATAGGTGTGCTTCTCACACTCATCTCTATTGCTGTGGACAGTCACAGCAATTCTTCCCATGGGACTCTTGGTGCCACACTTGCTGGCATATCAAGGGTCAGAACCACGCTCACAGATCCTCATCTGTGGGGCAGCAGCTGTAGACCATCAGTGATGACCCTGGTCCAGTTCCCCGGATGACCCAACATCTTTGGTGAATGGGTGGAATGTAAGCTTATCTTTTGCTATTTTGTTGTTTCTGAGCTTGGCAAGGAAAGTAAACTTGTGGATTCCCAGTACACATCAAGCTTGGAGGCCTTTTAATCACATCATTTGACAATCACAAAACTCTCCCAAGTCCTTTAAGTATGTTAATGATCTGAGATTTAATCTATATTCTTACCTAGCTTGCACAAACCTATAAATAGGCTCATCTCAGGGTTATTGCTGTTATAAATTAATTATGGAAATGTCAACCAAATCAGGTACGTGCCAGCAGAGTAATGGGAGGGCAGCGATCCACTGAGCAGAGGGTGATTCTGATGATGCCCTCTGTGCAAAGTTCACAGCCTCTGGCCAGGTTCCATCAGCTTCTAGGGAGTTTAACCTTGAAGAAGACACTCTGGGTTTGTTTCCTCCTGAGTAACGGAGGGAGTCTGGAAAAGTGACTTCCACGACTAGTTCTGTGCCTTCCTCTTCATAGAACCTGTTGTTTCTTTCCCTCACTGGGAACTGTAGGCAAATTTGGCAGGCCTGCCTTTTTTCAAACAAGATGACGGATAATCTGGAGCTTATCTATATTGGGCTAATGTTAGCTACACCACTACCCCTCACTGATCCCACTGTTGGCAACTGAAAAATATGGCTGGGAAAAGAAAAGGTGAGTAACTACTGATTCATTTGAAAGGAATGTTTTCCACAGAGAGGACATAATTGTTCTGATGAAGCCTGGAGCCAGCCTGGAATTGTCCAAAGGTGTTGGGAGGTCAAAATAAATTGTGTACTTGGACAGTAATTTCTTTCCACAGGTCAAAGTAGTGAGACTTTATCCAAAGTAACATATCCTAGAGGACTTACAGGAAACTCAGAAAAGACCTGGCATCCTCACTGACAGAAGGGAGAGGCTACTTCAACTTTAAATTGCTTCCCTTTGGGAGATGTTCTGGAGTCTCCAGCTCTGAACACAAATTCAAGTTCTGTGGCTCAGGAAGGGATATAACAGTATGCTCACCACAATCACAGTTCACTGAGTGACCTCAGGCACTGTGCTTTACATTCATATTTAAATATTACAACAAATTTTTGAGCTAGGTATTACCCCACTCATTTTATCAATGAAAAAACAGGTCCTGAGAAGTTAACTAGCTTGCTGAAGGCTATAGAGCTTGTAAGTGGTAAAGTCAGAATTTGAACCCCTGTTTGTTACTAAAGAGATGAGCTCTTAACCACCGTAATACACATGGATATGCTATAGTCTGAGTACACTCAGTACATGACTTATTAAAACATACACATACTTTTATGCCATTATAACAAAGCAGGCATGTGATATGTCTAATTTTCTTCTGTGTGGGGCAGATGTCTTTGGACAACTCCTTTCTCATTCAGACACCAAGGTGTCACCTCTGCTGGAAAGACTCTGTCTCTGGTCTTGTTTAATAGCAGTGAACAATATGGTTAATCCTCCTTAATATATTTGAAAGGTTGGGAGTGGGCAGGGCACAAGGGTAATGAGAGAGAAGCAAGAGGAGAAGCTCTGAGCCATTGGAACCCAGGGTGAGCCTCACGTGAGGGCTCACAGAGCTGTCTGAATCCCAGCACTCTGTACTCACTGGACGAATCATTTGTCCTCACTCTAAAGACAAGAGAGCTGAGACTAAGAATGTCTAGCACCATCTACTTTGTAGAGTTGTTATGGGGATGGGTAAAAACAGTGTATATACCCAAGATAACTAACGTATCACCATGATCATGACAATCAGTACTTATTTTTTTCTGGCCCAGATCCTATATGGAATTGTATTACTGGTTGCTTTTTTTATCTTTTTTTCTTTCAAAGAGACACAGTCTCACTCTGTCACCCAGGCTGGATTGCAGTGGTGTGATCTTGGCTCACTGCAGCCTTCACCTCCTGGGCTCTAACAGTCTTCCCACCTGAGCCTCTGGAGTAGCTGGGACTACAGGCACCCACCACCATACCTGGGAAAGTTTTTTGTAGAGACAGGGTCTCACTATGTTGCCCAGGCTGGTCTCAAATTCCTGGCCTCAAGTGATCCTCTCACCTTGGCCTCCCAAAGTGCTTGTATTGTAGGAAGCCATGGTCCCTGGCCGCTATTAGTAGACTTTTCATGTGGCCTCGTCTTATCCCCACTCAGACTATACATTCCCTGAGGGCAGGATGTCTCATTTATACTGCCTGTGTCCCTTGAAGCACTCAGCACACAGATTTCTTGACCAACAGTGTATTTCTTTTCAAATGGACTTAGTAAGTTGTAATTGAGCACCACTCTATGTGAGGCACTGTGGGGAAAATTAACACAGTTTATAAGTGATCGAATGCTGTGGGGGAAATAACCAAGTAGAAGATGTGATCCCAGCCATTTAGGTCTTTAAATGGACCTAGGAGCACTAGGGTGCAAAGCACTAATGGGAAATAAAACTAGTCAACAGTATGAGGGGGGAAAGGTGGGAATGTGGAAAAGGCCCTGATGTAATGGAAAGAGAAAGATCACTTCTGGCTGGGGAAGACTTCATTATAGAAGGAGGACTTGAGTTGAACATGAAGGATGGCAAGGACTGGATTCAATTTCACGCAAAGATCTTTACTAAACCAGTTCCCCGCCTCCTCAAGTGAAAATTTTTGCATGTTAGGGATAGGTGAGCTTTGCCTTCCTATAAAAAAAGAATCTCTCAGAATGAGCTGTCTCTAGCCATGGGGCAGAGAGAGTGTAGACAGGAGGCCCTCCACACATCAGAATGGCAGATATACAACATGCCAGGCCCCTGGGCAGAGATCCAGGAGTTCAAAACCTGCCACTTACATGTCTTAGGAAAGAGAACAACGAACAAACAAAAAAGCAGATATAAATGTCACTGCCCTCTAGGGTAACCTGATTCTGGGAAGGTTACAGGTTCTGTTTCCGTGGAGATGGAGACAGGCCCCCAGATCTCCCCAAAGGAGTATGAGCCAGACCTAAACCCAGGGAAAGGAAAACATCCTGTTTCCTGATCAACAGCTTCCGTCATAAAGTGCTTTAGGGTCTGTTTCCTGGTCCTTCACAGTGGGTCCTAATTAAATGGGTTTTCCTGCATGAGTTCTTGCATCTCTGGGGATGTCTATGGCTGACAGGGAATAAAACTAAAGGCTATAAAATCATGATGGTGAACAACGGCTTAAACTAGACTCAATGGCTTAAACTAGACTGCCCACCCTGAACTGCGCTTCCCCTAAATAAGACGAATAAATGAGGTAAATGGAAAGGAGTTTTATATGCCTCTGTGGGCAGTTATACTTATATTTTCCTTATTTCAGGAGGTAAGAAGACTGGTACAATAAAGACTTCCAAAAGCCAAGCTTTGAACAGATGTATAGTGAGCTCTAAATACTAAGTAGGATGTTTTAGGGAGCAATGAGGACCATGACTGTTATAAGACAAAGAGAGAAGAAACTGGATGAGTCTGGAGTCGGCCTCTGGAAGCATCTGGACCTGACTGAGGGTCTCCCAGAAGGCTGGGCTTACAAGTGGTAAGTGCTACAAGGACACAGGCCTAGAGGGCAGGTGGGGAAGGCTGCCCTGGGGGGCACCACAATGAAAGCGAGTAAACTTCATCTTGTGAGTCAGATTACCTAATTACGTGTTGCCCTCTGTGAGAAATCTTTGGCCCACAGCCTTTAGATCAGTCTTATTTAAATGCTCCAACCTGTTCTCTGGTGTCCTATTTGTAATTAAAGGAGCTTTTGATGCCAGAGTACATCAGGGGTTGGAATATCCCCTGAAGCCAGTTTGGTCTACGGTAGATGATTCCTGAGGGATGGCTGAGGCCAGGGTGAGTCTACGGGCAAAAGAGTTGGGGCTGCAAAGTTTAGCAGATTTTTAACACATGGGAAGTCTCTCTCCTCTGCCACGCTTGAAGAAGCTGGGAGGATTTTATCTGGTGAGCTAGCAGATTTCCATGAAATATATGATCTGGTAACATAGAACCTTCACCATTGAGAGGCATGACTGTGTCTAATACCTTAGACCCAGGACACACGATGGGATGGAACTGGGCATGACCCAGCATGTTTGATGCTCTCACTTGTTAAGAGGAGATCCTACCTTAAAAAGCATCATCTGGGGGGCGCTTCCAACCTAAGTAAAAAAAAAAAAAAAAGCCCCACCAAAAAAACAAACATTTTCTAGGCACAAAGCACTCTCTTGACTCCAGTGAGGAAGGGGTAAGCCTGCTACGTCTGTGTGGCCCTGTGCTTACGGAAGGCATTTAGGAACCAAGTTGCCCCCACAGGATACGAGAGGCCTGGACATATTCTTAAGCAAGTCAGATTCATGCCATTTCATTAAAATCAAAACGAAATATCACCTCATCATGATGCCCTTGGTTTTGTGCTCTTAAAACCAGATTCATGCTGAACTCAGTACACAGACCAACTTACGGAGTCCACAGAAACTGATAAAACTTGTATTTTGTAGTGACCTGGTGAGGAATGGCTGCCCATAAACAGAGGAGGGATTTGCTAACTATGCAGGTTTGTTGCCAGGCCATTATGGCTTATTTAAAACAGGCTAACGTTTACTCTGGTTACATGCTGAAATTCATAAAACTTTTGAACATGTTATGTTAGTCTTATAAAATTGGAATGTATGTGTACAGTATATTTTAAAGACGTTCAAATATTAAGCATTTCACACAAGCTGTGAAAAATGCTTGGCTCCCCTCCCCCGTCCTTCCCGTCTTCCCTATTTCAGCATCAAATGTTATTCAGGGATAATGAAAAACAGAGAAGTCTATGCCTGAATAACTAGGTTGTCTAACTGCATTACGGGAAAATGAAAGATCAGACTGTGATTGGAAAGAGCCAACTTAACAGCTACAGAGCCTCAGGAAGGACATACATCTTGTAGCCAACGAAGTTTACTGATGTAGCCCCCTTGATACCTGATTCAGTGCCATACTTCTGGTGATAGAAATTTAATTTCTCTCCACTGAGCTCCACAAGGATGGTATTCAACTGGAGTGGTTAAACTTAACGTGAAACAAGGATCTGAGGCCCTTTCTGTGACGTCTAATCCAATCAGAGATGACAGAGTGGTAAGAACAGGAGCTGGCCAGATCTCAGAAACTAATGTTTTTCTTCAAATACGCCTGTTTCTACTTACAGATCTATTGCCCTAAAAATGCAGACGAGTGTGTTGAAATATTGATTATGAATTGTGAGTCTCCTAAATCCTTTTAAACAAAGCTTACCTCATTGTATCCAGCATTCTTATCCCCATTAGCAAACACATTTTTAATGGCTGGTAATTTTAAAAAATATTTTAGTACACTTACATGCAAATATAGTGTACATAAATCAGTTACAATGTAAACATTCTAATTCTCCATGTTCCCCCCTTTACCCAGCAACTGGGTAGAGCTCTTGGCTTTAGAAAGCTCATTAGAGAATGCTCTTCCATGATCTGAGATTATAAGTTACGGTACTGGGAAAAAAAAAAAAACCCCACCCCAAAACAGAAGCCCCAAAACCCAAACAAGAAACAAAACAACTTGCCTGCTGATATATAAATTAGACATGGCTAGGAATTCTGATTTGGGGTTCTCTCATATAAATCGTAACTCGGTCCATCAGTCTGTTCTCAGGAAAGGGAGTACAGTGGGATGTGGCACACTATGTAAAAGCTACGCCAAAGGACTCTAGGACTATCCAAGGGTGAAGAGTAGCACAGTGACAATGTAATTTTATTCTCTACGGTTTTAAGTGTGATGGGAACCATTCTGAATGGCCAGTACTCAGAGCATGTGGGAGGACACACCACTGTGTGCTGGCCCACTTGAGTAACTGAATGGGTGCCTTATTGAGGGCAAAGGCAGACTCCAGCCATAACTGACCTCTCTGCCCTCATCTCCCAGTGCTCTGGCTCTCCCCCTCTCCACTCTGGCCCGGTCAGCCTGCTTGCTATTCCTCACACACACTACCATGGACACTGCTACCTTACGAATCCCTGTGCACACTGCCTGCACTGCTGTCTCTCCCCACCCGCTGACCCCACCACGCATACACCCACCGGATCCACATCTCACCTCCTTCAGATCTTCGCTTAAATGCCACCTTCTCAGCAAGGCCTTCCTTGCATCCCTCCCCACTGTATTTCCCTCCCTGCTATTTTTCTCTCTATAGCACATCATCTCACACACCAATTAGTCTACATACTTAAACGTTTTTGTCTATCTCTCCCCACTATTAGCTCCAGGAAGGCAGGAGAGAGATATTAATATCCCCAGCGCCTATAATAGTGCCTAATATAGGGTAGGCATACAAAAAATATTTGTTAAAAAATTAATTGAAATTAGGGAGGTTGATAAAATGATTTTGAGGGACTTGAATACACAACTGAAAATTTTCTTACATATCTCAGAGTCTTCATTTATGAAAGAAGGACACACCTGCTTTTTAAATGTTTTCAACATCCTCTGAAAAGAAAACCAAGTCCTTAATTTGATTCGAGCCATATTTCCCCCTCCTTCCCTTTCCCCCATTCTACCCCTAGACAATTCTGGATGCCTTTTTTTTCCCCTTTTCTTTCTAAAGATTGGTATTCAGAAAGTCATGAGAAACCTGCATGAAAGAATGGCCATGTTTTGTTGATTATAGCCATAAACTCTAGAAACAGTATATCCGACAAGGGACTTACTCAAATACCATTTGAATTGGAACCTCTTTCTTCAAGAATCCTTCTTTCAACAGCCTTTGTGCGGTGAAATAGACATATCCAGTGGGCTGCTGGGTTAATTACAGCTCTGCATAACTCTAACTGTCCCAGGGGGAAGAGCCCGGCTCGCTTGGCCTGTTTAAAGGTGTCACTTGCTCGACTTCCTTCTTGATCTCCTTATATTATTTCCAGCCTGCCCTTCCTTCCCCGGGAATGATTCCCCGTAAAGATATCCAGGAAGTTCGCAGGCTGAAACACACTGCCGCGGGTCAGATCCCCATGGCTTTTATTGCTGACACAGACTACTAGACAATGCCCTTTGTTACTGGTTTGGCTGGAGGGCAAAAGAAAGGGGAGCAAGGGGAGAACCAGTTCAGATGCTGCTGCTCCCGGTGGGGTTACAGACCATCTCCACAACCACAGGCTTCTACTTCTCTGCCTCTTTTCTCCTCCTGATTGTCTCCCCGCCTCCACCCTCTTTCCTTTATCAGACTGCATTGTGTCCATTTACTGACTTAAGTCTCTACATAACTGCACCCAAAGCTTATCCAGCCTCAGTTTACATACACGTCCAGGGATGAGCCAGATGCTGCGTGGGCCCAGTCCATGTTTAGATAGCGTTGACTCTAGGAAGCATATTTTATATATGGAAAAGAAATCTGTCACAGTACTAACTGCTGTGGCCAAATTTAATCTCCTCTCTCTATTGAGCAGACTTCCAAACATCTGAATCCAGTGATTCACCTTGACCATGAGGCTCTCTTTACCTTAAACATCCTTATTTCCATCTACCACATCTCCTGGGTTTTGAGTTTTCACAGTGGGGTGAACTGGTTCACCAGAACTGGTTCACTGATGCTCCTTTCTCTGTTGGTTGGGGCTGGCAGTGGCCAGCTGAATAAGGTGCTGAGTTCATCCAGGAAGCTTTGTTAACCAATCGGTTCTTATCCTAAAAGACTTCAGAGATTGGGCAGGGGAGGGAGGGTAAAAACCAATCCCTACCAGTCACTGTAAATACCAAATACCATTTAATACTGTTAGTTTTTTCCTCAGGCAAATAACACTGTTGCTAATATTAGGGTGAATTTTTACTAAAATTTCTAGGCCTTTCTCGCATCTACCATTGCTAAGCCATGTGTGTCATGCTATCCTTGAAGAGCCAGCCCATCACACTGTGCTAAGCTTATCTCCAGACTGAGTCTCTAAAACCATGAACCTGGCTGGGCGCGGTGGCTCATGCCTGTAATCCCAGTACTTTGGGAGGCCAAGGCAGGCGGATCACCTGAGGTCAGGAGTTCCAGACCAGCCTGGCCAACCTGGCAAAACCCCATCTCTACTAAAAATAAAAAATTAGCCGGGCGTGGTGGCGGGTGCCTGTATTCCTAGCTACTCAAGAGGCTGAGGCAGGAGAATCGCTTGAACCCAGGAGGTGGAGGTTGCAGTGAGCCTAGACCACATTTCTGCACTGCAGGCGGGGCAACAGAGCAAGACTCTGACTCAATTAAAAAGAAAACAAAACAAAACAAAAACAAACCACGAGTCGGATCTTATCAATTATATATCAAAAAAGCTTCCAGTGGCTTCCCTCTCCCTCAGGACATCTGATATCCCCCATAGCCTGCAAGGACAAGCTGTGCTCTGACCTCTCATGCTTGCTCTCACTGATATCCAGCTACTCAGGCTTTCTAGAGATGCCAAACATGTTCCAGCCTCAGGGCCTTTGCTCTTGCTGTTGCCTATACCAGGTATAGTTTTCCCCCAGATTTGTGGGTATCTACCAGCTTCTCTTTATTTGGGCCCTTCCTTAGAGAAGCTGCCCCTGATCACTGTATCATAATAGCACCCCCCTCACACCTTGCTCTTATCTCCTAAGACTTTAAATTTTTCCTCCATATTCTTTACCATCATCTGACATTGCATGCAGACACCACACACATTTCTTCATTGCTTACCATCCATACTAGGAGAATCAACCCAGAAGTAGCTGCTCCGTGATGGATATATGACTGGCATGTAACAGACACTCAAATACTTGTTGACTGTATGAATGAGTTTTCTTTTTCAAATTCTGACTTGGCCATCTGAAGCTATCTGTTTTCCTCACAACTTTCTGTCTTCTGCAACTTTGGTGCAGAATAATTATTACCCAACTACTGACGATTATTTTATATAGGGCAGAGTCCCGTGACGAAACTGTAGAGCGACCATCAACTTGGTCAGTTCAACAAATTCACCAATTTGCTGCAGCCACTCCACAGTTTCCCACCGAATCCACAAAGGCTTCATAAAAGACCTTGTCGAAGACCTTGAGAAGAGGGAGTAAGACTGCCCTTTCCACTTTTGGTAACTGCCTAGTAAGCTTGTTAAAAAAAAAAAGGTGCTAAGCTCCAGTGACCAGTCTTAGTGACCCGACTCTTTGATTCCTGCTTCCTCTTCACCAGCCTGCTCCATGCTGACCGGGTCTAGGATCCTGTAGAGCACCTGATGCTCACTGACCTGTGGCTACAGAACACTCCTTTCTCTTTAAAAATTTCGCAATGTATTTGCCCCCCTCTAGTCTCCCAGCCTCTCTCCTGATGTCCCACCTTTCTCCAACATCTCTGGCAGGGAGGGGTCAGTGATTTCATTTACAAGATCTCTCAGCATGTGGGGAGGTAACTTGTCCAGGTCAGGAAAACGTGAGCTCATTTAAATCTTCAAGGCAATCTCTTTACTGATCTTGGATCTAAAGTCCCTTTAAGCCAAGAAAATTCTATACCTTTCCTTCTAAAGATCATGTTCTGGACAGGAAGGTAGAGCAGGAGGTGAACCTCTCTGCTTTCTCTGGGTCATCCATCAACACCACACCTTCCATCAAAGGACAAAGCCTCCTTTTCTTAATCTTGATCAGAACATAAAAAACAAAATTACGCTGAAAACCCTACTTATCCTTAGGATTTCTGTGAGCTTCAGTTAATGTGGACACAATGCTCCTAGTCTGGGTCACATGTTTTCCCTCAAATCGCCCTCACTTGTTGTTGCATATAAGCCCCATCTCTCCCCTTCACCAGAGCCAACTGTTGAGTCAAAATAACAACCGCATAATAACAAAATAAGGCTGCTGGAGTCTCTTGATGCCCTCCTTCGGCCTCAAGCCTCAGAATCTTCTTGTCTTCTCCGGCACATGTCAGATAAGTCCTCAACTCTGTATCTGAAGGTGGGGTGATTACTTTCTCCCACTGACATTTCACCAAGCAATTCCTTTTTGGAAAGGAGCAGGACAGAATTAGACCTTGCTTCCTCCAACCTCTAGGAGAGGAAATGCCCAGCACATGTCAAGAATCTATCAGAGGTGCTGGCTTCGGACCACAGTCCCTCTAGCAGTGGAGGTTAAGGACAGCCTCAAACATCAAAGTCAGGCCTGTAAGATGCCAGTGCTGCTCACCTGCTTAGTATTGTGATACTTTGTTAATTTACTTACTCTTACCAGGGCTTACTTTCCTCACATATAAAATGGGGATAATGAAAGCAACCACCCTGTTGGGTTGTATAAGAATTAAGTGATATAATACAAGAAACTTCCCCCAAAAAATCAAAGTCAATAAATACACTGTTTGACACAAGAAGTATTCAATAAACACTAACAGTTATATTTTTGTTATGCCTCCAATATGGCATCTGTTTCTCTCCCAGTTGATCCCAACCTAAACACACTACTTTCTCTGCCTGCTGGGTCAGATTTTGATCCTAGGTCTCATCCCATCAAGTTTCAGTCCTACCCAATGAGGTTACTTACTTGGCCAGAGGTAGATAGAGGTTTCCTGGAGTCTGAAGCTTAAACCCTTGTGGAGGGTGCTTTTTAAGAAAATGAATACAAAGTTATGAATATAAAATTAGGTATGAGGCCTTGGATGAGATCCCAGCAAGTGAAGGGCCTTGAGGCTTTCAGCCATTAGCCTGGGTGAATCTACCTCTGTTTACACCCTTTTTATGCCTTGTGCAGTAGAGAGATCAAAGGCTGTGTGGAAGTCAGACGTTTATCTCAATCACTTTGGAGTCTCTATTTCCTTGTTTGTAAAATGAAGCGAATAATGTCTCATTTAGTTCCCACAACCAACCTAGGAAGTAGATAATTGTTTTACATTCTCTTCCATCAGTTGCCAAATCTTGCTTATTTGATCTCCAAGAAGAATTTAGCTCCTTTTCTTCTCTCAGCCCCCACATTGCCTACTCTGAGTCACCATCCTCTCTCACCTGGGTAACAGTCTCTCCTCACTGCTGATCTTCACTCTGGCCTCCCTCAATCCGTCCTCCACACAGCTGCCAAAGTTACCGTTTAAATGACAAATCTGATCATGTCTATCCCTGCTTTAAATGCTCCACTGACTCCCAATTGATCTTTTCAAGACTAACTGTACATGCCTGCACACACGCACACAATCTGTTACTTAATGTTTTTGTCTCACACTAATGTTTAAAATTGATACATTTTATTTAACAGGTATTTTGAGATTGTGAACAGGTATTATTCACTTTTCTTTATATGTGCATGGAATAGCTATAGAATTGATCATGTATTTGTCCACGAAGAAAACCTTAACCATCGCAGGAAAGTGGACACTATAAAGGTTGTATTTCACCTTACATTTTAAGGGCAGTGAACATGCCCATTTTGTTTGTTGCCGCATCCCAAAAGCCTTATTCACTACCTAGCAGAGATTAGGTTTTGGTAAATATATGGCAAAGGAAAGAAAAAATGAATGCATGAATAACAGATATCACTAGCTAAGCTGCTTTTCACATAGAAGATACTGAAATTCACTATGACAATGTTCTGAGTATTCTTAGATTGAGAGGCAAGGATATAATCACTACATAATTATTATTTCATATTAATCATTAGGTACCAAAAATGTCCTCCTTCCCATGACATAACAATTTCTTCCATATCAGCTTGTTTCATTGTTTATCAAGAAGTGCTTCTTCTTCTTCAACATGAAGGACTCTTGTTTGGGTGGGTGTCCCTTTGGGCTACCTAGTTTTCCCAGATTTACAAGATGTGTTCCCTTGCTGGTTAAGAGTCTGACACTAGTGTCATTTTAAAATCACTGATCACACAGAGTCAGCTATATCTGTTCTCTCCACCGTGTTCCTGGTCAAGATGACATGGTGAAACACCATGTACACTGCCTATCCACCTCTACCCACCTTCTGCCCGAGACTTTCCATCCTAACTGTGCTTCCCTGACCTCTGCTCTATGATCCAGAGTCGCTGTTCCTCCCTCCACCCTGTCTCCCCCAGCAAGCAGCCTTGCTGGAACCCCTCCTGCCCACTTGCATGGGGGTACACAGACAGCTGTGGCTTTGCCTCCTGGAGCAAGACCAGAACGATTACTCAGGCCCCTTCTCAGCTTTGCACTGCTGGAGAAGAACACGTGTTGTATGTCTAGGGAAACTAGGCTGCCCAGAGGGACACCCACCCAATCACGAGTCTTTGTGGTAATCCTGATGACCTCCCAGGTTTACTGCAGCAGCCCATAGGACTGCATGGAATACGAGGCAGAGGATCCTCTTCATAGGGCCCCTCTATTCCCCAATTCTCTCCCTCATTGTCATTGGCAATTACCTGCAAATTTCCACCAGTTATCATCAGCCCAATGACTTCAAGAGGCCAGGTTGTAAGCTACCTTGGAAGTAAAGAAGAAAATATCCAAGGATTTTACCTGTCCTCACATTTCTCCAGCTTCTGGCCAATGTGAAGGAATTTAACATACCCTGTAGCCTATCCTAAACTATGTACACCTGAAGCCTGATTTTTCACTGGATCATGAGAAACCTCTCCTACTGAGAGGTTTCAGGCAGTTGTGAGCAGCCTGAAGAGACACCACTGGGACAGTCCTTCCTGACCTCTCCAAACCATGTCACTATAAATGTCACAGAGCCAAGTGGTTCCTCCAACCTGCTTTCTGCTCAGTAAGGGGAGGCAGAAGAAAACTTCCTGAGGCCAAGTCCTTCTGGTGTTTTTCCTCTCAAAGTTCCAGGACCAAACTGAGGTGAGGGCAGAGGGCTGAGAAAAGCTTCATTCAACCTCTGAAAGTCAGTAGAAGTAGGCCGGCTGGTGTACTTTCTTGATTTTCTCTTCTCTCTCCCTCTCTCTAAAAATGGGAAGCAGGAGGAGCTAAGGATGCCATAAATGAGAAGAAAGATGCCAGATGGAGGGAGGCAGAGGAGGTAAGAGAGATAATGATGAGGGCACAATGCCCAAGTGCAGAAATAGAGGAACGGGACTTGCTCCTCCAAAGTGAAACAACCCATAAACAATAAAGAAATCCCAGAATAACCGACATGAAAATTTCTCATCCTGGTATCCAAGACCCTGAAAGTGTATTAACCTAGACCTACCTCAACCTCACCAACCTCATATTCCAGTTAACCAGAAATGCACTCCTTTTCCACAAAACCGTGCTGATTACCATTCCAACTACCTGGAGCATCTTATTCTGGCACTTTCCAAAATAAACTCATACCTTAACCCCTGATCAATGCCAGCTCTCTTGGGACAACTCTGGGTCTTATAATATTAGGTAATGAATGCAACCCTCTAGCAGACTAATTGTACTAGCCGTGAGACCCTAGGCAAGTTACCTAAATGTTCTGGGCCTCAGTGACCTTATTTATGAATAGGATGATAAAAATGGTACTTATTTTATTGTGTTGTTGCAAAGATTAAAAAACTTGGTTTATGTGAAGTGCTTAAAAGTATCTGGCATATAGCAAGTGCTCAACAAATGCCACGGTTTATCACACATTCTTGTACTTGATTGTACGTTGCTCTGAGTGACTTGGGGATGCATTCATAACTGCCTCCTCTGCTTTCTCAAGCAGGCTAGGAGCTCTTAGAGAATAGCTGTTATGCCTAAAACCTATTTGAGGTACTCCAAAGCTGTGCACATAATAGGGATGGAAAGAGTTCCAGAAGAGCAATATCACTGAGCATCTACCATGTGTTAGGCAATGCAATAGATGGTGAAGAGACAAGAACGAAGCTCTGCGGAGCTTACCTCAGGGTCACAGGGAGTGTGGGAGGAGGCAAACATTTGCTAGATTAACAGGCCCCCCTTTCCTGTGCCTGCTCCCACATCCTTTGGGAAGAGGCTGGTGGCATGCTTACATTTGTACTAAGCACAGCTACAGATTTGTTGAACATTGTGTTTTGATTAAAAATTAATAGCTGCATTTGACCCACATGGATTAATTTCACTTTCTCTAAGTATCCCCTTAATTGACAAACTACCATTAGGTGAAAGAACCAATTAAACAGAGCAAACTACTCCCTCCGCCAGTCTTCATCCTCCTTCCTCCCTCTCCATGGTGTCCTCCGGAATGTTTTAATAGACTATTTCCATACTAGCACAATGAGATTAATTACTCAGCAAACACACAAGAACAAAGGTGGGAGGTGTGCTCCATGCAGTGCAAGGCCATGCTCAATCTACCAAAGAGCAAGCGGGTGAAGACTTGGGGAAGGGCAGAAAGACAAGAGATCCATTTCCATGACCTCAAAAGATTGACAAGTGCGGTTCTTGTCAATTAACTGGCACTCCCAAGCTTATCAGCCATCAGAGGCTGCTCAATGTGCTGATTTATCACAGTTTGGCAAAACTCCTTGATCAACTCCCTGGAATGTGCTGGCAAGGTTATTCTAAATATAAGCTGGACAAAGTCCACTTCTTGCACGCTGCAACAAGTACTCCAATGTCCTACCAAGGGGGCATGAAACTCCCTCTCATGTTAAAGTCAGAATGTCAAATGGGAAGACTATGCTTATCTGGGTCTTATGAACAGAAAAATACAGCTGGGTCTTTAAGAATACTTTCTGCTAGGGTTTTCTACGGGTTTTTAGATTTTACTATTTGACCGTCTCTGTGCTCCTTTTCAAGGCTCTGCCAAAGTGAGTGAACAGGAACACTGTACCTTTATTGTGGCTGGAGAGCTCCAAGAAACTTCTACTAGAGATGGGTCCAAAACAGCTCACTGCCCTGAAACAGGAGATGTGTAGATCTAAACCCACCTTTCATCTGGAGACTCACAGGCCTACGGCTTTCTAGTGAAAGTATCTGAACCCAACCAAACTTGCCAATCAAAATTTAGGCTCAGGTAGTTGGAGAACCAAATGAGTGATGATTGACTTTGTTCTCCCCAGCAGATTTTTTTTTTTTTTGAGACGGAGTCTCGCTCTGTCACCCAGGCTGGAGTGCAGTGGCGCAATCTCGGGTCACTGCAATCTCCGCTTCCCGGGTTCAAGCAATTCTCCCTGCCTCAGCCTCCCGAGTAGCTGTGACTACAGGCACCTGCCACCACACCTGGCTAATTTTTATATTTTTAGCAGAGAGGGGGTTTCACCATATTGTTCTGCCTAGTCTCGAACTCCTGACCTCAGATGATCCACTCACCTTGGCCTCTCACAGTGCTGGGATTACAGGTGTGAGCCACTGCACCCAGCCTAGATTTTTTTTTAGTGGCAACATCCAGTGGTGACTAGGAGATCTATCTAGATTAATGATCACGTCATGGTTGTACATGATCACAACTATAGGATGTAGAGAGAAGTGCAGGAAATAAAATTTTTTAAAAAATTGGAAGGGCCCTTAGAAATTATTTACTTGGCTAGTTTCTCCTCCAACATTTTATTATGAAAATTTTCAAACATAGAGAAAAGTGGTATTTTAGAGTGAATACCTATATACCCACCACTGACTTTATTAACACTGTACTACACTTGCTTTATCATGTGTCTCCCCATCTACCCAGCTCATTATGTATCTATCAATCCATCTTCTTTTTAATTGCTTTTTTCCAAAAAAGAAAAACCCCAATCAACCCCTATCCACTTTATTTTATTATTTTTATTTTGTTTTTGTTTTTTCGACACGGAGTCTTGCTCTATCACCCAGGCTGGAGTGCAGTGACTCAATCTCGGCTCACTGCAACCTCCGCCATCCAGGTTCAAGTGATTCTCCCGCCTCAGCCTCCTGAGTAGCTGGGACTACAGACGCATGCCACCACACCTGGATAATTTTTGTATTTCTCATAGAGATGGGGTTTCACCATGTTGGCCAGGCTGGTCTCAAACTCCTGACCTCAGGTGATCTGCCTACCTCAGCCTCCCAATATGCTGGGATTACAGGCATTAGCCAGCGCACACGGCCCCTTTCCGCTTTAAAAAGCTATTTAAAAAACACTTTCTCAAATCAACTCTTTTGAGAAAGGCCAATGAAACAGATAAAAATCAAGCTTCTCTGATTGACGCAGAGTCAGAGTTAGGCCCCTGATGTCCTGACAACCCACGCCCACCTCCACCTGTCCCCAGGTGCCACGGAGGACCCTGAGAAATGACAGGCAACTCCTCACCTGGGAAGGGTGTGGTTCTATCCTACCACACCCTTGTTATGTGTCCTAGGGTAATTTATCTCATTACCGTTCAGTTTTCTTAGTTGGAAAGAGGAGATGATAATTACACAAAACAATTCAAAACTAGCAACGTATTCCTGGCATATAATAAGTAAATGCTTTCTCAATGTTAGCGATTACTATGATCATTACTAGTATTAACATTATCATTACCACCACATGTCTCAGAGAGAATGCAGCTTCAAAGCGGATGCGCACCTAAGAGGAAAATGGTGGGAAGCCTGGGTGGGAACGCAGGGACTCGGATCCCACTGCTGAGCCCATCATCAGCCTTTGGTAACTAAGCCAAGCTCACAGTGGTACATAATTGAGAAAAACCCTTGTGTCCTCCCTCTCTTGAAGGGATGGTTTAAAGATTAAATGGGAGGGTAAGTTCAAACATTCAGGAAGCAGAATTTCTGCAGCAGTTCGAAGCGTTCCTATTGACATTATTAAAGGTGTTGTTCCAGGCACTGATGAGCTGTGATAGCCATGATGCCACTTGAAAAATAAAGAGTTCCTTTTTTCTGCCCTTAAGTTACCTACAAAAGTTGTTCAGGGTGACTTTTCCAACACTCTTATTGCTGCCGTCATCTTCCCCTAAAGAAAAATCTCATCATCCTGTTCCTCCGTGAAACCAAACTAAACCAAAGCTTCAACTAACCCAGGGGTTGGTTTTTCAAGGTCCTTTATGACCTGACACCCAAATGCCTTCCTAGACTTATCTGTCACCACTTACCTTCTGCCCTTCCCAAACCCAGGGCTCACACCTGCCAGGTCTCCCAATCCCCCAGTTCTTCTGGGGCATACCATCCCATTCCATGTGTCTGTGATTTTGCAGAGCCGAGAAATGCAGGACTGACTGGGCACCAGCAAGGCACCATGCAGGCATTTTTACAAGCTTTCTCACACTAAAGCATACTAAAGGGTTGAGAACACTTCCAGTGATACCTTACAGACCAGGAAATGGAGACAGAGACATTCGAAGTAAATTAAGCCAGGCCTCAGGGCTGATAAGTGCCAGAGGCCTGATTCTCACAATAGGAAGCCGAAGCTGACCCCACTCTAAGACCAGGCTCAGCGGGTGGGGTGGCTCAGGCTTGTAATCCCAGCACTTTGGGAGGTTGAAGCGGGTGGATCACCTGAGGTCAGGAGTTCGAGACCAGCCTGGCCAACATGGTGAAACCCCATCTCTACTAAAAGTATAAAAATTAGCCAGGCATGGTGGCACATGCCTGTAATCCCAGCTACTCAGGAGGCTGAGGCCGGAGAATCACTTGAACCTGGGAAGTGGAGCTTGCAGTGAGCCAAGATCGTGCCATTGCACTCCAGCCTGGGTGACACAAGCGAAACTCCATCTCAAAAAAAAAAAAAAAAAAAAAAAAAAAAAGACCAGGCTGTCCTTGCTGAGGTTGGCTGCCTCCTTCTCGGGCTGGGGACCTCTCAGGACACGGTCCGCTTCCACTACTTCCGGGAAACCCTCACCTTTCTGGTCCCTCCTTCGACCTCCTGTGGCACTTCGCACAGACTTCAGGGGAATCAGAGAGAAGATGCAGCAACAGGACAAAGTAGGCAGGGTAGCTGGGCAGCCCTGCTTGGAATGCTGGTTTTAAACTTCACTAGTTGGTGGGGAGTTCCCTCCTCTATACGGTATGGAAAGTGATGCCTCCACCTCCCGGGGCTGTGGGGATGACTGAATGAAGTAACGTCTATTGGGGGCCTGGTCCATGGGGCCTTGCTTGTTCAGTGTTAGATCCTCCACCCTTCTGTAGAATTGTTATGTTCCTGTTGTAAAGACTGGACTCATAGTCATGAGGGCACACTGAGGGCTGGGGCTGGCTTTGCCATGAGGACCATGAGACCCTCTGCCCCACAGTCTGGCTCTGTTGTCCTTGGCTTATCCCGGAAGGAGTCTCACTGAACCTACAGTGCAGTTCATCCAGGAGGCACCCAAAGGAAGCTCCCAGGTCTACATTCCAATCCCTGGCCCATCCCCTTTGAGCTGCAAAGAAGCCTGAGGCACTGCTTTCATTACTTCAGTTTTACAGGTAATTAAGCCCAGGTGAGTGGGATGTGTATTTTGTAAAACACACAGTGCCTTGTCTGAGTTTAGACTTAGGTTACACTCTGAGATGGTTTCCCAAAAGTAACTGAGAAAACTGATAAGAATGTCTTCTCTGGACACAGCCAGCCAGGAGTTTTAAAAGAGCTGGGGCTCACACGGACCCTGGACTATGTATGACAGCTTAGCTATCGGAGTGGTGAGCTGGCCTTGAAGTGTATGACAGTTCACTAATGGGCTAGGAACTTTGGAGAGAAACACACTCAGCTTACAAAAAGAGTTGAAGGTACCACTTTTGGAAACCAAACACCTTCCATTTCTCCTGGGCGCTTATTCCAGAGTCTTCCTAATCAAGAACTACATTGTGCCTCAATTTCAAGGATGGTCAGCAAACATCATTTTCCCACCACTAAATGCTATGCAGAAAGAAATCTGTTCCCACAGAATCTAGTGAGACAAAGAAGAAAAAAGCCACATGACTAATGACCTGAAGAAAAGCATGGGTGTTTGTAATCCAAATTAACAACTAAGGGTAGGAATATGGCATCTGTTCTTCCTCACTTTTAGGTTTAAATGAAACTCAGTCTTAGTTCTCTCTCCCGGGGAAACCACACAACCACAGCTAATAATGAAGAGAGTCCTGAGCCATCCTATGTGTGGACTGTCTGCATTGTGGCTGTCTCTGAGGAGGCCCGGGTCGGGAGTAAGTTGCAGGGAGCGACAGGCAGCTGCACTGTCCATGGCCCTGAGATCTCGCAAGTGTCTCCCGTGTGGATGGAGCAGCTTGGTGCTATTCCCCCTCAGTGGTCCATGCTGCAGTCACGTGCACAGCACAATTGTCAAGAAGCTCCACAACAAATTCTGGGTGACACAATCTAGCGAGAAAACACAAGCTCCCACCAGACAAGGAAATGGCTTTTCCGTGTTTGGGTTTATTCCTAAAGTATGGTCCCCGAGGAGAAATTCCTGAAAAAATTCCCCACCAATTGCCTGGAAACATCAACAAAGGGAGAAGGGAGGTGGAACATGCCTCCCGCTTCCCTCCACCCTAAAAAACAACTACTTCCTGTTTAAGGATCAAAAAAAGAGAGGAGCAATTCACCTACTAAGAAAGCCCGGCCACTTGGCAGCCATCCAAGAATCTAAAACCTTGAATTTTGAAAACATAATAGACAAGAGAGTCAGCTTTAGAAAAGATTTCATCTATCAGCTAACAAGAGGCTGGGGTCATGAAGTAGGGTATTCTTTATACTTGAGAGACCATGCTAAAAATCTCAGAAACATACCAGAAGGACCAGAGCTGGGGGGAGCCAGGCGCAATGCTCTTAGCATGTAATAGAGGTTGCTGTTTCAAGGAGGCTTATCATTTCTTCTGACATCCTGACAGAAATGTGTAATATAGAAGTTTAGCAATGTGGGCAGGTTAAATTATACGAGGCAGAGGAAATCATTTCACTGTGAATTGGAGCATTGCTGTGGGCCACTCCAGGCTGAGCCGGCAGCCTCCTGCCAGGGCCCCCACTGCTCCTTCTAGAAGGAGGGGTGGCCTGAGGCAGACACAGTCTGGAAGAATGTGGGCTCAAGGGCTCATGTTTACTAAGTAACACCCTTGAAAGGGAATTTGGCGGTTGTGGGGCTTTGTGTTCAGCCTTTTCTAGGCCCCTCTCACTCTCTTGGAAATGGGAGGCGTGTGGCCTGAGGGGCCCTTAGAAACCGAGAGGAGGACACACAAGTCCAGTGGGTGTTCCAGCAAAACCCTCTGTTCCCCACCATTTCCTACACCCAGGAAGTAACAAAAAAGCACTGTTCAACAAAACGGCTCAGAAGATTCTGAAGGGCCTTTTAATCATCAGAGAAAGACTAAATTCCACTCAGTAAAATTTGAGTTTAGCATAGTTAACTGCAGCCTGAGTCTTTTAAACCAGGCATCTGCGGCTCTGTATGGGACACATCCCTATTGAGCAGACTGACTCATTTGTACCACCATGGTAAATTCCACTCCCTCCACCACCCCCACCTCTGTCCAATGCAGTCCATCCACAAGGCAGAAAAAAAGTACATATCAAGGCACCTTTCCTCACCAGGACAAAAAATACTTGTCTTTCCACCGTACTTTAGTCATATTGGTTGTGGACAGAAAAAATGAACACTGCTTCTGTGTGATTTGTGACTGGGTTTCCTGGTGGATTCAGAGAAGTTCCCTCCTCAGGTGAGAGGCACTGTTCCTCTGTTCCTACCCCTCCAGAAGGAGAGAGGACGTGTCTGAGGTGTGGACACAAGGGGAGGGAAATCATGATCCTCGGTGATCACTGGCATTTTTAATAAGGCGATGGCTACTAAGCACCACCTGTGGCATGCAGGACTTCATCACACCTAATTAAACCATTCCACGGGGTGGGTAAAGTGAGCCCCGTTTACAGGTGGGAAAACTGAGGCCCCCTCACACAGCTGGTGGGCACAGCCCCGGTCAGTTATTGTAGTTTCCACTACACTGAGCTGCCTGGAAGAAAGGGAACGTAAGGCTGTGTCCCCACACCTAGAGCAGCACTGTTCACTGTCACACTGACTGTCCCAGGCACAGGAGTAGTATCTCACACACACTCTGTTTTGGAGGACGCATTTGAGAAAATAGAACACATTAATAAACAGTCCTGATCAAGCACCTGCTTGGGGGTGGAGATGAAGATGACTTCCTGAGCTCAACTTTCAGGCTTCTCCGGCAGCCGCTGCCCCAAAGTCAAACTGCAGGAAGTCGCTGCAGGGAGGCAAGGCTGCAGGGGCCCAAGCAAGTCACACTTCACACTCCAGGGCCCACCAGCTGACATGTGCAGCCAGGTGAAATCAGGTTAAAAATCAACATCCAAGGTGGCTGCAGCTGGGAGGAGAGGTCATCAGAGGTGGTTGTGTGGGATTGAAGGGCTGGGGATGGAGAGGCAGAACCCCTTCCAGCCACAGTGAGTGGAGCCAGGCTGGGATGGCCCAGTTGTGTGCTCTGAACACCTATGGGTGGACACCTAGATCCTCCAGCCAGAAGGCTGGCCTGCCTGCCCTCAGCAGAGAAGTGTGCCCAGGGCCACTGCCTTCAGTCACAGTGCAGCCCTGCTAGTGGCTTCTGGCCCCTTCCCAGCTCTTCTGTCCTGTCTATGTGGTCTGGAAATCTCGCTGATATTGGTGTCTCTGAACACTTTACAGTAAGTGGGCATTAATTAATGCTAAATGACAACAGAATTTCTCCCAAATTGCACATGACACTCGCATTAAGAGCAAACATGTTCATTTGGATAGATGTTATTACGGTGAGTATCACAAGAATTAACAATGATTTGCTAATGATATGAAGTAAACACTCTTTAAGAGTTCCCTTTAAGTAAAGTAAAAGTAAAAGTAAAAGCTTTTAGGTGTGATTGTTAATTGCAGTAACAATTTGGCCATGGCTATGTAAATCTTACATGGATGGAGTTGGTGGGAAGTGGCTGGGGGCACCAGAGCCAAAGCCAGTGGGCCAGTCTGCCCTTGAACTTCCGTGCTGGGTTAGGGGGAAGTTGAGGGTTTTTAAAGCACCATGATGTGCATACATATAACCTGTGCATAAACATCTTATTACATCCTCACAGCAATCCTGTGAGGCAGGTATTAGTACCACACTAGCTTTAAAGCTGAGGATACTGAAGTTTAGAGGCCGGTAGGTGACTGACAAAGCTCACATGGCTAGTAAGTAGCACAGCTGTTACCAAAAACAGGTTTCCCTGACCCCAAAGCTCATGGTTTTCTCCTAAAAACTGTGTATTTGCCAGGCAGGCTATGCATCAGTAGTCCCAGGGTTGCTTTTAGAAATATAGATTCCTGTACCTCACCTGGAAACTTCTTTTTTTTAATTGTAGCGACAGAGTCTCACTCTGTCACCCAGGCTGAAGTGCAGTGGCATGATCACAGCTCACTGCAGCCTTGAACTCCTGGCCTCAAGTGATCCTCCCACCTTGGCCTCTTGAAGTAGCTGAAACTACAGGCATGAGCCACCACACCTGCCTAAGAAACTTCTGAATCGGAATGTCCAGGGTATTGCCAAAGTGCCTCTCTGAGCACAGCACTCTGAGTGACTGTGATGTGTAGCCAGGTAGGGAACCACCTCTCCACGCTCAGCTGCTGGGAAGTCCCGCGTTCCTATCTAGCTGCCTACCAGGTATTCCATGTCTTCTTGTACCCTGCAGGCCAGGTCATATTTGGCTTGCTAACAATCCAATCAGACGAATGAGCCAGGGCCAGGCACAGATGCTGCGGGCATCTTCACTCTCCCCACTTCAGTCCTTGCCATTGCCACCTGTAGCACCCAAGATGAAGGCCACCAGGAATAAGGTGGTCCAGGCCCCACCACAAGCACAGTGGAAATAAAGCTGCATGGTTAGGGGCTTCTTCCCACCCACCCCAGGGTTTGGGAATATGACAGTAATCTTACTATTACCCACAATTCCCCTGACATTCTCCATCCATTATGGGCATTACATTCAGGAGTGAGAACAGTACCAACTTCAGCACCAAAGGCTTGCTCCTAAGTCAGAACTGGCAAACGAACATAAACAAACAAACAACAACAACACATGGGTATGTGGAAGTCTGTGTGGTGGGTGTGGCTGACAAGGGAAAGGGAAGCAAAGAATCAACAAGGGTACTGGACTCCCTCCACCTGGCTTTAGGCTATGAAGCAGCAGTGGGCCCTACTGTCCAGTGACAACAGGAACAGCAGCTCGTGGAATGGTCTAGAGCTCAAAGCACTCCCGAGGCCTGCATTTCATCTTTGCCACAGCCTTGGGAGGTATGAATTCTTGCTGAGGTTCTAGAGAGGTCCAGTAGTGTGCTTTGCACAGCAGCAGGTGGTGATGAGGTCTGCACCTTCAGAATCCAAGACCAAACCTTAAGCCCACTTTCCTCCTCAGTGGATTCCAGAGATAGGCAGAGTTAGAAACTCAAAGGCGATGGTGGTTTATCAGTGTGACTGAGCAGGGAAACGCTCAGTCGCAAAGTGCTGGGATTACAGGTGTGAGTCACCGTGCCCGGCCCGAGTAGTTACTATTACGGGCCACATCATTCTAGGTATTTTATATATAAATTTTTATTTTTTGTTTTTGAGATGGAGTTTTTTGTTTCACTCTTGTTACCCAGGGTGGAGTGCAATGGCGTGATCTCGGCTTACTGCAACCTCTGCCTCCTGGGTTCAAGCGATTCTCCTGCCTGAGCCTCCAGAGTAGCTGGGATTACAGGTGCCTGCCACCACGTCCAGCTAATTTTTTTGTATTTTTAGTAGAGACGGGGTTTCACCATGTTGGCCAGGCTGGTCTCGAACTCCTGACCTCAGGTGATCCACCCGCCTCGGCCTCCCAAAGTGTTGGGATTACAGGCGTGAGACACCACACCTGGCCTTTATATCTAGATTTTTAATAGCGTTAAAAAACAGCGTTACCTTCCCCAAAAAAAGAGAGACCCCCATTCAGATCTTTTTGTCTGACACACTGGGGGTGTGGAAGCCCGCATCCTTGGTGGCAGTCATAGTTCTTCGACCACCCACAAACTATGTCCTCCGCCTCTTTCTTGCTAACAGAAGACAGCACAACGCCAACCCACAGGGGACAATCATGATGGGTCATGGAAATCCTTGCCCCTCTTTGCCAGATCTTTGCTTTTCCTTTCTCTCTCACACTTAGGAATGGACTCTTCTAGCCAAGGGGACATACAGGACACATGACCGCCTGTCTCCTTGTCTGCCTTGAATGTGTTTTGTAAGGCCCGCAAATGTTACCTTACAAGGAAAAAGTATCTTTGCAGATAGGACTAATTAAGAATCCCGAAGTGAGATTTTCTTGGATTATCTGGATAGGCCCTAAATGCCACCACGAGTGTCCTTATAGGAGAGAGGCAGGCGGAGATGAGACACACGAAAGAGGAAAAGGCCACATGAAGACAGAGGCAGAGATGAGAATGATGCTGCCAGAGCCAAGGAATGCTGGTGGCAACCAGAAGCTGGACAAGGCAAGGAACAATTCTCCTTTAGAGCGTCTGGGAGGAATGTGGCCCTGCTGATGCCTTGATTTTGGCCCAGTGAAACTGATGCTTAACTTCTAGCATCCAGCATGCCAAGAAGATACATTTCTACTGTTTTAAGCCGCCAAGTTTGTGATAATTCATTAGAACAGCCACAGGAAACTAATACACGGACAAAGCCACTATCAGGCATTCTGTTACTTAAACTGAACACATCCTATGTTACATTGCTCTGTAGCGCTTGCCAAGGTAATGCTTAGGAAGGACTGACAGAGATTTCACTCTCACTTCTGACCATAAGAGATACTTACTAGAAAGTGTGTTTTCTGGATCACAGACGCTGAGAAGTCTCCCCCGTCATCTTTTAGACAGCAACGCTATCATTAAAATTCCCATCATTGTTTCATTGGCAGTGAATTAATGCCATGTTGCCAAAGCCCACATTCTTTGAGGGGCACACTGGCAGGCAGGGGACCCATGGTGCCCTTATCCTGAAGCACACATTAGGACCCCTGAAAGCTTCACCTCCTGGGTATGCATCACACAAGAGGCTCCATTTTAGCAAACAGTGTAAAGAAGAGCTCTTGGGGTTGGAAGTTCAAGACAGGATAGGGAGGTGGGGAAGGGACAGGGGAGGAGAGAGGGGCCCAGGAGGCTGGAGAAGATACTTAAAATCTCACACCACACAACATTAGTAAATTCAACAGGAATTAAGTTAAAAGCCTCCTCTAAAGGAAAACCAGAGCTTAGGTGGAGGGGGACATGGGTGAAATCTACTCAGATTATAAAGGCTGTCTTTGCTGTCCATCTTCCCTTGGGGGCCCACCGCCTGTGCTTTACTGGGTATATCCTGGGCCTCCAAAGCTTAGTGATTTCCTGCGGATTCTCTTGCCACAGGGAACTTCTTTCTAAATTTCAGACTGATGACATGGCCATGTTTCAAAGCCCTCTGATCTTCTACCTCTTTAAGACACTTATGTTTTGGATCCCATTTCCTAAAAGGCCTGATCCTGGGGTGCTGATTTGGCTGTAATAAATGAATCTTGCTAATGTGTGTTATGGTTTTTTGCAGGGTAAGTCGGTCAATGGTGGGGGACCAGCAGGAGGAAACAGGGTGGAAGGGACTGAAATGTAAAATTTACTGAATCCTTATTATTATTAATAGTAGTATTATTGAGACAGGATCTTGCTCTGTCGCCCAGACTGGAGTGCAGTGGTGCAATCTCAGCTCACTGCAACCTCCGCCTCCCGGGCTCACGCAATCCTCCTCCCTCAGCCTCCCAATTAGCTGGGACTACAGGCACTTGCCACCACATCTGACTAATTTTTATTTTTTTTGTAGAGATGGGGTTTCACCATGTTACTCAGGTTGGTCTACACCTTGGCCTCCCAAAGTGCTGGGATTACAGGTGTGAGTCACAGTGCCTGACCTGAGTAGTTACTATTATGGGCCATATAATTCTAGGTATTTTATATCTAGATTTTTAAAAGGAAAAACAACAACAACAACAAAAACAAAAAAACACAAAAGCAGAAGCTTAGAAGCATTAGTAAACTGCCCAAGGCCGCAGTCACACAGCACTATGTTGCTAGAGCTGGAAGTGTGGTATCATATCTCTCTACCTTTCTAGGCGTTTCCTATATCCAAAGCTATATGGCCTCATGCTGTCTTACTCCCACAGAGCCCCTCAGAACCAGACCTCTCAGAGCGGCGACCTGGCTGCTGCTGGGTGGCCCAGTTCATGCTGTGGGGCTGATTCCATTCCAGTTTCCTTAAGGAAAGCAATAGGATCTCAGGCTATAAGTGAGTTACTGTTTGGTCCACTGGAAGTTAGATGTTAAAATATCATCACTAAGGATACTGTGGTATAACCCCAATACTGACCCTAGAAGGCATGGGGATATTATCACCAAAGCATTACGACTTTGTTTCAGTTCATCCCGTTTCAAAGTTCCTCATTTCTAAAATAAATATTTAACATCCTTTCATCCAGGGTGTTTCTTATGAGGTTTAAATGAACTATATATGGTACTTTAACACATGTGGCATAAAAAAACTACATAGGTTGCACAACCATGTGAGTGTGCTTACCATTACTACTGAAATGTACATTTAAAAATGGTTAGGATGGTAAATTTTATGTTATGTGTATTTTGCCACAAATGAAAAAATAAAGATATGTACAGTAAAAAAAAAAGCTATACAAATATCAAGTGCTACGATTAATATACAGTTATTTTGTAGTTTAAAAAATAATTTCAATTTTTATTTTAGATTCGGGGGTACATGTGTATGTTTGTTACATGGGTATATTGAGTGATACTGAGGTTTGGGCTTCTAATGATCCCATTACCCAGGTAGTGAGCATGGTACCCAATAGTTATTCAACTCTTGCCTTCCTCCCTACCTTCCCTCTCTACTAGTCCCCAGTATTTATTTTGTTTTTAATGGTTATCATCACCACGTATATTTATTCCTGTAGACACAGACAAAATCCCAGTGTTCTGGCTGGCCTCCCACTCATTCCCCTATAGCTCCATCTCTGCTACTAAGGTAGTTTTGTCTCCCAGACACTGAACTAAAATTGGGATCACTCCTGCATCATCAATATGTACTCTCTTCTGACCTCATCCAGCTGAAGGTCCTGAAAGCCCCTCCCTGAGCTCCTATTTTCTCCATCCCCCCACTTTCGCTGTGTGATTGATGGCATCATCAATACTGACCCAGTCAGCCTGACTTGAAACCTGAGTCATCCACGATTCCTCCCTTGACCCCCCTTCCCAGTGGTCACAAAATCATCACTTCAGAAATGCCTCTAAAATCAGACTCCTTCTTTCCACATTAGTTTGGTTGAGATCTCTATCACCTCTCAAATCCCCCATTATGACAACTTTCACCCCCTTTCACTCCATCCTTCATGCCACTGCCTGAATCCTCCTCCAAAATGTCAATTCTGATGTGTCATTCACCTACATAAGGTACCCAGTGGCTTCCATCTGGATCAAGTCCAAACTCTCATCTTGCCGTGCAAGGCCTGTTTTTATGGAACTGTGTATACCAACATATGTTTACAGTCTCATCTTCCCCCCAACACTGCCATGGACCCTGACCAAACAAACAGAAGTTTTCATGCTTCTCTCCACATGCTAAGCCTTTCCTAACTCTGTTATTTGCAAATGATATCCCCTTTGCCTGTGATCTACCCCATTCTTGCTACCTAGTAACATCTATTCCATGTGCTGCAGCAAGATCTAACTCAATTGCTTCCTCCCTTACAGAGTATGGCTCAGTTTTTTGCATTCAGACATCATGCCATTCCTCAGAAACAGCATACGCTACGGGGTCTTGTAATTCATCTAGGTACCTCAGCTTTCCCTTCAATTAGGCCATATTTCCCTGAAGGTTTTCTATGTCTTTGTCTTCTTCCCATCCCTAGTTCCCATGACAGTGCTTGGCTTAGCATACAAGTGAGGATTAAATTTGTTGAATGAAACATGAGTGAAAGAAGCTATGAGTGAGTTACTATTTTCTAGTCTTAGGAACATCACTTCAGGAAGGCTGCCTGCTGAAGTTTAAGTAGTACTGCATGGCATGCAAATTGGATTCTCCAGGTTGACCACAATCCCTTTGGACAAAGAAGTTTCATTTTGTACCCTAGATATGTAATTTACTAATTGACATTCCTTGAGATCTTTGTGTCTCTCAAGGTGGCTGTCTTATACTTGGGTGGGGCAGGGGAGTAATTCATTAGCTACTATAGGTGTACTTAAAATATTAATAAATTCTGGACTTTTCTAAGTGCATGTACACATGAACTCTCACTCTACAAAATCCTGTGTATTTCTATGGCTTTTAATAGCTTAAGCAAGATAGAACTAATCTGTGAATAGCACTTAAAATGACTCTATGAATATTTAGGCAATTATTATACATAATTGTAAATACGTATCCATATTTGAGATTTTGTGATCACTATAAAGTGTCAACTTTGGATGACCCAGGCAGCTTCTATGGCTGTCAAGAATTTATGCCTGTAAGTAGTGCCTCATCCAAATGGCAGGAAGATTAGGTTTTGCTTCCTAGAACCCACTGCTGCAGGCCCAACTCCTAACTTTCTGGGTTCTCTACTGACTCCAGCACCATGTACAGAGGCACCTCTAGAGAAGCACATTTGGACAACATGGTCCCGTCTCTCTACCCATAACTGACCAATCCAGGTGTAAGCACCTGGCTTAAGTTACACCAACCCACAATCCTTTCCTGAGCTAATCTCAGCCAGTCAGAATCTCTCCCTTGGATCTTAGCAATGGCAGTGGAAAAGGAGAGACAGTCTCTCTGCCTGTAGCTAAAACTGAAAAGTGGATGGGTCATGATTTCTACCAAAAGGAGAAACGAAGTCTCCGAAATTATCAAGATTCAAGTGGACGGGCAAAAATAAGTAGAGACAAAGCAAGGAGGGCATTTAGCCCTCTGCTCACTGTTTCTGATATCCAGTTGCCTGGCTCTGCCCTTCTGATGGTTTGGTTATTTTAACACATTTAAATTCCAAAAGCCTAAACATTTCATTATTTGTTAGTTTAATGTATGTTATTTGAAACAAAAAGAGTCTTTAAAAGGTAACTCTATTAACATAAACACAGTCAAAGCTGTTACAACTTAAGAGTTTCAAAAGGATCCAATGACTTCATGAAGTCTCTTCATACGGAAGGGTGGAGTTGCACTGTAAGCATGTGAGCATGTGGAGGTCCATTATTTTGTCCAGCTACAGAAAATGGATAAGCCCCTTTATAATGAACAATTGCTTGGTAATTGATTTGTTGGGTAAACTCTGATTTTTCTCAATGTCTACTCTTCTTAAAGTAGGCCTCCTTGCACAGCATTGGACGTCCAGTAAAGGGGTGAGGGTGCAAGTGTAACTTACTTAAACGCACCAACTAAATAATCCACATATGTTGTCATGCTGTCTCTGAGGAATACATTATTTAAAATTATTGCTGCATTCTAAACGACCATCTGAGAGAAATAATTACTGTTCCATGACTGGATCAATACTTTTGTTCTTATTCTTTACTACTTGAGTGATTGGATCTAAGGCTAGAGGAGAAACTAAGGTCAATCCCCTGGACCTATGGTAATCTAGCAGGGAAGATCAATGTGTGTGCTTGTGAGCCCAAGGAGGGGAGCGGGGGCAGGGAGGACAATTCTTAGTGTGCTAACTTAATTTTAAATTTCTCAGTGAGAAAAGCCATGCTTATCTATGGCTCTTCTGTTGCAGCATTTAAAAAACTGCCCTGAAGGTACAACTCACTTTATGTCTGGCTTATTGAATAAATTCATGAATTACAACCCTATCATGTACACAGGTGATGGTAAGAATGGCTTGTCCATTCTGTCCAGGAGGGGTAACATTTCAAGCTTGGAATAGAAAGCGATGAGGCGGCTAGAGAGGTAAAAAGGGGTATTTCCGTGTCAGAACAAAAAGTCATGTCCACACTGTAGGCACGAGAGTACATTCAAGTGTCCAGCATTCGGAATCCACCAATATGGAATCTGCAGTCATTTTATTCTATATGGCAGCCTATGGGCCCTCATCCATATCCCACTAATTACTGGGAGACAACCTTAAATTGTCCTTTTAAAGAACATGATTCAACATAAGTTTATTACAGCCTTTCCAATAAGAATATAAAAGAATAAAGCATTTGCCAGAGTGACTGCTTAGTCTTAACCTATCAAAATAAATACCTTTCAAGCACCTTAGAAGCATCATTTGCATGCAAGTAATGTGCTAACTGCAAATGGGACTTATTAATTAATTAAAGCTCATCACAAAACATCTTCTTTGAGTGATATTTTGTTGGATGTTAGAGTTACAACAGAAAGTGATAAAATACTCTTTGAACATTTCCTTGTATTCCAACGTATTACAGTTTTCACTGGTCTTTTCCTATCAGCTCTCAGGCTTATTGGAATGTGGCATGTGGGAGAGTCCAGCTTAGCGGCTAAGAGCACTGCCACACTGACCTGGGTTTGAAACCTGCCTCTGCCATTAACCAGGAGCAAGACTGGGCATGTTCGGTAATACCTCTGTGATTCAGTTCCCACCTCTGTAAATGGGGGATAATATTAGCACCTACCTATTAGGATTGTACTGAAGACTAAACAAGTCAACATATGTATAGCACATCTAAGCACTATTTAAACAATAGTTACTTCTTTATCTCTCTGTAGCACTGAACACTAGAAACCATATAGAATTTGAAGTCAGAAGGCTATTTCTGCTACCATTAGCTGTATAATGTAAGTTACAGAACCTTTGAACCTCAGTTTCCTTATAAGTAGAATGGAGGTAATCACGCCTACACTCCATTGGGTTGGTGTGAGGACTGTATAAGATAATGTGTAAAACACCTTGGCAAACATTTCTAACTGGGTTGATGAGACTCTATCAGGCTCAGTCCAGCTACATGGCTGGACGTGGGTTCTGCCATAATGAGGACTTACGCCTCCTTTCTTCAGTCTGAACGTAGGCAGACAAGAACAATACAAATCAGCCCAAGGCTTGGCAGAGACTTGCACTTACCCTGGGCTCTCCTTAGAGAAGGAGTTTTTGCCTAATCCACCCTGGGGGCTGAAGTCATCAAGGAGAGAGAGCAGATGGCAGCAGCCACTGTGGGCGGCACCTGGTTATGTACACAAGGCAGCTAGTCACTTGCCAGTCCGGGACGTATAGAGACATAAACATCCCCTGGGTGGCTCCCCACAGAGTCTTTCCCTGCTTCTTTCTCAGGGCAAGGAGAGAGTAGCCCCTGCTTAGGCCACTGCCCGCAGCACCTCTGAGCAGGAAGTCAGGGCCCTTGGACTCCCCATCAGACCGCCTGCCTGAAGCACACACTGGAGCTGGGGAACTTGCCTGAGAAGCCAGTAAAATTTTAATGCACTCTGTAGTGCGGTCATGTCATACTCGGTTATGGCAAATAATCCCAGATGCCTGCAGAGGTAAAATGGAGCTGTAATGTGCTTGCCTCCTAACCCGAGCTGACAGCAATGATGTACGACTACCATTAGCGGAAAATATCACTTCAACTAACCCATGATCCAGCTCCGCTCAGGGTCACATTATCCATGAGGAACAAATTACACTCCCAAAGTAAATACAAATTTTCTACACAAAATGGGTACAAAAAAAGGGAAGGGGGTGATCCGTTCCCTTCGCCAGCACACTGCTGAGTGACACAGATGATAAAGGACAGGACAAATCATTGGCTGACAGAGTGTTGTGCCGTAATCAGCTCAGCCGGCACGCACTCCGGCCGATAAACACTATATTCTCCCCTTAGTGGCAAATACATAATCTTTAACATGGACATGGCTGCTTCAGGTATTTACTATCATTTGGGCTGCAGGAACAGCCCACGCAGCATTTGCTGTTAAAAAAGAAAAGGCCCTGTGGCCCTGATGGACCCAGACCTCTGTCAGGGTGAGAATCAGTGTCTGGGGATGGACAAGAGGGTTCTTGAGGGGGCGAATTATAACTCAGAACAAAACTACCTTAGAGGGTGCAGTGCAGGAGCCACCATGGAACCATGGCCCCTTCTCCTGTGTGGGGTCGTAGGAAGAAAATGGTCTGCAGGGACCATATGGGGTTCATGAGGCTCTGGACTGGAAGCTCAGAAGAAATTCCTCTGCTCCAGCCCTGCTCTTCCTGTGCTTTCTGAGTGACAGAGGCAAGGCCCTTCTCCTTTATGAGACTTGGATAACCAATAAAGCAACTTCTGGGTATAACACTAATATTTACAGGGCCGTATGTGTCAAGTACATGCTAGGCATGGGATGCTTTCAGGGAGTCTATGATTTAATAAAATATTAAATGTTTACACATATACAGACACTTAAAGGAAGACTGAGTTCTGTGTCCAAATATGGTTCATGCTAAGTCCACCGACTGGTGTAGCCTACATCCCTAATTAATCATGGGCTGACTTTGCTACCCATCTGTAAGAGTTAAAATATATACCTTGTATATAGCCCTTCCCTTCTCACCTTGGATAACTGCATTCCAGGCTAAAATAAGAAAAAAGTCCCACTTCAGAAGAGCCTGTACAATCTAAGTTGTTAGTAGACCCAAATTTTATTCGTTCCATGTTTCTTGAGAAACCGCCATGTTTGAATTTTTAGGAGTTAGTGCAATTGTTTGGGTGGGGGTGAGGGTGGATAGATAAACAGGATCCAGGTCTCTTGCAGCACAAGTAGGTGAGACACAGAGGGGATGACAGCATGAGCTCCTGAATGGCACTGCTAGGCTTATCCCAACTCACACTGACGTACGGGGAAGCAGCACGGCATGGGAAGAGGGCCCAGATTCTGGAATCCTAAGACACAACTTATATCTCAGCTCCATCACTTATGCCTCATTTTTCTTATTTGTAAAACAATGACACCTGCTTGAGAAGATAAAGCCTTGAAAAGCCCTAACAGAGAGTTTGGCACATGGTCAACGATGGTGTATGTGAGAATATATAGATCCCTACAATAAATACTTAAACAGATCTTATAAAATGATGTTTTTAAAAGTGTTTTGAATAATGCAATGTTCTCTTTCATGTGAAGTGGTGCTTATTATTACTATTTAGTTGCTATTATTGACCCTAATCTTAGTTTTTCACTGACCGAAGACATTAGTAGCATCTATATTTTTAGACCAGGAAATTAGGAACTTCAAAAACCACTAAGAGCACTAGAAAGAAAAGATGAAGCCCAAACTGGGCTCCTTGAGTACTACAACCACCCACCACAGGGCTTACTGGTCTTTCCTTATTTCAAAGACCCCATTCGGCTGTCTCCGTAAGTATATGAGTCAAGCCTGGTTTAGAACAACAAGGGAGAAAGCTGCTTCCAGCTTTCTTTGGGTTATTCTTCGGGTACCTGAAGAGGTCATGCAGGTCTACAGCTAGAACTTCTCAACATGCTCCTCATGGAAACTGATAGGGAAAATCTCTAACCTGTATAAAAGAGAACCAATTTGACCTTCCCAGCTGTAACTTTAATTAAAAAAGAAAACAGAAGTCCATTCATTTGTTGAATCTGGGGACTTCTTAAAGTATAAAGTTTAGATAATTATTAACACATCCTAATATAGATATTTGATTATATTTGTCACACTAGAATGGCACAGTTCTGAGGAGCATTTATCTGTAACTATCTTGCCATCCAGGAGTTGTCAAGGGGGATTAACTCTTTCTCTCTCTCTCTCTCTCTCACACACACACACACACACACACACACACACGTACATGACCAAAAAGTTCTATCTTCATTGAAGACAGAACACTCTGCAACCCTAATACAGTATAAGACAAATTCTCTGACAACCAAAGAGCCTCCCAGGTTACACTCTATCAGAGGCCACTAACATGAAGCATGTTGTTCAAGACATCACCTGTACAAATGCCTCTGCTCATGACCCTCCTGGTATTCAGGTGGCTCAGGGCTCATGGTCAATTTCATGGGGCTGATAGCCATCACCTCCCCCAGCCTCCTCCTTGGCTTTACAACTTTCCCTTCAGGTAAGCCATGACACCCAAGGCGATGGCTCATTCACCCAAGGGGAAGCAGCAGGAACTTTTCTGTGGGAACACAGAATCATGCACTCAACCTTGATGTTTCTGGAACAATTCCTTTTATAGATCAAGTAATGGTCATTACCAAACAAGTGAGTTCTTGAAACACATTCCGTAAGCTAGCTCTCCACCTAGTCCCCATGCTTTCCTAAATACTTACAGTAGTTGAGGAACACAGATTAAATGAACTGCTCTGCTACTTACTCACAGGTACATGGTGACAGTTCCATCAGAGTTAAGCAACTATAATTCTCATGTCAGTTCATCAGTAGACACTTGTGAAAAAATGAGTGGATATGTATGACTGAAAGACTGAACCAACAAACAGATAAGGACCCTGTTTAGACATCAGGTCTGTATGTAAGTTTCCTTCAGTTGCTTGAGAGTACACACACATATACCCGAGTATGTCCCCTATATGTTTATTCTCTCTTGGAAGACTGAGAGAGACGAAAGAATGGAGACAATTCTTATATAATCCTCTTTCCACATTGGCAAAGGGAAGATACAATCACATATTAATTTCCCTCTGGGTTCTGCCATGCTGTTGGGGCCTAGGTAAATAGCTATTTGGAAAATCTGGATAGTCAATGTTGGATCATTGAATACTGCCTCATTTTCCAGATGACAAAACTAATGCTAGGCACCATTAGGTAACTTGCCCAAGGCCATACAGCTGGTGAGTGAGAAATCAGGAATTGGGTCTTCTGAGTGCCCTTCTCCACCACCCACCTATTGCGAGCAATAGAACATCTAGAACCTGTTCTTTCTTCTCACTGTTTATTTCAAGAAACAAAACCTTAGCTGAAAATGCCTGACATATTTCCAATAACAAGTATTTATTCTGTTGACTTACCTATATTTAATTGAAAATCTGTACATTTATAACTTCTTTTTCAGGTGCATGACATGGTAGTAATGAACAGATTATTGTACATACATGTTCAGTATAAGTGAAGTAATTTTTGGTTTTGCCTGAAAATGTTATCATATGAAAAAGATAATGAGATTCTGAATTTAAAATAATTTACCATAGAAATTTAATCCAAGGATAGTATCAATGTGTATTTGGGATGTATGCAATGTAATTAAGCCAATTGGAAATATGATGATTTTGGAAGAACAATAAAATGTCATTTTAACCCAGACAAAATCCTGAAGGGGTAAGAAGAGGTTGAGTAGATGGGCATCACGGAAATCACGCATCCAAAATAAAAAGCTCTTAGGCCAGGTGCGGTGGCTCATGACTGTCATCCCAACACTTTGGGAGGCCAATATGGGCCGGTCACCTGAGGTCAGGAGTTCAAGATCAGCCTGGCCAACATGGTGAAACCCTGTCTCTACTAAAAATACAAAAATTAGCCAGGCATGGTGGGTGCCTGTAATCCCAGCTACTCGGGAGGCTGAGGCAGGAGAATCACTTGAATCAAGGAGTGGGAGGGTTCAGTGAACCGAGACTGCGCCACTGCACTTCTGCCTGGGTGACAGAGCGAGACTCCATTTCAAAAAACAAAAATAAATTAAAAATCTCCTGAGACTCAGCCAAGAACCATAAGAAATTGTCTATTTATAAGTTAGGAAACTTATAAATGGCTTAGATATATTGTATGAGAAAACTGTAGATGAAATATAGAAGCCTGAGGAAGAGATCACACATTTTGGGGGTCCAGGAAGTAGACATTGCGACTGTATGAGGTGCAATCAGGTTTGAGTATGAGTCTTCTGAACTTGGTTCACTTATCCCCTCCGTTTGGAGATGAGTATCCAGGAAAGAAAATGCAAATTTTGCAAAACACTGAGCACCTAATTCATATCAAGCACTGTGCAAAGTATTAGGGATATAAAGACAAGAACATGGATCCATTCTCTTTCCCTGGGTGATGGCTGTCTGCTTTGCTGCTATGAAATCTGGAAAGGTGGAGATATTCCTTTCTAGCTACAAAATAGGACAGTACCTCCAAACTGTCTCCTGACCAAAATATATCCTATTTGAAAACTAAGGCTGGGGGTTCCACAAGCAACAATGAGGGCCTTCTGAGCTTCTGGAATGTTGCTGAGGGTGCACAAACCTTACCGAGTGTGAAACATGGCCAACCAAGGGATGGGACTCTTCCACTGTAAGCACAAACCACATGCCCAGTCTTCAGTTTGACATCTCAGCAGTTTCTGACTCCTGCACGAGCCAAGTTAGGCATGTGGTTTGTGTTGAGTTAGGAACATAAGACTTTGCTGGTTTTCTTTGCTCCTTTTCTTAGAAGCCCCTTCCCACACAAGTGAACATAAAATGATCAAACACAACAACTTTTAGCATGAATTTAAAAATGAACACCAGGCATGGTTGCTCATGCCTGTAATATCAGTGCTTTGGGAGGCCAAGGCAGGAGGATCACTTGAGGCCAAGAGTTTGAGACCAGTGTGGGCAACATAGTGAGACTCCATCTCTACAGAATAAAATTTAAGTTATCTGAGTATGGTGGTACACACCTGTAGTCCCAGCTACTTGGGAGGCTGAGGTGGGAGGACTGCTTGAGTCCAGGAGTTCGAGGCTGTAGTGAGCTAAGATTATGCCATTGTACTCCAGCCTGGGCAACAGAGCGAGACCCTGTCTCTAAACAAAAAAGGGAATGCACCAAAAAGTGTGTGGAAAGAGGGAAAGCAGGTGTGAAAAATCGGTAGTACTGCATTTGCAGTTAGCCATTGTGCCAGTAGGCTGTCCTGGGTACAGGACACAGTACCAAAGCAAAGCCCAGGAGCACAAACACCTTCTCCAGGTGGTTGTTCCTACTGCTAACAGCACAGAGAGAAAAAACTGCAATCAGGAGTCATGTTAAAAGATTGATAGGAAAAGGAGAAGGATTCATTTCTGTGAGATTGTGTATGTGTGTACTGCATGTATACTTATGCCCGGTATCTACAGACATAAGCATGGGTGGCACATGTCTGCACACACAGGCAACATCTCCACAACTTTCAAGTTTTTCTCCTAAGCAGTCAAAATTTCAAGAGCATTAAACACGGGGAAAAATCATGTTTCCCTTTGACATTTACTATAAGGCAGTAGTTCTCAAAACCAGTTGTGTACCAAAATTACCTAGGAAGCTTTTTAAAAAATACAGATGCTCTGGCCCTACCCCAGAACATCTCTCCTGTGATGGGTTTCTGGGAACCGACAGTGTTTGGCATTTGGGAACAGTTGCTGAAGGGACAAGAGCTATACAATTCACTTAATCACCATTTGATCCCTCCAGGACAGTACACGTGCTCTTGGCTCCAGGTTCTGCTCAGAGGAAGGCCTGATGTTTGGATAAGGGGTTTAAAAAGACACTGTTTCAGAACCCTTCAAAATTTAACACTTCCATTCAGCCTGTGTCCAGGAGAAGGGCCCTTGGGATAAAGGCTGAGCCTCAGATTCTGGGGAAACCCTCTAGCAGGTTCTCTAGAAGAACCCCAGCTTTCCAAAGAGGATGCTAGTCTTCCTCTTTTTTCAAGCGTCCTCTCTCATTTTATCTCAAGTAAAATGAACAAAAGCTAACATTTATTGAGCAGTTACTATGGACCAGGCACTGAGCCAGATGCCTTCATATATTTTTATTTTTTTAGAGACAGGGTCTCACTCTGTCACTCAGGCTGGAGTGCAGTGTAGTGGCATGATCTTAGCTCACTGCAGTCTTGAAACTCCTAGGCTCAAGCAATCATCCTGCCTCAGCCTCCTGACTAGCTGGGACTATAGGCACATGCCACCATGCCTGGTTAAGTTTTAAGATTTTTTTTTTTTTTTTTTTTTTTAGAGACAGGGCCTCACTATGTTGCCCAGGCTGGTCTCAAACTCTAGGGCTCAAAGACAAGAGCCCACTTTGTCCTGCCTTGGCCTCCCTAAGTGCTGGGATTACCGCCATAAGCCACCATGCCTGGCCCTAAATGCTTTCATTTAATTGCTACAGGACTATATGTAGAGCTGTTGTCACCCCCATTTGACAGCTGAGAAAGCCAAGGCTTGTCCACAACAAAATAGAAATGGACAGAGTCAGAAACATGTGTCAGCCATCACACTGAGGCCCAAGTGCTTGGCCACTGGGCTATATGCCTTCCAATCAGCTCAGTCACATGCTATACACAAGAAAAAGGGTGTGGGTAGAACAGGGAATGACTTTTAATCTCCACATTAACTTCATAACCAAACGGGATATTTCTTAGCATCATGGGCTGCTGCCAGTACTGGAGAAAGAAAGGAAACAATAAAATATAGGCCAAATATTTGGCAATTGCATGTTGCCTCTTTGTTCTCATGATACCAATTCATTTCGAATGGGGGATCAGAATAATTGCTTAATTTGGGTGATTAAGGGTGCCAAGTGCTGCCTCTTTTCTTAGCTCTCACTACAGTGAAGAACAATCCCACATCTAAGATGCAGTGTTCACAGCCTTCTGTAATTCCCCACCCAATTTCTATCTTTTTTTTTTTTTTTTTTTTTTTGAGATGGAGTCTCGCCCTGTCGCCCAGGCTGGAGTGCAATGGTGCGATCTCGGCTCACTGCAACTTCCGCCTCCCGGGTTCAAGCAATTCCCCTGCCTCAGCCTCCCGAGTAGCTGCGACTACAGGCACGTGCTACCACGCCCGGCTAATTTTTTGTATTTTTAGTAGAGACGGGGTTTCACTATGTTGGTCAGGCTGGTCTCCAACTCCTGATCTTGTCATCTCCCCGCCTTGGCCTCCCAAAGTGTTGGGATTACAGGCATCAGCCACCGCACCCAGCCCAATTTCTACTCTTCATGAACGTCCTTGTGGTTATCTGACATTAATGTGCAATGTATTCACGTGGCTGGGAGGGGAGGATAAGGGAGATACTTTGCTCAGTGTCTCATCAAAGCCTTTTTGTGCACAAGTGTGTCTCCTGCATTTAGGGAAAGCTCTGCTTTTTTAGCCCCTTTCGGAGTCACTTCCACGTTAATTAGTAAGGGTATCATTTTATAAATTACAGCTTCATATCAGAGGAAAGCAGAGTTTATCTTAATTCAGTCAGCTGTGTGAAACACAGTACCCTAATTTTAGCCTGCCGGTTCTGCAGATCCCTATGGAGTAAGAGAATGGCAGGTCTTCCAGAGAGAAATCCCAGTGGGTCCCTGACAAGTTTCACTTTTGCCTCCAACAGCATCCCTGGTGGGGCTTGCTGAAGGTATCCCAGGACACTGAGTGGCATCTTTTCCACCATTAGCAATTCAGATTCGAATGCGAATCCTCCAAGCAACACATGAAAGCAGCCCTGGTTAGCTCTGGGGCTTCGAGGGGGGCACAGGCAAGAGGTTTCTTCACAGAGGAGGCTGACAGGGACCCAGGCTCCGACAGAGCAGAAGTCTTGGAGGATGGTGTTAAAGTTGGCGATAAACACCAGACAATCTCAGTCCAAAAGGGGAAGCCTAACAGTCTTAACTGCAACAGGGCCAAGCAGGTGCGAGGGCAATTAGAGTCTCAATGGCTCCTGTTGGGAGCCCCCTGGAGAAATGGCATGGGGCAGAACAGAGGCAGATGATGTCAACACTGGTTATGGTGTGGCTCCCACTTAAGACCTGCAGGATCACCACAGTAGAAAGGAAGAATGGCTGGGGGTGCAGGGCAGGAGGTGCGCCATGAATCTGAGGAACACTCCTAATACCCCTTCCCTTCTTGCCATTGCCACTCTTGGACTCGCCTATAAACAACTATGTATCCGCTTTATTACCCTGAAATCTACTCAAGCTCAGAGTGGTAGGTGGGAGCTACCTTCCCAATACCCATTATTCCGACACTTTACTTCTTGCACTTAGAGATGGAAACCCAGGCAATAACTACTCAGGAATTCAGGTGATGGGAAAGGACCTGGTGGGGTGCTCTCAGTATTGGCCCCCAGATCCCTCTGACAACCAGAGGCAGATTACTCCTAGAAATTACCAGAGTTAGGTGATCATCAAGACCCATGGTTCAAGACAGCCCCAAAGGCTCCAAGGTCATTGACCTGGGATGAGGCCCAGGCACTGGAACTTGTAGCAGCTCCCTAGGTGATTTGGGTGTCAAGGTTGAGGCCACTGGTGAAGACATTTACAAGGAACACAAAACCGGGCATCCTTACCACCTTCTACCACTGCTGAAGACTGGTGATGGTTTTGGAATTCACATTTCCTTTTTTTTTTTTTTTTTTTTGATGGAATCTCACTCTGTCACCCAGGCTGGAGTACAGTGGTGCGATCTCTGCTCACTGCAACCTCCGCCTCCCAGGTTCAAGCTATTCTCCTGCCTCAGCCTCCCGAGTAGCTGGAACTACAGGCGCCCGCCACAATGCCCAGCTAATTTTTTGTATTTTTAGTTGAGACGGGGTTTCACAGTGTTAGCCAGGATGGTCTCAATCTCCTGACCTCGTGATCCACCCACCTCGGCCTCCCAAAGTGCTGGGATCACAAGCGTGAGCCACTGCGCCTGGCCCCACATTTCCTTTTAAGGAAAGAATGTCAGCTTGGTTGTACGACCCTGAATAAGATTTATCCTTTTGGAAAAGTGGCACAGACTTAGAAAGTGAGATCAACCATTGCTGATAGATCTGGAATGGCCAGAAGGTACCAGTCCCTCCCTGGGTACCAGTGATGCCCACCATGTGGGAATGTGGCCTCGGGGGTTTGGGGGCCAATGACCGTGTCTTGAACACTAACCATTACTGCTGTGCACATGTCCCTGGCACCCACTACACACTGGCTGCCTGAGACACCAGGAGTCCTACTTCCAAGGAGCTAAGGCTCCTGGGGGCTGGAGAAAGGCAGCTCCTACTTGTCAGTTAAACAAAAGAATAATCCACAGCCCCCTTTCCAGTGTGTACTTTCACTGTCATCCAACAGCCCATTACCATGTCACAGCACAGCGTACCCTTCCATAGGTCACTTTGTTTAAAATGACATGGATAATGCACATGTCAGCAAGCTGACAGTCCTGGCCGTCCTTCAGAGATAAAAACCTCAAGGCGAGAGCCTGTTCTTATCTGGGGGACATGCATTGGTCTATCATCCAAGTCAGGCAGAACATGATTTCTCCAGAGAGCATTTTTTTCATTTCCTGATTTTAAGGAAATCAAATAAGCACCATTTGTCTTCATCTGAATATGCTTGACCTGCTCAAATGATGATGTCTCGCATTTTATAACAGGCTACATATGCTGAATTCAAATTAACGACAGTACAGAACAAGAGCCTTTAGATCTCTCTTGGAGGCTGGCAGCAGAGAAGGAGAGAAAAATTCTGGGTTTGTTGGAAAGATCCCACTAAATACTAACTGCAGCATTCTGAATAAAATCCGCAAGCATGTAGGAGGTGAAAGTCAAAGCACAGGGCACAGGACAGATCCAGAAACGGGGGAAGGGAGGCCGAGTCCATCCTTTTGATACCAAGCAATACAGAAACCGTGATATTCAGGTAACTCTTTTCAAAATAACATAAAGCAGCAGTAAAAATGGAAGGAACTTTGGTTGGGGATTGGAACGGCTAGAAAGAAAGACCAAACAGACAAATAATCCCTTTGCTTCAGGCAGCAGAAAGCTCACTTTACCGAGTTGTGATCCAATCTTCTGGAACCTCAGAAACTGAGTTCCTTTTCTTGATCCATGTTGATCTGGATACACAGAGGCTGGTGCCCATGAGCCTCGAAACAGAGCATGTACCTGCTGGAAGAACTGTCCTCCTACCTGGCGGTCCGCCCGGATGGGAAGAGGGCAGTTCCCATCTGACCTCCCTTGCCCACCCGTACCCCATGATGAGATTCCTAGACACAGACCATTAACATTTCTATCAAGAAGGCCAATAGGTACAGAAAAGCATATGGGTCAGTAAAATAAATGCAGAAATGACATTATAAACACAAACTAGCAAGTTTAACGTTCTCATCATGGATTTTTAAAAATCAGATGGTTATTAAAATAAATAATTTTGTCTTTTAAAATGTTTTTGAGTCTATGAGTCATCTTCCATAAAGTAAAAACTCAGTGTCACATATATGCAATATTAAAGGTCTTGTTTAAATGAAAAAAAGGTAGATCTGACAAATTAAACGTGTCATAGCATAGGAAATGTCACTGTGTGAATAATGCCCATCTTTCCTAAAGAGAAAAGGTCCTGTCAACATGAAGCTGGCATCCTACCCTGCAGCTGTGTGTGGGAGGACTCTGGTGTTCAGTGTGTTATGTGCTGTGCCCACAATGGGGGAGGGGGGGTCTTACCTTCTCTTCCTGGTCACTGTCACTGTCACACTGAAAATGAAGACAAGAGAATAAGGGTTAGTGCAAGAACTGAGTATGTTTTTGCTTTTGATGCCTCCTCCCCCAACCCCCATACAAAAAAAGTGCAAGATAAGTAAAGGAAATAAAAAATGCTGTCTTCCTGGAAAGAAAGAGTTTCTCCAGTTCAAGTGCTAGTAAACAGCATCTGAAACAAAATGCTATCCAGATGCAAAAAAGTTATTTTGTTGATTTCATCTGATGCCTGTACTCTGTGGCTCTTCCTCAGGTCAGTCCAGCAAGGTGCTCAATCACACAAGTGAGCGCTTCCCTCCCACCATGGCAGGGTAGAGGCGATGCCCCTCTAGGAGTCAGCCACAGGATTAAGGTGAATCAAGATTGTTCAATGAAATTCAGAGCAAAATCAATTTCTTAACGAAGACATTCTATCTTCAGCTAATGTGAATGGCTGTATCTCTACCGGTGCTTTTCTACAGGAAAAGAGGTAAACCTCTGGGCGTTGTAGTCACTCATTTGAACTTTGAAGGAAACAGAACATAATGGCCAAGGCTCACCACTTGTGATGGCTGCCTTTTCCGGTTTAGAGGCCCAGAGAATAGAAGGAACATTCCCTATAAAAAGTATGCCAAAGACAAGAGGTCAGGGTAGTAAATAAAAAATATGGGCAAAAAAGTATGCTTTAGGGCCATAGACTCAGACCATATCAAACAGATCCCAAATTCCAACCACTGAGTTTGGTTTGGGATAAGCAGAGAGTGATAATTAATAATTAACCCCAGTCTTTGGGATCCTCATGATAAGCAAGGGAAAAAAGAACACAACTTAAAAAAAATGAAGTGTTTTGTTAATTCAATATTCAATGAAAAACTGGGGGATGTGTTTTGTTAGAGTAAAGCTCAGCAGGTAAATATATCTATTCATTCAGTCAACAGCCCTTGATAAGGAACTGCTAAACTAGACTGAAATTCACCTGAGATACAGGCCTGGCTCTAAAGGAGCCTTCCGTTTAGCAGTAAGACATGAAGCTGGGATACAAACACTAGCAGGGGTGTGGCATGATCAGAGCTGCTTCCATGAGGATGACTTTCTGTGGGAACGTGGAGAGAGTGCACAGTGGGGAAAAATCAGGTCACAGGGAGAGTGGTTTGGCAGCCATTCCACTGTCTAACCCAAGGTGGTGCCATGGTTTAGGAAGGCAGAAGCAGATGGCACAGCAATTCTGAAGGTAGAACCAACAGGATTTGATAACACATGGATATGGGAAGCAAGTAACAGGGATGTGTCTAGGATGATGCCAAGGTTTTTTAGTGTGGCCACCTGGACATGGGAGTTGGTATAGCTTTGAACAGAAACAGGAAATAAATTTGCTTGTAGGGCAGCCACTGCTGGCTAGATCCCCACAGCCATTCACAACTCCCTTCTCCCTAGTCTGTACCTTCTCCTGACACTTTGAGGTTAAAAATGCCAGGTATTTTCTTTCTCAATTTTTCTTGAGGCTAAAGATGGGAAAAGAGGTAAACCTCTGGGCATTGTAATCGCTTATTTGAAGGCCCATCTTTGGCCAATGAGATTCTGAAATCTGCTGAGGGCTCTAGAAACAATTTTGTCTCCCCAGTAAACAAAGAAAAGAAGGAACCACCTGCCTTTGGCCTTTGAACATGAGTGTATAAGAACGTGATGTCCAGATACGTAGCAGCCATCTTGCAAAAATGAGGCAAAAAGACTCAGTACAAAAACAACAGAGTGGGACCAAGGGAAAAAATGCCTGACAGAATTGGACCACTGAACCCATCTCAGGGCAGCCTGCCTCAGGACTTTTATTCAGAAAACACTAAGTTACCTTATTGTTTAAGCTCCTATTAGAGAGCTTTTAATGGGAAGTAACAGAACACCCATCTAAATGGACTTCTTGCTATTATGAGACAACCTGGGGACTACTTATTCTTTTCAGACTAAGCACTCCGTAGTAAAAGCATTTAGGAACTTATATCACAGTCTTATAGACTGGAGGATTAGAACATTTTCTACTTCTCCCATTGGCTCCTCAGTGCCACAGGGTAGTCAGATATTCAGTGACAGCGATTTAACCAAGTACGGTGCATCATTTCCAACCCAGCTTCCAACCTCAGATTGTCTACATTTACATTCTTTGACCTGATGAGTGGTTTCTTTATTGTAATAAGTCAAATGAGTTGAGAAAGAAATTGGATGAGATGAAGACTTTGAAGGCCTAGAACCGCAGGTGGATGAGGAACAATACTGTCCTGATTGTGTGATCTCTCCATTGCCTTTAATTAAGCCCTCTGTGAGGTTCCTAAGATCTGGGCACATTTTCAAGAGTGACAACGCTCAATTCAAGAGGGGTGTGGAAGGCAGAAGACTATTTTGCCAGGCAGGCTCATGTTCCCAGATGTTCACAGCGCTCCTTGTGAGGTAATCAATGACAGCTGAAGGCTGTGGCATCGCATTTGCCCACCTCCCCAAGGATCTGGTGTGCAGGGAGGACGAGGAGTGGGGTAGCTGGGAAAGAACCACCACTGTGCCCCCTATCCTAACGGCAGTATGTCCCTGGGAATGGTTATTTCTATCAAAGTGTTAAGCTTCCTGCTTTCCAACAGTCCAGTTCTAATTTCAAGGTCCACTTAATTCTGCATCAAGTAATTACTGATATACCCAGAAGCACCTTGTCTCCAGAGTTAAGCATATGGTGAAGAACTGAGACCTACTGGTATCCATTATGGAAGCAGCACGGATGCCAAGCCGATTAAAAATGCTCAGGCTCCCCACACAACATGCCGGGTGAGTGACAGCTCCTCGACAAGGCCAGTCGTGGAGTCTGCCAAAACAGTCTCTGCTGCACTGGGGTCCACATGGTGTGCTGAGAAAACAGTTCCATTTCTGGTATTAAATTCCCATACTGACCTGAGGACTTTGCCGTGAGCTCAGCAGGAGCGCACCATCCAATTTACAGCTCCACTCTCTGGAGCCTCGAGTGCCAGCCCCTGGCAGAGACGAATGATGGTCAACCCCTCCAGCTCATAAATTATGCAAAGCCAATAAATGCACTCAGCAAACAGCGCCTAACGTTTGCCTTGCCTGGCTCCTAACACACTCTGTAAAAAGCCAGAAGCTCGACACATACAAGAGGTCTATTCCACTCATAAAGGGGGTTTGTTGACAACCCCAGACGGAAAGCGAGCCACAGTCCTAAGGAGTCTTTCTGCTTCACTGGCAGCGGTTTATGGGCCTGCTTTATGAAAAAGGGAGGCTGTTTTATAGAGTCAGTGTGGGTAGAATTCATGGTCTCAAATTCACATTTAATACACTGTATAGCTTTCACACCCTAAGTTCAATACACTGTGGATTTTTTTGGCCAAGTGATTCTTGGTCTTCAAAGGTTAAAAGAAGAAGTGTCTGCTCCTCAATCCCTAGATACCCACTCCAATTTATAAGAGTTCACATTGAGCCACCTCCTGATGCAGGTTTATGTTCTGCATGAGGCTGGGAAATGGAAAAGGCATGTCAGATGCAGAGACGGCGTCCCAGCGGATTTGACCATTTTAAGCATTTTGACATCGGGGTCCTGCTTTGGTTTATTAGCAAACAGGTTGCACACTAACTACCAGCTTGAGGTGACGAAGTACTCTCCATGACAAGATTTCAGAGCCCGCTGTGAAAAGCTAAAAATATATCCTCCATTTTAAAAGCAAGAAATGAAAAGAGACAAAAAGAAACAACTAGGCCTTACAGCAATCACAGATAAGAATTCATGGTCACCCGGCCTTCAGACAAAGACATGACCCAAACCATCACACACAAAAGGAGAGAAAGAGGACGTGTGCACGCCTGGCCAAAGGCCTCAAATGCACAGTTAGAAAGGGACTAGTTCCTAAACCTGAGTCCTTCCAGCCATCTCAATACTGAAACCACTCAACTTCCATCTTCACCGTCTCTTCCCCTGGTTTCATGAATTAAAAGTGAACTGCTGGAGGCACAGTCTTCCTTTCCCAGACAAGTCTTACCCCTTAAACAACAAACCAACCCACCCAATCTTTCTCCTTTTGAAAATACAAATTTACGGCCGGGTGACGGGGCTCACGCCTGTAATCCCAGCACTTTGGGAGGCTGAAGGCGGGTGGATCATGAGGTCAGGAGTTTGAGACCAGCCTGACCAACATGGTGAAACGCCATCTCTACTAAAAATGCAAAAATTAGCCGGGCGTGGTGGCACGCGCCTGTAATCCCAGATACTCAGGAGGCTGAGTCAGGAGAATCGCTTGAGCCAGGGAGACGGAGGTTGTAGTGAGCTGAGATCACTCCACCCTGGGCAACAGAGCGAGACTTCGTCTCAAAAACAAACAAACAAACAAAAAAAACATATTTACTGGATACATTTTAAAAATTACCCATAAATCTACAATCCTTAGGTAAACACTGTTAATACATTTTTGTAAGTCTTTCCAGTCTTAAGGATATAATCCCACTCGTCTTTTAAACATACATTTTAAGAAATAAAAATGAATTCCTACCATTTTGGAACCTGCTTTGATTTTCACATAACACGTCAAATATTTCAGTTTAATCAGTAAAATTTATCCTGTAACATCACTTTAAAAAATGGCGACACGGCCGGGCGCGGTGGCTCACGCCTGTAATACCAGCACTTTGGGAGGCCGAGGCGGGCGGATCACGAGGTCAGGAGATCGAGACCATCCCGGCTAAAACGGTGAAACCCCGTCTCTACTAAAAATACAAAAAAAATTAGCTGGGCGTGCTGGCGGGCGCCTGTAGTCCCAGCTACTTGGGAGGCTGAGGCAGGAGAATGGCGCGAACCCGGGAGGCGGAGCTTGCAGTGAGCCGAGATCCCGCCACTGCACTCCAGCCTGGGCGACAGAGCGAGACTCCGTCTCAAAAAAAAAAAAAAAAAAAAAAAAAGGCGACACTGCAATCTGCTATGTGGATTGTAACATAATCTAATTAAAAAATTCCCCAGTGCTGGTTATTTAGATTGTTTCAATTGCACATCCTTTAGAATTTTTCCCTTTGCACCCATTCACCAATATTGCTGTCTGCGACTGTCTTTTCAAGGCCCTTCCTTTTCTGCATATTCTTTAATGTCACTGTCTCCCCAGAGTTGCATCTGGAGTTCTATTGTTTCTATGTGACTTTCAAGGGAGACCTTAAAGATTCCCTTGGTCCTTTCTACCATGTATATGCTGAAACTCAAAAATCTCTATGCCCACATTTGCCAGCTGTGTAACTTTGGAAAAGTTATTTAAACTCTCTGGGCCTTAGTATATTTCTCTGTAAAATATGGCTAGAAGAGGAGAATGAGTTAATACATGTAAACAACTTAGTGCATGGTACCAAGTATGTACAGATGATAAATGTTAAGTATTATTAAGCTTCCGTTGGGTATGTGCCCCCTGTTGAAGTGCAGCGAACACTCAGACTCAAGTATCCATCTAAATCTGGACTCAACATCTTTGCTCACCTGAAACTGCCCCTCTCCCACGTTGCCCTTGGTAATAGCATCACCAAGCAATCACTCAACTGCGTAAGTGAAGAGCCTTATCCTTGACCCCATCCTTGAGCGGACTTATCTTCCTCTCTCACCCCACGTTATTGATTCTGCTTTCTAACTCTCCATCCCTGTGGCCATGGCTACTGCGTTAGTTCAGGGTTTTATTTTGTCATTACAAGAGGATAATGACTGCTTTCCAAGGTCTATGCTCTCTTCCTTTTCTAATCCAAGTCCTTATTGACAAGAGTGGATTTCCTAAATTTCTATTTGATGCAGATGCTTCACAAGGCCTATGAAGACCCTTCACATTCTGTTTCTAATCCCCCTCAACTCCCAAATCCCAACCACTCTCTCAACACAATGCTTCTTAAGCTTTCTGTGGTGAAGAGCCATTTGTTTTTGTTTTGCTTTCTTTAATTTCTAATATGTTACGACAATTACTTTTGTAAAATATAATAAAAAGTCAAATTCTTGAAAAATGAAAAAGAAAAACAAATATATATAATACATTTAAAAAATTATTAGATTTATGAAACACAAAATTATGCTACTGAGTTACTCTAAAAGTTTCCCAATGCTTACTCTTGACTCCCCATACTAATCTCACAGCAGGTTGGTTGCAAACAGCTTGTGGTCCGGCCCTGGTTGGCATCCTCGCATTGTGTGGCACTATCCTAACATACCTTGCTTCAACCACGCCCACTCACGCTCAGTCATGCCACCAGCCATCTGCACTTAACAATTCCCTCTACTGGGAATTCTATTCCTCCAAGTTTCTACCTAAAAGCCTGACATTCACCTTCAAAACACAGTTCCTTTTTTGAATCTTCCAATACTTTTCCAGAAAGACTTAATTGCTTCTATCTCCATCCCTTACAAAACTGTACTGCCGTTGTTTGCCACAACAGTCTTTCCAACCAGAGAATGAGCTCCATGTAGGTAAGGACAGTGCCTTGCTTATCTTTGTATCTCTAGGCCTTGGGACACAATAGATGCTCAATTATACTGACAAGTCAATCTCATTCTTCTTGAGTATTGTTCAAACTGTGGTTGATTCCATGCAGCATAAGCAAAGTATGATTTAAAAGGCAGGTGATTCCAAAGAGAAAGTACAAGAAACACTAATATGACTGCTTAACGCAAAGAGATGTATGTGTGAACATACTGAGGGAGGTTAAAATCGTTAGCAGAGCCTAGAGTTGGGGCCCAGAAGAAAATATCTTCCATTAAAAGGCTCAGAAAAAAGATGTGATTATGACTTTATTATATTTATTCAAAAGCAAATATTTTTCATTTTCATTTGGGAATCTCGGTATCTGTGTTTTAAGACTCTGGTCCAAATTGAAATCAGTCAAGGTCTGTGACATCTCTCTGTTTCATTCAGAATGTAGCAACAAGATGGAATTCTAGGTACCTTGTGATGGAATGCATTCTTAAGCACAGAGTGGCAATCATTGAATATATCACATACAATGACATTGAGGAGGGCATTGCTCTCTATTCTGCTCAATGGACCTTGCTGGAACAGTTATTTCGTATCTCAAATCCATTTATCATTGCCACCAAAGATGTCAGGGCTGAATACCACTGCTGAACAAAGTTATTTTATTCTTGTTTCTGCCTAAAGGAAATGAGAGGAAAATGAGGGAGAACCCCAACTTGTAAACTACAATATCTAACATCAAGTATAATTTAACTTTGCCAGTGACAAAACAAATCGATTCTCCTTTGGGGCAGGCGGTTTATCTAAGACCTTAAAGACATCCCTCACCTAAAAGCAATTTCAGAAGAAGCCACCTGCAGAAAACATGACACTTATTTTCTTATTTAAAGAAGTAAGATAGCAGCATGGTGACTAAAAACACGTTCACCATCCCCTGCCCAGCTGCCCAATCCTTTGCTCATGTAAAAATGGGCCGCCATTTTGTGCCACATATGGCAGCTCTGATGTTGTCTGTTTTTCATCAATCCACAAAGCCCTAATTTCACACTGTTTACATTGCTCTCATATTGGTTTTGGACTAAGTGAAATTTAAAGCTACTGGGGCCCTAGAAATTTTTAAATTTTTAAACCTGAAAATGTTCTTACTGAGACCATATTCTTACTGACTGTGAAATAATGTCGTCGACTCTTCCCCTCTATCTTAACAGTAACTACGCCTGATCAAATAAAATAGCTCAGATAAAATGAAAGCCTAATTAAAATATTCATGTTCCAAACAACAGTTTACAAGAATAAAGCTTTTGGTAATCACTAATGAGCCCATTTGAAAATAATATGAGGTCCACCAATCTTCAATTGTTCAGGAGATACAAGAGAATCAACTCTCAGAAGCCTCTGGAATTCGGTACTGATAACCTAGCATTTCTGAATGGGGAGTTCTCAGAATCTGACATTTTTGCAAGTTCTCAGTTTGAACTGGCCAGAGCTCAAATAACCAATGTGATCTGAGGGGGCTAAGGGAACACTTCTTATTCCCCCTCCAGTGTCTCAGATAATAACACACTCATTCAACCAACAATGTTCAGGTAACTACTATGTGCTAGGTTCATTCTACCACCCATTAGAAGTGCAAATATATTGACAGAAATCAGGTTGTCCAAACTTGAAGTTTTAAAGCTCATAAATTAAATTCTAATATTTTTTTTCCTTTTTGTCACTTTGAAATCCAAGTGTATTTCATAAAACAATCTGTATGTTGTAAATTTCCACAGATCATTAAAGTATTGTTGAGTTATTGGAAGTGGGGTTGGAAGTGAATATTTCACAAATCTTTGGGGAGTTCAGCTTGTTTTCCTCTAAGAAAGGAAGTCACATTTTGCCAAGTATAAATATACATAAACCCCAAAGATGAAATTTACTTAAAACCCAGAGTCCACAAACCTCAGTGGTTGCCAAACTCAGAAAAATAAGTATCTTGTCCAAAGGTAAAACTGACAGTCTGGGGCCCGGTGATTTGTAAATGATCTCTTTTAAGCTTAAGGAACAGATCCTTTGCTTCTCTGTCATTGATTTACTGATTCTAAGTCATCAATAGCATTAATCCGTACTTGCCTGGGGACCTATTACAAATGACTTTGAAGATGGTGTGAAGCAAGAGTTTATTATGAGACCACAGTGTTACTATCAGGAAGACATCTTTGCCTGTGTGCTTTGGCAGAATTCTATTTGTGACCCCTCTGTAATGGGGCGATTTTCCCTTCCCATATATAGTTTCTTGGTGCTTTGGGTGGGGTCTGAGCCCCCACCCCCAGGTTTGCTTCAACTGATGCTGGGTTCTTTTTGGAGTCCTGTGTAAGCTAATAAAACCCAAATTTGCTGATGAGTAAAAAGGAAAAGTATGTTATGGGTTAAAATAATACAAGAGTCTATTTTTTCCGCTGTGTTGTGATCCATAGAAATCACCCTGAGCCTTTTCCCTTTCTTCTCTGCCTGGGAAGCCAATTGCTTTGATTGCAGTGATATGAGCTAGCTAAAATGACTTGCCCTTGCTTGTGAGGCAAATGGAACATGCTAATAGAACTTATCGCATTACCCGATGCAAAAGTGCCATAGCTCATTACTTTAAGATAAAAGGATATCATTGCAGACGGCAAGCAGAATTGACTTTCTGAGGCCCGACTTGATGATGATTTAATCAACTGCTCTCTTTCACTTCTCATCTCTGTGCCTGTCGGTTTCACAGGTGCCGTTAAATGAGACACTCAGAAAGTGAGCGGAGGGAAAGAAATTGCTGTCATTACTTTTCAAGAAAGGAGGTATGCAAATTTTCAACAGAAAGATTGCGTTCATAATGGGCCTGGTAAAATACAAGGATCATGCTTGACAGGTGAGGGCAAGCCATTTGTATGTCCTTAAAGTGGAGCAACCGTCCTCGTTTAGAAATGTGCTCAGTAAGAGAAACTACAAATGAGAGGCCTGGTGCAGCCAGGGGAGAGGCGGGGTGGAATCACAGAGGGTTGGTTCAAGCTGGTCTATGTTCTAGAAAAGAGAAGGGTGCTTAAGACTCAGGAAGCCAAAGCCAGAGGAACAGATAACAAAGCCTGGTAGCTTTCAGTGTGAACCAAGATGCCAACAGCTCTTGAAAAGACCACATCGTTATCCTTCATATATAACTATGGAGCCAGACTGCCTGGGTGCAAAGCCTGCCTGTACTGTACACCATCTGTGAAACCTCTAGCAAGGAACTTAACCTCTCTGTGCTTCAGTTTCCTCATCTATTAAATGGGGCTATTGACAGTATGTACCTCATAGTGTTGCTAAGAACGTTAATTGAGTTAATAAACATATAATTTGTATAAGTACATATGTAATAAACATAAAAATGTCTAGAACACTGCCTGATACATAGGAAGCAATCAATAGATGTTAGAAACCATCCATCCATCCATCTATTCATCTTCAGTAAGACTGAATATCTTTTTTTAAAAAGCATACATGAGCCAGGTGTTGGAAATCTCCCTGGCTCTAGTCTAGATAGAATAGAATTCTTCACTGATTTCACATACGTCTTGCATAAATTCTTTGCTAATTTAACATATACAAGTCTTGCTCCCCAGGCAGGCAGTGAACTCCTCAGAAAGTGCAGGCTGGTTGTCCCTGGAATCATCACAGGGTCTAGTGTATTCTTGAGGACCCTCAAAGATGCTCAACAACAATTTGATGATTTATGGATTCCTCCTCCCTCCCTCCTTCCACTCATTCCACATTATCTGATGCTGCCTGTGTGCTATAGCCCTTTGAGGAATCTCCTCTTGGAGTAGAAAATGTCTGAGTTTAGCTGGGAATCTCAGGTGATCACCATGTGCCCTGTGTATCCTGGGGAAGGAAAGGCACAGCCAGCAGGAACAGCCAGTCTGGCTTGAATCACCTTCAGGAAGGCAGAATGAATATGAATAGATTACATGATCAGGGTAGCATGAACAGAGGTGTTTTTTCATCCACTTTGTCTTCAATAGGTAATTGCTCTATTTTCTCCAACACTCAAAGTAAAAGCATCTTTCTTAAAGTGCTTGGAATTCCAAGTTCTTTTTCCCCAGGTAATGAAGCTGCTGCAACCATTCTTCCTTCCACCACTAAGGTTGTGAGACACTGAATGTAGCTACGGCTTTCCATGCTAAGTATCACCAACATGATTCAATTCCCAGCCAAAGGGTCAATGTCCATCTCAAGCTAAAGGAGAGATGGGGTGTCCATGATGGCAGGGCAGCCCTGAGCTCTCTATTTTGGAAAAGCCTGGTTGTTGAAGTGCATTTCACATCTTGCAGGGTTCCTCCACAGGAACAACGGCAGAGCATGTTTTCCTCTAGAAATGCCAGCTGTTGGCTGGCATTCATCAAAAAAGAATCCTGAGGCCAGGTGCAATGCCTCATGCCTTTAATCCCAGAACTTTGGAAGACTGAGGCGGGATGATCTCTTGAGCCCAGAAGTTCAAGACCAGCCTGGGCAACATAGCGAGACCCCTGTCCCTGCAAAAAATTTTAAAATTAGCAGGTATGGTCATGCATGCCTGTGGTCCCAGCTACCTGGGAGGCTGATGTGAGAGGATTGCTTGAGCCCGGAAGGTCAAGGCTGCAGTTAGCTCTGATCATGTCATTGTGCTCTAGCCTGGGTGACAGAGAGAGACCCTGTCCAAAACAAACAAACAAAGAAACAAACAAACAAACAAAAAACACCAAGAATCCTGACAACAGCTCTAGAAGAAAGTATTATACTACCACCCTTCCATTTTAGAGATGAGAAGGTAAGTAAGGCTTCCAGTGACAGAGATGGCACTTGAACCCAGTTATGTCCTTCAAAGTTCATGTTCTTAGCCAGTATAACGTACCATCTCACTCTCTCTCTCAGGCTATACAAAGAAACTACTTCAAAATATTTTCCTGATTGATTGCTTGGCAAAGTACAGAGGCAAGCTGAAACCGAAAAGAGATTGCAGCGCCTACAAGCAGCAGTGAATGCAGCCATATAGCCGTATTTCTGCTCCACAGAAGACAGCTCTCCCTTAAGAGGGACTGAGCACAGTCCCTGGCTCACAGGAAGTGCTCATTCAGTCTGAGGCTGACGTAGGTTCAAATTCTGACCCCCTCCACTTAATAATCATGCTGTGTTTGGAAAGGAACTTAATTCTTGGAGTCTACCTTTCTTAACCAGTGAATGGCGATGATACACACCCCACCGGATTTTTGTGAGAATTAAATCAGTTCAGGTATGTGAAAGCAGCCAGAAAGACATACCAATAGTTTCATTTTTCCAGTTATTTCCATGAAAGATATGTTATATCACACACAACAACAGGGTAACTTACTAATTATTTAAATGTTGGGTTGAATTTTTGTACCGTTTTATTGCCAGAGGGGAAGTCACATTCTGCAAGGATTTCTGCTCAGGACGTGTTTAAAGACTCAATACTATGCTACACGAAAACAGAAACAACCACCCAGACAAACAAAACCAGAAACCATCATTCCCTCTCAACGAAGTGAGCAACAAGAAGAATCTTCCAGGTAACTAATAGTTTTATTTCACTGATAAAAAACCAAAAAGGAAAGACACCTTAGAGCTGAAATTTTGAAGTGTTTCTTTAGGTTCTTGATGAACATTTTTTTTTGGGATGGAAGTAGCTTGGACTTATTCTTCAAATAGTCAGTAACCTGCACACAGGGACTAAAGTAAAATGCATAGGTACAAGATTTGGAGTTTAAATTTGTAAGTTATGCTATGCATAGTGCATATGGGCTTTGACATTATTAAAATGTTCAAAGTTAAGTTGGAAAAATAAATACACAGATAAATAGAATGGATATTAAAAACACTAGGTGATTACTGGTACAAGTAGGAAGCTACATATTTTAAACTTTGTCTAGCGATTCTGACCAGTCAGAATTAGGAGATAGTTTTGATAGCCCTACTCACAGATTATTTATATTCAAGATTGATTTAAGGACTGATTTACCAAAATCAACCAGGAGAGTAATCTTGACAGAGATAAAAATTCCCAGAGGTAACTGCAAAAATGGGGATTTGCTGAGAGAATATAACTAAAGTACCTGGCACTTAGTAGGCACTCAAGGATCCAACAGACCACCACCCTTTCAGGACACATGGAAATGACTGTTCCTTCTTCCATATGGAAGCTTTCCAGGGCTCTGACTTCACTGGCTGTACCTTAACTGTTGGTTTCTAGCACCTCCAACACTGTTGGCTAGTTTCCTTGACAGTATCTCAGAGTTTGCTCATATCTTGCTCCACTTGAAGCTGGTACCTAGAAGGTGCTCAATACATATATGTGAAAGAATTAATAAATTACAGTAGCAAAATACCTGAGGGAAGGTAGCATGGAGAGTGTCTGAGTGAAGAGATCAAGAGAGAGACAGTGGTTGGCGGCATGAACACTAAAAGATCTGAAAGTGTGGTAGGTGTCTGAATGTGTCTATGAAAAAGATGGGTATAATTTTTTTTTTCTTGAGACAGAGTCTCACTCTGTTGCCCAGGCTGGAGCACAGTGGCGCGATCTTGGCTCACTGCAACTTCCGCCTCCTGGGTTCAAGCGATTCACCTGCCTCAGCTTCCCATAAGTGGGACTATAGGTATGCGCCACCATGCCTGGCTAATGTTTTGTGTTTTTAGTACAGACAGGGTTTCACCAGGTTGGCCAGGCTGGTCTCAAACGCCTGACCTCAGGTGATCCACCCACCTCAGCCTCCCAAAGTGCTGGGATTACAGGCATGAGCCACTATGCCTGGCTGACATGGATATAATTTTGAGGTGACAGTAAATCCTAAGAAAATAACAGCATGCACTTGAAGAAATCACATCTTAAGGTTACTCTTTTATGAAAATCAGGAAACTCAAAATAAAAAAACTGTATTTCTTTTCACATTTGATTCACTTCAAGCCAACTAGAGCAACTGGAATTGAGCAGGAAGAGGGACAATGGTGCTCTCATATTGCTAAGACATAATGGCCACATTATCAACTTCTCACCAACCAGATTTCTTTTTTTGTTTTTTTACAAATGCAAGATAGTGAGAAACTTGGCTAAAGGAATATAAATATGGCTTGAGATAATGAGAATGGTTCAAGAAGATCCAAAGACATCTTAGGCTACCGTCACATAGGATCCTAAAGTGATTCCTTTTTTTTCTTCCCTTTATTGGGTATCTGCCTTCACTTTTGCCCTTTGTAGAATTCCTCATACTCATAACAGATTTTCAATTAAACTGTACCCAACAAAAACAGTCTTTATTTTAGGATGGCTTTAAAACCTAGTCTTCTATATCATAAACAAGGAAGGGTAGGATTACTATAAATTGTCTGCAAGAAAATACAAATTGCCAAGATAAAAACACCCACTGGTTTGCCAGTCTCAAGTTTCCTGTTTTGACATACTATATGCAGTAATTTGGTATCCACAATCTCTTATTAGAAAATGAATGTGCTATTTTTCTGAATGCTGCAATTACAATAATTGAATTTAAAATGGGGATTGAGTTTCTCTATTTGGAGGAAAAGAATAATTGTGTATTTCTGATTAAAATCAAGGGGACTGAAAGAGGTTGTACAAATTCCAGCTTCAGTCTCCCCGAGTGACTCCTCATCAGGGCAGAAAAGCAGTTAGCCAGAGAAAAGACAAATTCAAATGCGGGTGGAGAAATGGACCAGCACTTCAGCAGCAGGCACTGTCTCTGGCCTCATTTGCTTTGTCTCCTGGCCTTCAGTCACAACACCCCTGTGACAGAGGCAATCAGAGCTGCATGGCATTGTTACATTTTAAATGGCAGCCATGCTGGAGTTCCCTACTGTGTCAAAAATTAAGAGTTAAAATGCAAGGAAAACAAACATCTCTTTGTGTTGAAAATGCCTGTCCACTTTTAGACTGCCAACATTTTGGAGTAGTTTTTACTCTGCACTGTAGAATCTCTTTTCTGGGTGGGGGAAATGTAATAGCAGAAGGGTTGGGGGGGATGAGAGAAAAGAATTAATATTTTCTAAATACCTTTTTTTGTTTTACTAAAAAATTATGTTAAAAGGCACCTTTAAGGTTCAGATGTAGGAAAGAAAAAGGAATGAAGAAAGAGGGCTATCCTACCTTCTTATGCCTTTTTCTTTTTTAATTTCCGGTGGCATCTTTCAGTCTTCTAAAACCCCTATTTAGCTAAAGGTGAAGGTGAAATGTAGTCTCACAATTCCCCCTGAATGTTTGTCAAAATATAGCTTTCTAAGAAAAGAGAAAATTTTTCTAGCACAGAGTGAGCCATGGATTGTCTCTTTATGGGATACTGTTCACTATTTTTTTGTGGCTTTATTGAGATATAACTGACATTGGTAAAAGGCACGTATTTGAAATGCACAATTTGATAGCTTTTCATATATGTGTACACACCTGTGAAGCCATCACCACGATCAAGACAGTGAACCTGTCCATCCCTCCCCAAAGCTTCTATCCCTCTCTCAGGTCCCTTACCGTATCACTGATGTGCCTTCTGTCACTACAGATTAGTAGGTATTTTTAAAAATTTTACATAAATGGAACCATACAGTATGTACTCTTTTTGTCTGATTTCTATCAGTCACTGCTTACTATTTTGACAACCAATTAAAAAGGAGCCTCCTAGCTCCAAGGCAAAAGGCAACCTTCAGAGGCTGCCTCGGCCAGAGTTTATTGTCATCCCCCAGGAACAGAACCGATTACTTGGTCTTACTTTATTCTTAGGCTTTATTATGTACTTCAGTAATCAATAAGCACTTCTATGGCAGAGGGTTTATTTTACCCTATAAATCTAAGGAGAGAATGATATTAAGACATCAGTATGGATGGCCTCTGCTGCTCTGTAACACTATGAGGAGAACACAAGCAACAGATTTAAATCTAAGAAGGTTACAGAGCAGTCACAGCTCCTGGCTGGATGGCAGGGATCATAAAAGACTCAAGCAAGACCTACAGCAACTTCACTGTAAACCAATGGGACTTTCAGAGCAAAAAACCCAAACTGAACAGGCATGCTCGTTGTCTGCCCTGAAAGAATTATAAGCGCTGGCTTGAGTAGAATGTGAAGAGTCCCACTAAAAAATCCAAAATATTTCTTAACAGAACAAATACAAAGGTAGAGAACAAATACTGATTTCAAGCTGACTGTGTAGAAAGCCTCGCTCTGGTGTAGAAAGCCGCTCACTTAGTAGCCGCCTCATAGCCCCAGGAGACCTTTAATTCTCTCCCCTGCAACTCCTCACCCCAGGGCTCTGAGATAATTATCACTGGAGCATCTTTTCTCTAGCTAGCCCTTGGAGACTCATCCTTCCTTTCAAAAGCAAAGAGGTCAATTCACGGAAGAGGAAATATAAATGGCTAATAAACATACGAAAAAAATGTTCCACCTCACTAGTAATCAAAGAAATGCAGATTAAAAAGAGATATATTTCTCTTCATCAATCAAATTAGAAAAAAACATGTAAATGCTGATATGCAGTGTTGGCAAGGCTGTCGTGAGGCAGACACTCATATACTTCTGGAGGAATGTCAATTTCTATTTGGAAAATAATTTTGCAATTTGCATCAGAAGAAGAGAAGCATGCATCAAGAGCCTTCATATTTTCCATACTGTCTAGCTCAACTAGTCTCAAAAAGGAACAAAAATGTCTATAATAATTTGTTTAAAAATTTCATTATGGAATTAGGAAATGACCCAATAATACATTATTTATATGGCTACTGTCAGCACATAGCAAGGGCCACGAAATCTGCTAAGATAGACTCTTCATATATTCACGTTTTTAACCTTACAGCAAACTCCCCCCACCCCCCAGCCCCCAGTGTGTAGGTTTTAGTTTTCCAATTTTACAGTGAAAGAAGGAGTCTTAAAGACATGAAGCAACTTGTCAAGAGTCATAAATCTATAAGAGGAAGATCCAGGCATTTGAATCCTGGTGTTTCTAACTCTCTGCACTAACCTAGTACACAGACTTCATAAACCTAAATGTTACCAAATTGGGGAACAGGTCAAGGTGCCAGGGTTGTGTTCACTCATTAAATTAAAGTTCATAAAGAATTTTGCTGAAATGGAAAAGTGATCACAGTCATAGGGAAGTTTAAAAAAAATCATATTAGGTTGGTGCAAAAGTAATGGCAAAAACTGGAATTACTTTTCACCAACCTAACTGAAGTGACCTTGGGTGAGTCACATACCCTCCCACAGGTTCAATTTCTTTTTTTAATCAATAAAACGGGGGTGATAGTAACTACCTCTCAAGGTAGCAGTAAGGAGAAAATACATTAAAAACTGCTACTTTTATTATTACTACTACAATGAAGGAAACAAGATACATAGAGTTATATATACAATATTACTTTAAAATTGCTAAGCATACACACAGAAAGAAAAAAAAAACACTGGAAAAAAATGCACCAAACACTGTTTATTTCTGAGTGATAAAGAGTTTGGGTCACTTTTATTTTCATCTTTACATTTACTGTCGTTTTTGATCTTTAACGATTACATATTATTTTTCGGTTAGAGGAGAAAAAGATACACATGCACAACGGCATGTAAACGTCACCCGTGTGATGGAGTTCTGGAGGTTCCCATGGCTGCTGATCTTCAGAGGCCATTAGATGGCAAAGAATAATCCCATTGTTTTCAGATCGGATTTCTCTGCTCAGAGGCTTCCACTGGTGAAGCATCTCTGTGGTGCAGCATGTCTCAGCTATGACTTTTTTGTCCCACTCACAAGTTAGAAAGATACGTATTTGGATTTGGGTTCTGCCACTTAACAGCAGAAGCTGGGAAAGTGGCTGCACCTTACTGTGACTTTGCTTCCTCATCCGTAAAATGGGAATAATAATATGGAGCCCCTAGGTTTGTGTGGGTATGAAGTGAGAAAATTAATGCATTTAAGAGATTTAACATAGTTCTCAGCCATGGTAAATGCCCAATACATGCTTAGCATCGTCACTGTTATTATTTAGGCTTGTCTAGCTTTGGTGTTCTATGACAGTCAGCCACCAGGCCATGCATAGTGGCTCATGCCTGTAATCCCAGCACTTTGAGAGGCCGAGGTGGGAGGATCCCTTAAGCCCTGGAGTTCAAGATCAGCTGGGGCAACATGGTAAGACCCCGTCTACACACACAGACACACACACACACACACACACACACACACACACACAGAAAGTTAGCCACCAAGCCTGGGTGACAGATCCCAAAGATCACAAGTGCCCCCTGTGATTATCCTGTGCACCCCAATCCCAGGGAGGTCCAAATGATCCTTAGCCTCCAAGGAGCTTGCCTCCTTTTCAGGTGGTGCCTTGGAAGGAGAGGGCAGGCCAAACAACAGTGGTGAGGGCCCAGTGTTTCTGCCAGGAGGTGAGAGAACAGGAGCATAGGCAAACGGTCTTCTGGACTTTGCAGCTTGTCTGACATGCCCTTCAGGATAGGAGAAAAGCAGATGGTCATGATGAGAGGCCCCAGGCTCAAAGGCTTCTATGGGATGAATGGAATAGAAGAGGAAACCTCCAACCTGCCATACCATCTCAGGCTGAAAAGCTCATCCTTCCCAGTTCAGATAATGCACACAGAAGGCAGCTCACGCCTGTCTCCCATTTGGAGAAACAGCTATTTCCAAAGCTTCTGAACCACACTCCACTGTGCCTTGGAAAAGGAACATGTAAGTAACGGTTTGCAAGCTGCCAAGAGCGTGGGTTTCACAGCGCACATTGCAAAGCTCTCGCCTGTCACTGCAAGACGACAAGTGTGCTCTCCAAGTCTCTCTCTCCCCTTCTAGATCTTAAAGGGTTACGCCTGGAAATTGCCTCGCTGTGCTTCTGGGACAGTATGAAGGATGACTGCCATTGCCACGGTCAGCTATGACAGCGCCAATTTGATGTGCTGCCATCAAGGGCCTTCTAAGAGCTGAGCGCCCTGATGGTTTTGTGATGCGAATAGTCACATTGCAAAATGGTTTTCCTCTCCCGCTGCCTCTGCCTCCATCTGCTGCTGGGCTAAAGGCACAGCCGGCTGCCTGCCTGTCACAGCATGTATTAAAATTAGCTGGGGAGGAGGCACTCAGTTGTGCTAATTACATTTTAATCATTGGAAATGTGTTGGCAAATCAAGCCTTGATTGCCATCTCGGAGTCTGTCTCCTCCAGCAGAGTGGAGGGGCTGTCTGCATTCGGCAGGGCCTGCTGGGCTTTCTCCTTTCACAGAAGATAGACTGGGGGCCCTGCTGGCCCACCACTGAGACCGCTTTGGCACATTATTAAAAAGCCACAAGGCTTGTTTCAAATCATCCCTGTGTGAGACCCGCTCATTCTCACTTCCCTGGGCATTCCAGCAACTTGGTACTTTTAACTAGAGCTTTAGTGGGCTGCTGTACCTTGCAGGCTCAGAGTGTGTGTGTCAGAGGAGGGGAGCAGGGGTGCAGGAGGCTGCAATCATGTCTTCCCAGCACCTGGGAATCAAGACAGGGCCTGCTGACATAAGGCAGTGTCCCTTGGGAGTGGACCGTGACCGCAGCAGGCGCTGCGTCGGCAGGGCTGTGGTAGCAGCTGGGATGAGGTTGTAGGCGAGAGAACATATTTTGTGGGCCGCTGTGGGTTGCCGGACAGGTTCATAGGGCTGAAGATCATTGCTTCTTCCCGGAGTTAGGGAACTGAATTAAGCTCTGTGTTCCAAGAGGCAGGAAAATCCAAGGACAGCCTCTTTTCAAGCAGGCAATGCCTGCTACTGTGGCCAGGTGCCACAAGCCAAGAGGAGAGAGAGAGCATTGAGCTTGGGCAAGGCCCATTCAAAAGAGCCCACCGAAAGCAAGCTGCCTGTTCTCACCAAAATAGGCTGAGTGTGCAGTCATTCACATTAGGGGTGCTCACTAGTGGGGGACTTCCTGTTTCCTGGGGGCCTGTTACACACTGGACAAAGAGAGTCCAGATAATATAAAATATGAAACAAATTTATTTCCAAAGTGTGATGGGTTGTTGTAGTTATGCTATTGAAGGCATAGACTATTGAAGGTTTAATTATATGTCATCAGGCTGGAAAATGACAAATTGCACATATCTTCCTTTGTAAAAACTTGCTCCTGTACCAAAAATTATAGATTGTATTACAGCATCTAAGAGAAAATCTGAGTGAGAAAAAAACACACCTGCATGCCAGCACAAACTAAAACCTTACAATAACATATGAAGGAGCCAGCCAGGGACAAAAGATCCACAGAGCCACTGTTACCACAGAACCACTCTTGAGTGGCAAAGAAGGGCTTCTCTCTCACACGTAGGGTTCAAGGAAAAGAGGATTTCAAAGTCAAGCTTCAGAGAGGTCTGCAAATATCAGGGAAGAACTCAGCTGTCGGCGCTGTGTGAGGAGAATGACACTCATTTCTGGACTGGTTAACGTCTGTGTGTGCGTGCACACAAATGCCCCAAGAGCCTTACAAATGGTCTGGTCCAACCCACACAAGGCTTGTTTTTCCCTGTTACCGTTGACTTGCTCTCCCCGTAACTCTGAGACAGCCACAATATAGATGTCTCTCCACCCAAAACAGAAGAGAGAAAGAGAAAGTGGCAGAGATGTTGGGGTTGCTGTGATCTTGTTACAACTTATCAAGTGGAGGCCACTTACGGTAGCCACTTGGTAGACAAACACTACAGATCACCAGATCTTAAACAACGATGTACCAGGACACTTTTTTTTTGTCTGCATGAGTAGAACTAATTTAAAATACTGTATGTGTTTTTCCTATTTCAATGACTTCAGATGGTCTAGTTTCAATTTCATGAAAAAATGAAAATCTTAAGTCTAATATCACCACTGTATACATGAATACTTCCTCAAACTATGCAATATGCTTACACATGTATTCCATCAGCTCATGCTTCAGACTGTGCTGTTAGGCAAGCAGGGCAGGCAGTCTGACTATATTTTCCAGTTGACATAATGAAAAAATCAGAGAGGGGCATGACTTGGCCAAGGCTCTACGGCTAGTGGTGCAGCACCAGGACTACAGCCTAGGCTGCCCCCAACCTTCATTTCATCTTTGTCATGAAGGCATTATCATCGGGGAATGGGACAAAGACCTACGAAGGCCAGAGAAAGGCTATGAGAATGCCTGAGGTGGGGCTCTTTGAGAATTGGCAGGTTAGGTGAGCAGACCTCTCTCGAAGGAGTTGACACTCACCTCTGAGGGAATGGGTGAGTACCCTGGGGAATAAACTATTTACTCTGTGTTAATATGCTGTCATAAAATGATGACATCAACCCAGTCCCAAACAGTGAGCTCTTTGCTCCCAAACTGAAGCCCACCAACTTTGGATCCACTGCACTGGGAGACTTGTTACCCTCTGTTCCAGGCTGTAAAGAAATCAGACAGTCCAGGAAGCTTATTAAGTAAACTAAAGACAAACTGTAACTCGTGCTTTGAGCCCTGGAGATTCACCCCAGCAGCCACTGGGGCTAAGCTATACATTTTTTCCCCTAAATAGATCCTCTCATGCAGTCTAAGCCTGAGACGGCGATGGGACCTCAGTAACTGACAGGCCTTTTCGGTGTGTGTCAGGCAACATATTTTACCACCCCCTTTCCAATGCCATATTCTCTCTTTCTAGGCAGTGAGCAGAATCCTCTTTCTCACCTCTGAGAGTCTCATAATTGTCTCCCCACTGCTAAACGTCTCTCCTGACATCACGTTCTGGAGGCCTGTCAGATGAATGCAGGCTTAATATGTCTGATACCCAGTTTGTGACCAACCTGCAAATGCCTCCTGCCTCCCAGTTCTAAGCGACACAGAGCTGACTGAGTATCTGTGCCCAGATCACCCATGTAAAAAAATTCCAATTCTGCCAGTCCCACTGCTGATTATCCCTGATAGGAGAAGGTCACTAATTGTATGTTCATCGCTACAAAAGCTTTGCTGGTGCTTTGATTAAAATGTCTCTCCTCATTCAGTCCTTGGAAGAGCATCACAAGTAATTCACCGCCTGTGGACCCATTACTCTACATGATGGGCCAATGAACTTAGCTTTAGGGAGCATTGGGGAAAGGAAAGGTAACAGGCGCTGACAGCCTACTAGGTGCTGGGCAAATTCTTCCATGCTATCGTACTCAACCTTTAACCCTACAAGGTAGGTAGAATTATTCTCTTATTAATAAACATGGGAAGATTTCAGAAATGTTACGCAGCTCCTTAGCATTCAAATCCAGGAGGATATGACTGAAGTCTCCTTGTTCTTTTCATTCCAAAAGCAGTGTGTAAGCAAAAAGTGTTTAAAGAGAGGCCAGGCATGGTGGCTCATGCCTGTAATCCCAGCGCTTTGGGAGGCCGAGGCGGGCATATTGCTTGAGCCTAGGAGTTCAAGACCAGCCTGGGCAACATGGTGAAATCCCGTCTCTACAAAAAACACAAAAATTAGCTGGGCATGGTGGTATATACCTGTAGTCCCAGCTACTTGAGGCTGAGTAGGAGGATTGCTTGAGCTCAGGAGGTAGAGGCTGCAGTAAACTGAGATCACGCCACTGCCCTCCAGCCTGGGTGACAAAGTGAGACCCTGTCTCAAAAAAACAAAACAAAACAAAACAAAACAAGAAAAGAAATTGTGCTTAGGTAACTCTAAGGAGGAATGAGAAAGGGGAATGAAGATAAGAAGACATTGCGGGTTTATACCAAAAACAACAAGCTTCTATGTCATCTCTCAGGATAACCCCCCAGGGATATTAACTACAATACACCCAGGTTCTTTGTCAAATGGAAAGTAGGAAACATTGTCACCCCTTTGTTGTCTTTTCTGTTTCCCTCTACTTGTTTTCACAGAGCTTCTGACTCCCCAGGACTTTTCACCCAGGTCCCTAAAACAGGCTGGATTGCTCAGACCACCTTTGGCTCTAATGTAGACCCCTTCAGCAATCATTTACTGAATCCCTCCTCTGTTTTAGGATAGAGGAATAAGACACAGGTGCCACCTGCCTAGAATAACTTATATTCTAGATAGGTGAGATAGTCATTTCAGAAATGTGGAACATTCTGGTTACTTAAATACACAAGGCTATTTGAAGATGAGCAAAGATTTGCTTTTGCTCATATTGGAACCACTGCTGGGAACAGGACTCCTTGGATATGTCAATCAATGAAGACAAAGGAGCCTACAAGGGGAGCTGTTCCTCAGCTCTCCTCCCAGTTCCCCAGTGCTGGCAGTAGTGCCAGACAGGGCATGGGGTGGCTGGGACATACATTATATTATTATTTATTATTTTTTAATTTTTTGGGATGGAGTCTCACTCTGTCGCCCAGACTGCAGTGCAGTGGTGCAATCTCGGCTCCTGCGACCTCTGACCCCCGGGTTCAAGCGATTCTCCCGCCTCAGCCTCCCGAATAGCTGGGATTACAGGCGCACGCCAGCATGGCCAGCTAATTTTTGTATTTCTAGTAGAGATAGGGTTTCACCATGTTGTTCAGGCTGGTCTTGAACTCCTGACCCCATGATCCACCCACCTCAGCCTCCCAAAGTGCTGGGATTACAAGTGTGATCCACTGCGCCCAGCCAAATTATATTATTTTAATAAGTATACATAAAATCTGTACTTGTAGTCAAGATTCATCCAGTAGTCAAGATGCAAAGAAACATTTGGTGAGCTGCCAGAATGATTTCAAACACCCACTTATCTAAAACCATGAAAAAGCTGTCAGAGGCTCTCACTTTATAATGGCCACCTTTAAGGTGTCATGTCCACCAAAGCTTTTGGCTAGGTTAACAGCTTCATTATGGTGTTATTCTACAGATGCATAAATCATCTTAGATTCCTTGCTCTACGAAGATCCTTGACAAGGATTTACTTAGCAAAATTTTGAGACCTGGAGTTCACTTATTCTCTTAGTATCAATCCAGGCATTCTTTACTTTCCCAAACTTGAATTTCCTGGAAGCTAAAAATAAGAACATAAGACTATATAAGAACTTCTACCCTGGTCTGCTCCCAGGTATTCTGGTAAGGTTATCAAGGGATAGTTTGTTGAAGGCCAAATTTATCTTCTAGGATATAAACACCAAAGGAAAGAGTTTGGCGGGGCATGGTGGCTCACACCTGTAATCCCAGCACTTTGGGAGGCCGAGGCAGGTGGATCACTTGAGGTCAGGAGTTCAAGACCAGTCTGGCCACCATGGTGAAACCTCAACTCCACTGAAAGTACAAAAATTAGCTGGGCATGGTAGTGGGTGCCTGTGATACCAGCTACTTGGGAGGCTAAGGCAGAAGAATTGCTTGAACCCACGAGGTGGAGGTGCAGTGAGCTGAGATCGCTCACAGAGCAAGACTGTCTCAAAAAAAAAAAAAAAAGAAAAAAGGAAAAAAAAAAGGAAAGAGTTTAAACTCCTTCATCAACAATCCTTGGCAGCGTTGGCTGTTTTGTCCTGTTTCCCAAAACCACCTCGTTCATATCCCAGTTTAGTACCTGCCATGTTGTCATAGTTATCTGTTCAGATAGTCTATATTCCCCTATGGTCTGTGAGCACATAGTAGGTTCCCAATAACTGTCTGTTGACTGAGGATTGGAATCATCCATTAACACTGTGAAAATATCTGACTCTAATTATATGTAGTATCTATATTATTTTTGGTGTAATGAATTTTATAAGTTGACTGTATGTTATGTTAAAACTTTTCTGATTAAAATGACACTTTTTTTTTTAAATGTGACCAGGCAAGCTTCAACATCCCAGTATCACAGTACTTGATAAAGTGTGTTTACCTATGCTGTGCCCTTCTAGTATCTGCAGGAACATTGACTTTTTGGCATTCTCTAGGTGCTTGTTTCCAAACTAAAAGTTCTCATTTAGTAGTAATTGTGGCTGTGGATTTACCTGTCTTGAGACTTGCTCTTTTAGGATTTTTTTGAAGTTCAATGGTGATTTGTGCATATCATGCAATAGAAATGAGCCGGTTGGCCTGACCACTGTGCATTTTCAGAGGCCAGGGGAATATATCATCCAGCAGTGCTCTTTTACAGGTACACGTCTCCCTTCTTCCTTTTTAAGGAGAATCCCATTTTTTTTTCAGGGCAGTGATATGTTTAATTAAAAATAATTGATTTCTGGCTGGGTGCGGTGGCTCGTGCCTGTAATCCCAGCACTCTGGGAGGCCAAGGCGGGCGGATCACCTGAGGTCAGGAGTTCGAGACCAGCCTGCCCAACATGGTGAAACCCCATTTCTACTAAAAATACAAAAAATTAGCCAGGCATGGTGGTGGGTGCCTATAATCCCAGCTACTTGGGAGGCTGAGGCAGGAAAATCACTTGAACCTGGGAGGCAGAGGTTGCAGTGAGCCAAGATCGCACCACTGCACTCCAGCCTGGGTGACAAGAGTGAAACTCCATCTCAAACATAATAATAATAATAATAATAATAACAATAATAATAATAATAATTTATTTCCTTAGTTCCTTCATATGTAGGGGATGACTATTTGATATAGTTCTGGCCAATGATTGCTACAAATCCCAGAAGAGACTGTCCTTACCTGAATAAAAAGGTAAACCCAGCCAGGCGCAGTGGCTCACGCTTGTAATCCTGGCACTTTTGGAGGCTGAGGAGGGCGGATCACTTGAGCCTGAGTTTCAGACCAGCCTGAGAGACATGGCGAAACCCGTCTCTACAAAGCATACAAAAATTAGCCGGGTGTGGTGGTGCATGCCTATAGTTTCAGCTACTCTGGAGGCAGATGTGGGAGGCTCAATCAAGCCCAGAAGATCAAGGGTGCAGTGAGCCGTGATTGCACTGCTGCACTCCAGCCTGGGCGATAGAGACTCTGTTTGAAATAAATAAATAAATAAATAAATAAATAAATAAATAAATAAATAAAAGACAAACCCTCCTAAGACAGAGCCTTTTGTACTTTCCAGATTTAAGATATGAAATCTGAAGTTCAACTTATGACTGTGAGGCAACATAAGTAATGACTGCATTCTACATGGGGAAGAGGTAGAGCAGTAATAGGAAGTGCTTCAGTTCCTAGTAGCATCACTGAGCTGCAGCCTAGGCCCAGCCTTCCTTTTACATGAGACAAACCAACCACTACACTGTTGCTCTCAGTCAAAATTAATCCCACCTGATGATGGGCAAAAATAATTAAAATATGCACAAAAGCTAATTATAAAGTTCCCTAAAACATACTTGCAAAAGTAGAGGGAAAAAGTTCTAACACCCCTCTACATCCCAGCCAACAGGAAAAGAAATGCTTCCTACTGCTAACTTCTTGAAGTGGATCTAGCTTCTAAATGCACTCAACTGTTCTCACTGTGAACACTGTTCAAGTGCGTGGGTCAGAGAACAGGTCCCTGAGTTGCCTGCATCAGAGTTTGATTTCCCAGTTGAATTGGCATTTGAATTTCCTTTAAGATTAAATGGATAACTTATAAAGGTGTACCGAAAGGAAAGTCTACCAATATTTACAGTCCTAAGCCCCTTTTCTCCAATCACTAAGTCACACCAGTCACTATTTTTATTAGCATAATACGTGAAAAATAACAATGTCTCTGCTTTAGAAATTTTAGTATAACGTCTCAGCTCAGAATGAAAGGCTAAGGCAGTTAAGATTTAACAGTTGCGTTTTTACGGAGTTAGGCTTTCCCCTCCCATTAAATGCTGGTCAAGATGACACGCCTCCTCATGTAAGCAGTGATTGCTTCCTCAAGTCAATAATACCCTACATCGCTCATGGAAGACACTGTCGGAATGCACACCTACACACATGTACAAGCCCACATGCACACACATCATGTGAGAAATCTTGAGAATTTCTGTATATACAATGTCCACAAACTGGTAAGTCTTTCTCCAAACTAATAACCTATATTCTCATCTATGTCCACACATTTGCTATGAGTTATTATACATACATAAATACACACACACACATATATATATATATACTAATACACCAAGTGATACTAGACAAGTACACAGCACACTCCTGACTTGTACATGCATGTACCTACATGCTTACGTATACCAAGTGATCAGTCTTGCTGGAGATTTATAACAAGGGGGTACATCCAGAGTGATAGACAGTCATACTTAGTGATAAATCTTTTCCAGACTATAGACATTTTCTTTGGTACCGTTGTCACAATCCAAAGTAGTGCCATAAGGTGGTGAGACCATTAGCCAAGATGAAACCTTCAGGGGCATGCATACCACTGTTTTCAAATCTGTTCCTTCATGTGACGTGCCAGTTGAAATTACTTCTACAACATGGTCAGAACCAACCTGGATAGATTTATAATGCTTCAAATTGCTATCAGCATATTTTGAGAATCATCTAGAGACAGTAGATAATTCTCTTTAGGTTGGAAAAACTGCTAATTCATATGCTTGTCGTGAAGTTTTTGAGGGCAAATGTTTAAATAGGAAGGCTGCAGAGCACAAAGCATGTCTGATGTAACCAGTGCAGCGTGCAAAGGAAGCCCACAGCAAGGTGTGTGGAAGAGCTTCCTATCTCAATAGTACACAGCTCCTAACTACTTCTCTCCATGATCTCTAGGTGTAAGAGTACCTGAATATTTTCACTCATTTGTAGCAAGCAGCTCCCTGCTGACTGGGGAGGTGGTGGGGGAAGTAATTTATGGCTGTACTTTGTCGGCAAAAGTGTGATGATTATCAGGGATTGTATGCTGAGCACCCAGAATGCACCAGGTGCTGTAAGCACTAGATGGGTGACAACAGTTGCTGTTTTTAAGGGGTTAAGTGGACCCTTTCCTGTTCTCTCTGCCCTGATTAGACCTCCCTATCTTCCTCCATTCCTTACTTCTTTGACCTTTCTCATAATGTGCCCTCTTACAGGCAGAGGAATGGCATTCATTCTCCACCACTCTTGAATGTCCCCACTGTGGTTCTGCTTAAGAGTTTCCTCTCATCCTAATGTGATTCTCACTGAGCTCACCCTATGAACCATTTCCTGAGCTGACCCTACGATCACTACCATACCAGACCCCTTCCTTCCCAGTGCTGGGAATTTAAAAGGTGGGAAAATTTTCAAGTGATGTTTTGTTTTCCAGCCACTGTATTCTTTTTTTTTTTTTTCCACAGGGTCTCGCTCTGTCACCCAGGTGGGAGTGCAGTGGTGCGATTACAATTCACTGTAGCCTCAACACCCTGGGCTCAAGCGATCCTCCCATCTCATTTTCTGACTTTTTTTTTTTTTTTTTTGAGATGGAGTCTCGCTCTGTCGCCCAGGCTGGAGTGCAGTGGCGCGATCTCGGCCCACTGCAAGCTCTGCCGCCCGGGTTCACGCCATTCTCCTATCTCAGCCTCCCGAGTAGCTGGGACTACAGGCGCCTGCCACCACGCCTGGCTAATTTTTTGTATTTTTAGTAGAGACGGGGTTTCACCGTGTTAGCCAGGATGGTCTCGATCTCCTGACCCCATGATCCGCCCGCCTTGGCCTCCCAAAGTGCTAGGATTACAGGCATGAGCCATCACGCCCGGCCCATTTTTTGACTTTTCTGTAGAGACGAGGTCTCATTTTGTTGCCCAGGTCGGTCTTGAACTCCTGGGCTCAAGCAATCCTCCTACCTTAGCCTCCCAAAGTGCTGGGATTACAGGTGTGGGCCACCCCACCTGGCTCACTATATTCTTTTTACTTTAAAATTTTATGCATCTTTCTAGGAAAAAAATCCACTGAAACTAATAAACAATCACTTTATGTGACGGGCATGTACACAAACACACTATAGACTTAGAACTTCAATAAGGCACATGGCTTTTACTTGGGTGTGATGCTGAGATTTTTATTTTTCAAGGGAACATACTCCCGACCGGTTCTTGTTATGCTGCTTTTTAAGAGAACCTAGCAAGAATGGTGAGTTCCATTGGTCAGCAAGTGGTAAGACAAGAAATCACCACAAAGACAGCTGCAAAAAAGAGCCTGGAAAAGCTGAGGTGGTATCACTGTAATTAACAGGGATAATTAACACAAGTTCTTGCACAATGCATTTGGTTTGAGGGGAGAGAGAAAATACTGGCTATCTGATTATGATTCCAAAATCTTCAAATTCTGACAAAATTCTGGCTAAACCTGCTGCCAAACCTACTTGCATCCTGTATTACCTCCTCAGCAGCTATCAACTGGGTCCGCCTCAAAATGTCAGCTTTCCTCTGCATAACATGGGAGTTATAACTGAGCTTAATCGGTGCCTGGATTTTCCGCAACTTACCGATTATTTGGCCAGCTCAGTTTTTGGCATATGCAGGAAGTCCTTGATGTCCATAAGGAGAATGACAACTTAACAAATCAGTAGGTTTTGGGTACTTATGGGAAGGTTGAGAACAGGCCAGCTGCTTCCTCTATTGGAGGTGATGCATGGTTAATTTCTTTATTTTAGCATACTGTACACAGATGCGGCTGGGTTGTTAATTTTGCTTTGCTACCAAGAGTTACAAGATATCAGCTATCGGCTGATTTATTTGAAATCCTCCCTGGAACGCATCAGAATTTTAATTGTTTCCTGAATTTCTGCAAGAGAAGACGAATTGATGTCACTGGGAAATGCCTTGGGTCCCTGCTGACTGCAACTAACTCCCAGTGACTGATTTCCAATTGATACAGATGAGGCCTGAGAGGAAGCACACATAGATACACCCACGTGAGCCCAGCAGCCTCGTAATGGCTAACAGAGATGATGGGGGAGACTAAACATTTCTTTCCAACAACTCATCAAGTACACTGTTCTTCTCAACAGATGTAACCGGCGGGGCCCAACATAGATGCTGGCAGAAACAGATGGTGCCGCGGGGCAGCTCTCTGTTCCCTGCTCCCTAGGTTGGGCTCTGCAAGATGGGGAAGAGGGCTTGTGTGTGCAGGCGGGTGGGACAGGGCTGTGTTTTCCAGCAGCAGGTACAATCCATTTGTCACACCAGCTCCAACCGGGTTTTCAGCACAGAAGTTAATATCTGAAACCAATGAGGCATTCTGTCCCACCATTGCAGGGAAACAGGGGGAAGCCTCTCACTCCCCATGTCCTCTGAGAGGAGGGAGGGACAGAAGGAAGGAAGGGGGTGGCAGGTCAGAAAGGCAGAGGGAGGCCTGGCAAGGGAGGGAGACAGATGAAAACACAGGCTTGGCTTGCAGTGGCTTTAAAGATTTGCTATTTTATGCTTCTCTTTCAAAACAAGATGGCAGGCAGGAAGGGGAGACCGTGAAAAGAGTGTTTTCTTTTAAATACCTTCAGGGGGAGGACTGCCACCAGGCCGCCACCACCACCATGAATTGCCAATACCACTATAATTACTAAAATCACCAATCCCCCCTAGAAAAAAACAAGCTTCAAGGGAAAAACAAGTGTGTTTTATTTCTCTATTCTTCACAGGGTCTCAGCAACCTCATAAAAGCATCCCCTACCTATTCACTCAGTCTGAAACATGAATACATATAACAGCAATAAATTTCCATTGCTTCCAACTTTGAACATTGCAAGGGTATGTGGCACGGAGAGGATTTTTATGAGCAGGCCTTCAGCTGCCAGGATCCCACCTTCATAAAGAAGAGATTTTAGTCCATTCTGTCTATTTATTTTGTGGAGAGAAATCAAGGGCAATAAACCATGAAGAAATTCACTCTACCTTATTCCATTTCACACTTTTGTCAACCACGCTTTATCGAGTATTTGAATGAATTTTTAATATCATGCCACAAAATGCTTTGGTCTTCTATCATATGCTGGGACTCTATCAATCTGATAACACTTGGGAGTTCTGAGAGATACTCAGCACTGAAGAAAACAGCTTTAAAGTTTAGTCATTCTGATGGAATGTAAAAGCTTGTATCAGTGACAGGTTGACAGAAAAAGCTGTTTTCCTTTCCATTTCACAGACTTCCACGTACGAACGCCATGAAACATGTCAGGACTTTCTCTGAGTCTATGAAGACAGAGATGGCATCTGCTCCCAGTGGGAAGCCCTTCTAACCAGTAATACTATAAAATTTCATGATTCTGAATTCTGACTGACATTCAAAAGGGCAGGGAGGAGGTGTTTACTATATTTTATAGAACAACATCAATTGCTTGTCTTAGCACATAAATATAGCTTTATGGTATACAATGCCACCTCAAGTATCTTTCCTCTCTCCTGTTCTCTCTTGCAAAAAAATCATAATCTGTTTGTGCTAACCAAAGAGGTTTCTAATTTCCTGCTATAGGTAGGAGGGAGCTTATATTTGCATTTCCCCTGAACTATACACTTTTCTTGGCTCCTTCAGGAAGCAGCTGGCATAAAGGGCAATGGTTTCCACTGATTCCAAGCGTAATCTATAGATTTTATATTGCAGCAGGAACTTTTGCCCCGGTTTCTAACGATGCCAATGCCCTCCCATTCCTATTGGATCTGGGTAGACGCAGTAGTTAGAGAAAATGCTTATGAAACCCATTTCTGTAGTTTTGATTATGGCAGTGTTTTCTTTTCCCCTGTATCTTCTTAGGTAGAAAGATGATGAGCCATATTGCTGTAGCAATATACAACAACAACAAGCAGGCACATACAACTATCAAGATATGCCAAAGGTGAACAGGGTCCCCCCAAATTTCCTCTGCACATATGCAGAGCAATGCAATGAGGTATCTTCACATTAAAAGGTAGTGGGTAGCAAAGCCAAGTAACTCCAGGTGTCCAAATAACCGCTGCTCTCTATGCCTGAGCCACACACTTTAAAACAAACCTGAAAAACTGGAAGTAGACCCTGATTTGAAAAGGTACATCATATCCCTCTGAGTTCACTAATTATCCCTGAAAACCTCCCCTAAATGGAGGAGACGGAGTGGACAAAGGAGCCTTCACAACAAAGAGAATACAACTGAATATTTCCTAAGAAAATGTGAGCATTTTTATCACCTTGAAGCCAGAGAGATATAGACAGGAATAAAGGCCAGACAAGGCAGAAGTCAGGAAATTTAGGAAACTGGATGACAAGCCAGCAATCTCTATTGACGGTGTACTGTAAAGAAGGAAGAAAAAACATGAAAGAAGACAAAGTCCCAGATAGATCTCTTAACTCATGCTTAGATATGACCCCAATGAATTCCAGTCACCTCCACAACACCCTCTGCCCACTCAAAAGTGAGGGTTGGGTGATGGATGATGGATTTTACACTCGAGTCTTAGACAGTGTTATAAAACAAGAAAAATACATATGGAAGATATGGAGATTAGGGACGGATAAGGTGTGCAGAAGACATTCAAATTCTCTTTTTCTTAAAAATATACTGTTATCCATGTCACCAAGCTTTCTGGACTCATTGCTACTTCTTGTTTTCAAACCTGGGTATGAATGTTTTCAAGCCTTTCCCCAAATCAGTTCTTTTAAGAATTAGGCCAGCAATCTGACATCTTTGATCTCCTTCCAAAACCTCTCTCTAAACACAAAACTTGAACCAGAAGGAATGCAGTGTCTACACACGTGTAAGAGGACCCAAACTGCCCAGCACATAAACAAACCTGTAATGAATTTTGTATCAAAACATTCTGCCAAGCCTTCCTTATGTATTCTTTTGCGGCTCTGCTCAGTTTGTTCAGGAAAGAAGACCCCATAGGGAGCTGAGAGATGTCTCCATCCCTCACCCATTCTTAAGTAATTTCTTTTGCTAAGAGAATGAGAGAAGAATGGACAGGAGCCATGAAATCCCAGAGGTCAGGAGTCCTTGAGGTATTTGTACATTGGAGGATGCTCACAGGAAGGCAGGTTGTTGGCCACAGTAGGCAGGCAGACGCCAGGCAGACATTGATGATCTGATGAAGGAAAGGCCCTGCTATTTTCCAGTTTGTTTCAACATGCAGTGCCAGGAGATGGCATTTAAATTAGCAACCTGTACTGAGAGTGGCAGTCAGGCCCAAGGTGTGGAATGGTGGGGGCCCCTGGCCAAGCCTCCTGACTTAATTCCAAGTATCAATGTAGCTGGTTAGCTGCATCTTTGCCCAGGGTAGGGATGGCAAGAAGTTGCAGTGTGCTATTCCCATGCTTTGGAAAGACTCACATCCTGTTGTCTTTTATTCATTTTGTGATTACATACCCTGCCCAAGGCAATTTTCCAGCAATTCTGCAAGTTCTGAGAGCTGGTGGCTTAATAAAAGTTCACTTGTAAAAAAGGGGGCTAGGGTACCTTTCCCGTAAAATCCTGGTGTCCAGGCCCACTCAAAAAGTCCCATTCAGTTTATAAATGCCTTGAAGGACAGACCTTCGTAACAGTATTATTTCAACTGCACCTAAGCTCCTTCCAGCTATAACATTATTTTAATGAGGAAAAAAGCATTTAAAATCCAAACTAGGGATGCCAAAGGAAAACAGCAGTGTCTCTTTGCGTGCATCCAGGGGAGTACATGAGTGTTCAGACGACTGGGGAAAAACCCAGTAATTATGATGATGGGCATCGATTTGGGGGGATCAACTTCATGCCAAGCGCTGTAATGGTGCCTTCATCCTTAATTCTTGAAACTACTCTCAGGAGGTAAATATGATTTTCTGCCCTTTACAATTGGAGACTGAAGCTCAGAAAGGTCAAATGAATGGCCCCAGGTCACACAGTTAAGAAGCAACAGACTGGAATCTAACCCACGCCCATCCCCAAGTGATTCTTAAATGTGCTCTTCCCGCATGCAAGCCTTTCTCTCTGTACCCTACAAACCAGAACTCTAGGTTGAGTCTCCTGCCCAACTACCCAGGAGTCTGGAACCTTGGAATCGTTTCTTTATTACTTGATGCCTCTGTGTCTCTACTAAGAAAATGCGATAGCTTCCAGGATACTTCTAAGACAAAATACAAGGTTTTACATGTGTAAGCCCTTTTTACAGCAAACTGTGATTCTGCGTCAGCTTCACAGAGCACCTTCTGAGACAGCTGACCCCACTTCAGTGGAGTGGCTCTGGTCAGCCTGAAGTCTTGCCAATGTCAGGAGTGGGCAACCTTTATGCTGTCCCTATCAAGTCACAGCTTCATAGCAGCATAAATAGCATCTCTGCGTAATTCTTTATTTCCTGGGTTGATACAAATGTCCTTCTTTTCTACTGTTGCTCACTCAATTTGTTTTCTTTCACTTAAGATGTGCCAATTGCTGGGCACCCTGGAGGTGCCTCCAAAACACAACATCCTATTTTCACAGTGTGACATCACAAAATACAGGCAGCATGTCTGGAACTTTGCGGGGAGCAAGGACCCCAAAGCACTATAATGATTTTTAATACCTTACATTTGGCTGTGCTGGGCCAAAAATGTGTATAGAAGGTTATGAGTTGATCAGAAACCTGGGGGGAATAGTGTAAGAAGTTACAGCCTGTCAGTCTCTGGTACATCAGCTCAAAAGACACTGGATTTTGTAAAGAAAATTTTCAAATGTGTGGTCCTATACAGCGTTAACCCCTTTACATGACTGTGCCACATACTCCTGGGGGACTGGACTGCTTCCTGCACAAAATCACGCTGGTGGAAGGATGGCAGAGGAGCTAGAGTTCTGCCCTCCTGTTTGCAGATCTTTCTAGATGTCTGCCTCATGCCTTGGCCTTGAAGCAGAAGCAGTCTCCTCCCACCTCTGCAGCCTGCTCTTCTTTGACCCTTCATCTGCATATGACTCCTAACCGTAGGCCTTCTTCAAGCTTCATTCTGGATCCTTTCCTCTCTACTCTCCACGGTCTCATCTGTCTTCACCATGACCTCCATGCAGTGGCCTTTTGAATTTATATCACAGCCCACTTCTTGCTCCACAGCTCTGAACTCACATTTCCACAGCCTCCAAAGGTTATTTCATGTCCTGTGGTCAGCTCCAGCTTGGTCCCTCCTTCCTCCTAATCTCACCACACCACTATTCTCACAGGCTCAAAGATGCCTAACAAGTGGCTTGCAACAGAAGTGTCACCTGGAAAAGTTTCCCCCTCAAACTACACATGCAGGCTTCCCCAGGAGGAGCTGATATGCCCCATCCTGGCACACATCTCAGGGAACTTGCAGGGAAGGAGGAAGATGTGGAGGATGAGCACAGAAAGGGGAGCAGGTGTGTGCAATTTGACTAAGGTCCCCAGGGGATTCTGTTACCTCTCCCTTCATGCCATGGAGAGCAGCTTCTCTAAACCTTGACATTATTTGTTAAGTCCCATTTCTCCCTCACATTCCCCATCAAATTCGTTGCCCAGTCCTTGCTGACTGCCTCTCAAAAATACCTCCCATATCTGATTCTTCCTTTCCATTCCCACAGCCCCTAACCTCATTATCTCCTGCCGGGATTGTTGTTGCAAGCAGGTCTCTGAACCTCCAGGCTCTCTCAGCTCCAATCCATCTTGTACGCTGCTGCCAGATTAACCTTCTAAAGCAGTGGTTTCTCAACTTTGGCGTGCATTAGAATTGCCTAGGGAGCTTGTTAAAAATACAGATGCCTTGACCCAAACCTATAGATTAGGATTGAGTAAGTCTGGGTGGGGCCCAAGGTATATGTATTTTTTAACAAGCTCCCAGGTGATTCTGATACAGTCAAGGTTTGAGAATCCCTGGCACAGCTCTCACCATGGCGTTCCCTTAAAAAGAAAAGTTTCAGTGACTCTCCTTGCTTACCAACCTCCTATATAAGGTGTGAGGGGAGAGGTGAGAGAATCCAGCCAATCTTCACGGCTTGGCATGGTCGCACATCAGGCGACTTTTCAGCTTGTCTGCCCCCCTACCTCAGCATGAACCTTGTGCCCAATCCTGACTGCTCACATCTTCCCATGTATGCTTTCTCCTTCCTTGCCACCTAACCTCGGTCAAACTGTTTTCTCTGCCTTCAATGTCCTTCCTTCTCCATTTGCATCAAATGTTGCGACAGGCTAGAGCTAGGGAACTTTTTGGGCAGGAGGATCATATGGTTGGGTAGAACACACCACTCTAGATAGTGTAAACATCTTGCAACAAGGATCCAAACCACACACAAGGCATACCTACAACTCTGTGTCTGTCTCATACATGTTCTATCACTTATTCCTTGAGATGACCCTCTGAGGTACTAATTTTCCCAAGGCTGCTCAACAACACAGAGACAGTCATTGCTATTCAAACCCAGGCTCACTTGACTCTAAATCCAGGGTTCTTCCATATATTTGCTACAGGTATAGTTAAAGCCCATTGCAAGGATCCACACTTGGTCACAGGTGTTTTTCTAATTGTGAGGATAATTCAGTGCTGACTAGTTTGTGTTCCTCGTATAGAAGGTGACCTCTGGACCTTTGCCCACTGGTTGCTGAAGGAAGGGAATACTGTTTATAGGAATGAAAGAGAATTACAGAAGCTCTATTAGTTTCCATTTCTGTAATTCCCTGGAGTAACTAATTGTTTCCACTCTCTGAATAGCTTACCACCGCACACTAAATCTGAGTCTAGTTGGCTATTCTCTAGTCTACACACTTCTGCTCTCCTCCACTGGGCTGTATGCTTACCAACACTCAGCTGTAATCCATCCCAAGTTTTTATTTATTTTTATTTTATTTTATTTTATTTTATTTTTTTACCCAGTTGTGCTGGGTATTACAATTATATCGTTTAATTAATAATTACCTTCATTGCTGAACTATGAATATGGACATATAATTGTTGCTTCTCTCAAACCAAACAAGAGTGTTTTAGACACTCACTAAAGGTGAGAAACTTAAAGATAAACTGCTATCCACTTAGGTGTGGACAAGGAAATTATAAAAGACTGGCAAAACAAAACAAATCTTAAACCTAGAGGACTTGAAAACTTGACAAGTGTCCAAGATCTGCCTCCACTTAAACTGAAACTGAGAATGTAGAGAATGCATTATGGATGAGAATTTATATAAGAAAGATGATACAGAGCTCTAAAAAGCAAACCCATAAGCAAAAAAAAAGACCTTAGCAATGTATGTACAATGTACATAGAATGGCGTAATATTGGAAATCTATGAATATAATTCACCATAGTCACACACTAAAAAAGGAAGACCTGGCTGGGTGTGGTGGCTCATGCCTATAATCCCAGCACTTTGAGAAGCTAAGGTAGGAGGATCGCTTGAATCCAGGGGTTTGAGACCAGCCTGGGCAACCTAGGGAGAACCTGTTCCTACAAAAAAAGAAAAAAAAATCAGCCAGGCATAGTGGTGCATGCCTGTGGTCCCAACTATTTGAGAGGCTGAGGTAGGAGAATCACTTGAGCCCAGGAGTTCAAGGAGGCAGTGAGCTATGATCGCACCACTGCATTCCAGCCTGGGTGGCAGAGCAAGACCCTGTCTCAAAAAGAAAAAAAAAAAAAAAAAAGAAAGACCATATGATTTTCTTCATAGTTGCAGAAAAAGCATCAAAAAACACACACAAAAATCAAACATTCATTCCTGATAAAATCAGAAAACCAGGATTAGAAAAGAACTTTTTCAAACGGAAAATGGCTATATATGAAAATCCCAAAGGAAACATCATACTTATGGTGAACAACTGAATGCTTTTGCCCTAAGAACAGAAATATCCACTCTCACCTCTATTAAATATTGTTTTGGAGGTTCTAAAAGTGAATCAACAAGGAAAAGAGATAGTAATCCAGATTGAAAAGGAAGAGTTAAACTGTCTTTATTTGCAGGCATAATAACTATCTATGTAGAAAGATCAAAGAGAATCTATAAAAAAGCTACTAGAACTATAATAGTATGTGCATTTATCATAATTTAATATAACATCAATATACAAAAATAAACTGTACTAGCAACAATCAAAAATTTAAATTTTAAAAATGTTATCATTTACAATAACATCAAAAAATATAAAAAACTAGGGATCACACAAAAAATATGTGAAAGACCTGTGCATTAAAAAATACAAAATATTGCTAAGAGAAATGAAAGAAGATCTAAATAAATGAAAAAATACTTTGTTCATGGTTTGACTCAATAAGGTATTAATTCTCCTCAGAGTGAGCTATAGATTCCATACAAGTTGACAAGCTGATTCTAAAATTCATATGGAAATATATAAACCTACAATAACCAAAACAATTTGGAAAAGAAGTTGGAAGGCTAACATTCCCTGATTTCAAGCATATCATAAAGCTGTAGTAACCAAATGATGTGGTATTGGCATAAAGACAGAAAATTACATCAGTGGAACTGAGTAAAGGGTGAGGAAATAAACACATACATGTGAACAACAGAATTTGAACAAAAGTGCAAAGGCAATGCAGTAGAGAATGCATAACCTTTTCAATAAGCAGTGCGGGAACACTTTAATATCCATAAGCAAACAAACAAACAAACTTGAATCTATACCTCATACCATATACAAAATTGAAGTCACATCATATACAAAAATGAACTCACATCATATACAAAAATGAACTCAGAAATTGGAGACTGAAATTTAAACACTAAAATTGTGCAACTTCTATAAGAAAACATAGGAGAAAATCTTTTAACCTTGAGTTAGGCAAAACTATAATACCAAAAACACAACACATAAAAGAATAAATTAATTAATTGGGCTTCATCAAAATTAAAAATTTCTACTCCTTGAAAGATACTGTTAAGTAAATGAAAAGAACCCACAAACTAGGAGCAAATCTTTGCAGAATGTGTGTGTGTGTGTGTGTGTGTACATACATGTAAGGAGTTGTATACATATGTAAATAAATAAAAGAATATATTTATTTTTATTTTAGATTATTTCTTAAACAATATTTTTTCATATATAATCTCAAACTCACAATAAGAAAACAAAGAATTTAAGTTAAAAATGGGCAAAAGATTTATATAGAAAGTTTACCCAAAAAGATATACATATGGAAAACAAACACATGAAAATATGCTCAATATCAGTAGTCATTAGAAAAACAAAAATTAAAACCACAAGTAGACACTAGTGCATGTGTATTAGAATGGCTAAAATGAGGCTGGGCTCGGTGGCTCATGCCTGTAATCCCAGCACTTTGGGAGGCCGAGGCAGGTGGATCACCTGAGGTCAGGAGTTCGAGACCAGTCTGGCTAACATGGTGAAACCCTGTTTCTACTAAAAATACAAAAAATTAGCCAGACATGGTGGCACACCTCTGTAATCCCAGCTACTCGGGAGGCTGAGGCAGAAGAATCGCTTGAACCTGGGAGGTGAAGGTTGCAGTGAGCCGAGATCGTGCCATTGAGCTCCAGCTTGGGCAACAATAGCAAAATTCCATCTCAAAAAAAAAAAAATAATAAAAGAATGGCTAAAATGAAAAGACATACAAAGTGTTGGTGAAGATGTGAGGAGGTGGAACTCTTATACACGGTTGGTGGAAATGTAAGACGGTACAACCACTCTGGAAAACAGTTTGACATTTTTGTAAAACATTAAACATATACCTACCAGTTCCAGCCATTCTACTCCTAGATACTTCCTTAAGATTCAAATACATATATGTCCATACAAAGACTTGTATGTGAATGTTCACAGCAGCTTTATTTGTAATAACCAAAAATTGTAAACAACCCAGACGTCCATCAGTAGGTGAAAAGGTAAATAATTATGGTATATCCATACACTACTCAGCGAAAGAAAGAAATGGCCTCAATGCATGCAGCCATATAGATGAATCTCAAAATAGGCCAGGTGCAGTGGCTCACACCTGTAGTCCCAACACTTTGGGCATCTGAGGTGGGTGGATCACTTGAAGTCAGGAATTCGAGAACAGCCTGGCCAACATGGCAAAACCCCATCTCTACTAAAGATACAAACATTAGCCGGGTGTGGTGGTATACACCTGTAATCCCAGCTACTCTGAAGACTGAGGCAGGGGGATGGCTTGAACCCGGGAGGTAGAGGTTGCAGTGAGCTGAGATCGTGCCACTGTACTCCAGCCTGGGTGACAGAAAGAGACTTTGTTTCCAAAAAAAAAAAAAAATCTCAAAATAATTATACAGAATGTGAGAGCACAAAAAAGTATACACGCTATAAGATTACAGTTATATAATACTCTAAACATGAATAGTAATCCATAGTGACAGAAGGTATATCAGGTAGCTTAGCAGTTGTTTTTTTGTATATGTGGCAGGGGCTGGGTGAATGGGCAGGAGGAAGGGACCACAAAGGAGATGGGGACCTGTGGAGTAATGAATGAAGATGCTCATTATCTTGACTGTGGTGATGGTGTCATGAGTGGGTACTTTGATCAAAACTTATTAAATTGTACACTTTAAATATACATAGCTTATCATATGTCAATTACACCACAATAAAGCTGCTTTTAAAAATTAAGTGTAGATAGCATATTTTCTTCTTTATGACTTTTTCCTTTAACTTTCTCAATTAACTACATACTTCATGGGTTAAGAGTGTTTTTCTGTATGTGTAAAACAAACAGGCTTGACGGTAAACAGCAATTATCATTCAGAGCTAAAACATATCTTGGAATTACCTAACATGATGTTCAGATAGAAAAGCTGAGGTTGAATAGAGTTAAGTGCAGTTCCCAGATCTGTACAGCTAGTTAAAGAGTTGGGAACACATTCCCAACTCTTCTGACTCTCGTAGGCTCCTTGAACCTGTAATCCATGTTTATCTTCAAAGTCACTAAGCACTGATAATTCTGGAAACAATCCTCAGTGAAGCAAAGCTGTCAACTAACTTTCAACCTATGTTAAGCACATGGCAGCTAACTGAGATCACTTGTGAAAAGATCATCCAGTAGACCAGGGGACCAAATCTTTGCATACTCAGCTCAATCACATACTCTGGTCCACAAATACAAAATTCATTTATTTCCTTCCTTTATCAGTTGGATGAGCTATTAATGATAATGATTCTGATTAAATATCACAATGGGCAAAAAGACGCTGATAATTAGGAAAGAATAGAGCATAGGCTTTGAAGACAAACACATTTGGGTTCAAGTCTAAGTTTTTTTTCACTTAAGATGTGGCAAGTTTGAGCCAGGATAACCTCTCTGAAACTTGGTGAGAGGCGATCCTCTCACCTTGTCCTCCCAAAGCATTGGGATTACAGGTGTGAGCCACAACACCTGGCTAATAGTAGCTTTTATGATTAGGGGAACACTATGGTTCTAGAATAGTGATTATCAATCCAGTGATTATCACAACTCCTTTGTCACCTTAGGCTATAACAGAACTGTCCCCCACTCTCTCTCAGTCCTTGCCCCACCTTCCCCACCACAGTGGTCAATCTCCTCTATGCCACTAAGAATCATTTTACAGAGAAATCTCATTTTACAGAGAAAAAATGAGATAACAGTATCTTCTTATAGGGTAATGAGAATGATTAAATGAAAGCATATAGTTCAATGCCAGAAATATAGTATGTGTTCACTTACTAGTGGCTTTTAAACATTTATTTATTTATTTACATTTTTTAAGAGACAGGGTCTTGTTATATTGTCCAGGTTGGTCTCAAACTCCTGGCTGCAGGCGATCCTCTCACTTTGGCCTCCCAAAGCATTGGGATTACAGGCGTGAGCCACAACACGTGGCTAATAGTAGCTTTTATGATTAGGGGAACACTATGGTTCTAGAATAGTGATTATCAATCCAGTGATTATCACAACTCCTTTATCACCTTGGGCTATAACAGAACTGTCCCCCACTCTCTCTCAGTCCTTGCCCCACCTTCCCCACCACAGTGGTCAATCTCCTCTGTGCCACTGAGAATCATCATTTAATAGGCCACATATGTTGGTAGCAATGCGTCTTATCCCTTAGAACTTCAGAACAAAGATTATTTTCAACTCATCTCATGTTTGCTGATATCTAGCCTTTCCAAGGATAAGCATTGGGCATTTAGGACTATGGTTGGCAAAGTTCAAATGAGTGACTGAGAGATACCGTATCAGGCCCAGGCAATCCAGTTAATCTTTGAATAGCCTGGGCTTTCAAGGCAGAATCTTTGCATTCAAGTCTTAGCTCCACTATGGTGCATAACCTGTCAAGCATCAGTGTTCTCATCTGTAAAATGGGGACTACTTCAAAAAGTTGTTGTAAGAATGACATGAGACCATGGCACTCAGGAAACTCAAGATAAGTTTTGGCAGTTATTATGAACACTGACTACTCATCTGTAGGGGAAAAAAAAGTACCAAAGAGGCTTGGCCTGATTTTTCATTACTAATTGATAGCATATGAACACAAATACACATAACACATGCATCTATGACTGTGTAAGGTGAATTCCCAAGGGAATAGAAAATAGCCAGCCTTCCAAAACAACTGGTAAAACCTTCAGGGAGACAGCTACCAGGCAATAACAACCAGCAGTTTTAAAAGAGGTAGCTGTAGAAGCCAAAGTGAATAGAGCAGGTTCCCAACCCTTGCTTTTTCTTTGCCGAAAAGATGTCAAGGTGAAAGAAGAAAATGCTTCATGCTGCTGCTTGCCATGAGGTGTCATTGGCTCACTCTCTGTTTTTGATAAAAGACAGCCTGAGTGCAAGGAAACTGGGGGAAAGTGAAGAAGAAAAGAGACAAATTGGATGCTCAACAAGCTGGCTTTCAAAGAAGACAGGTATTAAAGGTTGAAAGGGGGGTGGTGGGCTTCGTGTTACAGAAACCAAATTATTTCAAAAGCAGAACATATCAGCTGCATGCTTTGGCATGGGTGGCTGGCTAAGAGCAAGGAAGCCCAATAACATCACATAGAGCCCCTATAATCAGTATGTGCTATCGTCTTCGCAAGGACAGAGGACCAGATCAATGAACAGGTGCTTGTGAGACACAGACTACCCAGGATAATGAGGAACCACAGAGAGGCATCCACACAGGCTCTCTCTTTGGTTCAGAAAAATCCCTCACAAGCCAGGCAATTTTCTGCGACCCCAGTAAGATCCAGTGAAATACTGTGTCCAGGACAAACTAGACCATGGGGCAGATGAGCAGGAAGGGCAGGACTCAAAAGCGGGCACTCTGGCAAGCGCTGCTGGTTAGTAAAACACCAATTCCTCTCTTCCCAGCCAGCACACATGCGCTGGGAATCTCCTGAAAACAAGTTCCCATAGAAGACATATGGTGCTTACTTGCTAAGAAAGAGTGCTAACAAGACAAACTGAGAAGGAACAAGGGAAAAGCTGATTGAGTTTTTCAGTCTCCCGAGGAGGTGAGATACAGGCTGGAGGACATGAATGGGGCTGCTGTGCAAATGCACACCCCAGACAGAGGAGCCCCTCTGAGCATTCCTCTTTGGCCCGCTCCCCTACAGGCAGACCAGCAAAATCAATACTACCCTTCCTGTCGGGAGCAGTCGGTTGCCTGTGGCAACTGGTGGCTCTCTGCAAGGCAGTAAGAGCTGAGCTTCCAGCCAGAGGATGCATGTCCTTGGGGGTAAGAAATGGCCCCAGTAGAAAACCTCTCTAAGTTTAACTCCTTGAAAAACACATCATCATCTAGGAATAGGGTCCCTTTCTAATCCCACTAGAAAACAGGAAGCTGAAAACCTCACTGTACTCAGTTTGTTTAGAGGGTTGAATGGTGTCTAAAGATTTCTGGAAAACGGTGGTTCACCAAACAGTGGAATGTCAAAGCAAGAGCGGTACCAATGGCAAACTGAATCTTATCTTAAGGACCTGCTATAGTTAGCAAGCGGAGGCAGGCTGAGTATGCATCAGTTGGTTTTCAAAATATGTTATTTACAATACGCAGCAGATGTTCTTTGAATTCTAATGTGAAAATACAGGCTTTTTATTTTTTACTGACAGACTAAAAAGTACACTTAATATAATAATCTTGCAAAGTCCAAAGATTACCTCACAGTTTGGAAAATACTATGTTGAGTCATTAGTCCCATTACTCAGTATTTTCAAAACTCACCAGATAAATATGGTACACTGAGACTTCCTGGTAACGACCTTCTATTTTTTGCAAGGAAGAACACAGCAAGGCTTCCCAGAAGCCTCAATTAAATCTGGAAAATGTTTCTAAAATATTCTGAAGCACAACACATGCACACATGCTGAAATGTTTCAGGAGGTCCTTGCTCATCATGGATGAGTTTCTGCTGTCATTCATTCCTTAGAAAAAACTGAGTCTCTCCAATGGGCTAGGAAGTACACTAGGCAAAGGGAATATAAAGATAGGCAAGAAACCATTCTTGCCCTCAAGAAGCCTTCTGTCTAGGGCGAGGAACAGTCATACAAAGAAGCCATTGCAAAGCTATGAGAATAAGCTTTTTAACATGGTTAGCATAGCATACTATGAGTTATCTAACCCGTTTTGAAGGTGGTCAGGCAATCAAATCATGGGCCAGTGAGAATTTCCCGGGGGAAACTTCACTGGAGAAGTCAGGAAGCACTCTGTGGGGGCTGGTGTGACTAGGATCCATTGGTGAGCCATGCAGGAGCAGGTCAGGGAAGCAGCAGGGGTGGCTAGGGAAGCTCTGAATGGCAGCAAAATAAATACTGGAAAAGAACTCAAGCTCTGGGGTCCAACAAACTCCCCTGTGCTTCCCAACACAGGCGATTTGCTTTTGCCATTTCTTCCCTCAGAAAAAAACAGAGAGAATGCAAGTTTGCTGTGAAGATTCAGTGAGAACAAATGAAAATGTATGCCACGTAGTAGGTGTCAAATATGTCTTAATTTGCTGCTTTTTATTTTTTTATTTTTATTGTTATTATTTTTTAGCATTCTTAACACTCTGCCAGGCAAATGTTTCCCCGACTCCTCATCTCACCTGGAAGAGTAAGTTATAGTTGGGGTTGATAACAGTTTTACAGATTATTCAACAGATACTCCGTGATTGTGATTCTGCAAATTATTCAATAAATACTCTCTTATTGTGAGGGCCTGAACTCCACAACGGGTTGTGCTTACACAAAACAGTTCAATGTAGGGGACTTCTGCGGTGAGTTTTGTTGTATTTTATTTGCATATTCATTAATTCAACATTCAAATACCTTGAAATATTCATTCAAATAACCAACATGTTCTGAGCATCTAAAACACAGAGTGAGGCACTGTGTTGGTTTCTGGGCACAAAGAAATGGCCTCAATATTCTCACCACATGATATGGGAAAGAGACAAGCCAACAAAACACAAACAAAACATATTTGCTGAGGACAGTGACAGGGGACTCTTTCTAAATCAGTGCTTGCTTCTCAGCCTTGGCTGCAAATGTGAATTACTGAGGCGCTGTAAGAAGGTACTGATACCAGGGCCTCACCCCCAGAGATTCAGATACAACAGGACTGGATGGTGGCCTGTACGTGTGGGATTTAAAAGCTCTGCAGGGGATTCCAATGTGCAGACAAGGCTGAGAAAACTGTCTAGGGCATTCAGTTCCTTCACAGGTTATCAGGATATGGTTTTACAGTTATCAGCACAGATTCGGTCATTCTCAAACTTTGGAGTGTATCAGAATCACCCCAAGGCCCAGGCTCCTTGAAGTAGGAAAGAGCTTGGGCCTTTGTGTATTTACCTAATGTCCCAGGTTAATTCTGAATCACAGGAAAGTTTGAGGACCACTGCTCTAACACGGCCTGGCTATATCATATAGAACATGAATAAAGCAGAGTATCTGACTTTTTCAGAGCCAGGTCACAGAATGGGGGAACTACCTAACTCTTCCCATCTTCGCTGGCCCCTTCTTAGCATAGCAGTTGAGTGCCGGCCATTCTCTGCTTGGACTTGACAGAATGAATGCATCTTAAAACTTCTTCCATTTGTTTTCCTTCAACTCTCCTCATGCCTGTAATTATAACATTTCAAGTCCCTCTAGAGCCCTGAGTGCTGAGTGTTCTTTTGCACACCCTCAGGTTTTATTCTCAAAGTAACACTAGTTCACATAGTGCAGGAGTCACTACTCTTGAGGCCCAGGGACTTGGCCACAGATCCATCATTGGTAGATGACTCAGGACTAAAACCAAGGTTTCCTGATTTCTAAATTCTTTTCATTATGTTAGTGTTCCTCAGAGTGTTGTCCTTGTACAGGCAGCATTAGCACCATCACCTTTCTAAAAAGACACATTCCCGGGCCTCAACCCACATCTACTGAATCAGAAAATCTTGGCATGAGGCCTTGCATGTGTTTGAATAAGCCCACCAGAGGATTCGGATGCATGTCAAAGTCTGAGAACCACTGCATTTTATCATACAAAGCTATTGGTACTTCTATCAATGCGTAATTCAAGGAAATATTCTCTTCTTCGGTGCATTGGTGAGTTCCAGGTACACTGGAAGGTAAGGGGGAAATGTGTGAGCTGTTGTGAACTCTTGAATGAATCCACAAAACAATAAGAAAGCACATATCCTCTCTTACTCCTGACTCTTCTGAGAAAGATAAGGTGGCTACGGTGAAGATGAAGCACCATCTAAAATATGCATGTCTGTGTCTGCATTCTCCCAGATAGGCTTTAGAAAAATTCTCTTCATTTGCAGGCAGTGAAGACTTGATGAATAATTCTAGTCTTTCAACATTGCACCCGTAATTTTTTTTGCACTGAAAAGTTCCTGTGAAATAGAAAATGAAGTCTTTCACTGGTACCAGCCAAATCTACAAAGTGGCTCCTTTATGATGAATTCATGAAAAATTTAACGTTATGAGAGGAGAGGAGGGTATTTACAGTATCTGAGCTTAGCAAAGTGGAACAGGGAGCCAAAGTATGATTTCTTTTTGGCTCCCAAGGCACATGGCACATAAAATGTTTCTATAAAGAAAAAAAAAAGGCAGATTTGGTTCTGAGTTCAGTGAAATATCATAATTTCCATTTGGCTGTTTGGAGGCAGTTGCCTTTTTAGGCAACTCCCCATTTCAAGGAAAAGTTTGGAGCTCATTAGAGTCACCCACCTCCTTCCAACAGAATGAGAGAGTGGCATTCTGAGAGAACACTAGGCTTGCCTACCATGGCCATAATACCAGACAGGTTTCTGGAGTTGCCAGATTGGGCCGGCTACATGTGATGATGGCACCTGTGAGATTTTCTGAAAACTTCGTGTTTTTTTTCCCCATTGGGCTGGCAGCTCTAGGCACTGAAGGATTGGGTGGAAATACATTCTTTTAGATTCCCACCTGTAGGTGGTCCAATATCAGTTGCAAGGAGTAGGTAGGATAAGGTGGAGTGGCCATCTCATAAAAAATCTAGGACCTGGACCACACTGTGGCTAAATTTGCTTAAGGTTGAGTTCTAAAAAAAAGACAGAAATCAAAACTTAGATTATGCAGGGTAGTAACACAGTGCTGACCTAAAAAGAAAGTCAAAATTGCAAAATTAGAAGGGAGCTTGGTTAACCTATACTTTTTGGGAGGCTCTTTCCAACAAACTGTCCTCTACCTGGTTGGCCAGCTTGCTCTCCCTGAGCTCCTCTTGAACAACAGAGGCAGCCAATATCATCTTGAAGTGGATCTGATAGTTAAACTATTTATCTCCTCATTGAGTTTGAATTCACTTGTGTTTGTTCTAGTCCTCTGAGGAAATAAAGAATAAAAAAAAAGATTTAATTTTCTTTGACATGATAGTTCTTCAAATATTTAAAGACAGCCAACAGGTCCCCTTGTCCAGGTCTGCCCCTAATCAATAACCTGACGTTAGTTAATTAAGTCATTAAAACTGCCCAGAATACACTTTCCTCATTATGAAATGGATATTAGGATAACTATCTCTTTCTAACCTAAAATAAGTATAGAGAGGGTCAGATAAGATGTGAAAGTATCTTATAATGGTATAAAATATTATGCAAATGCAAAGGCATTACAATATGAAGATGATGGCAGGTTTGCTACAATTCTCTCAAGCTTCTTTCACCTCAGCCTTGTACCTAGATTGACTGAAAATAATAATAGTGTGGAAACTACTGAGAACTCTCTTGACACTGACATAAAGCCTGTCATCTACAAGTTTAGTTTTTTACATCTTCTATATTTTATAGAAGTTAAAAAATTCATTCACTGAAGAAACATTTATTCAGGATATACTATATTTAAGATACTTTATCAGCAGTCACAGGAGTTATAACAATGAAAATCCAAGGCGGGACTGGATAAGACAAGCACATAAATAATGGAAATACAAGACAAAGTGCTAAATGTCCTTTCCTACCCTCCACACCCCCGCCACCTCATACAATTTTGGAAAATCAAAGGAGAGAGAAATACTGTTCTAAGATTTCATGGAAGAGAAAGAATTTGAAGGATGAGAGGATTTCAACACATAGAATCATGTTGGCAGAAATAAAGGACATCATTTTAGATAAAAGAATACAGGACAAGAAAGGTCCTGTAAATGAGAAATTGTGGAGGTGAAAGAATGATCAGTGCTTTGCTTAGGACAGAACATACAGAATATGAAGGAATGGAAAATAATATAGAAGGCCTTGTAATTTAGGATAAGGCGTTTAGGATGTATTCAGTAGGCTTAGAAGAATTTGAAAGATTGCTGCCTAGGGATATGACATATGTGTTGAAGGAGGACTGCTATCTGGCCGTAACGTAGAAGATGGAATGAGCAGAGATCGAATGGTCTGGTGATAGTCCAAATGAGAGCCAATGAAAGCCTGGACCTGGGCAATGACATTGAGAAGTAGAGACGATGGATGAAGAAATACAGCTTCAATAGAATAAAAAAGCTATTATATACATGATGGCTTGTCATCTTGGCAACCAAGGAGGTGATAGAGACAGAAAGAAAAAAGTCAAATTTGCAACCTTGGGTCACATTATGGCCAACATTAGGAAAGACGGAAAGCCTGTCAGGGTTTGAGTTCTGTTTTGAGCAATGAGTCTAAAGAGCTGGCAGGACATCCAAGTGGTGAAGATAGTTTTGGAAGTTATCCACATAGTTAGGAGCCAGATGGTGTTATGAGGCTGGAAAGGGAGAAAATAGACAGATAAAAGAGTGGGCACCCATATTTGGGAAGGCACTAAACACTGGAGCCAAAAGTAGCCGGATAATGTGGAGTGCCAGAGAAGCCAAAGGAAAAAGAGTGCTTCACGATGGAGGAATAGTCAACTGAGCTCCAGGTTACCTAGAGGTCTCAGGGAATGGGGTCAGGGAAGGGTACTGGGCTTGATGCCATGAACTACAAGGAGAGACATTTCTGTAAAGTAACGGGAGCAGAGTCATGGCTGCAAGAAGTGAAGTGGGAGTGAGTGGAAAAGAAGCACCAACAGAGAGAGCAAACTGTGCTTTCAAAAGGTTTGGCAGTGAAGAGAATGAGAAAAAGAGAATGGTAGCTTGAGGAGGCAGCAGGATAGAGGTATTTTTTAAAAAGTGTGAACGTGGAGTATTACTGTAGGTTGAAGAAAGAAAATGAAGATGCAGTCCAAAGCCAGGTTCTAGAACAGGAGAAAGAGAATAAAAAAGAGGGCACAAATGAAGGCATCCACCTTAGAGAAAAGGGTGAACACTTGGTTATTTAAATAAGAAGAAATAGGAGGAAATATTGGGTAAATCTGGGAAGGGGCATAGGACTGTTCAGATCATTCATCCTACAGAAAAGTCGGGAGGTGACTTGATAATGATGTTTGAATTTATAAAGAATTTGAGTGTTGGTGAAATGATGAGAGAGAGGCAGAGAAGACAAGGGAATATGAGTTAATGTTATAGAAGGGTAATGTAGGTAAAAGTTAGAGATAAGTGAAGCCTTTCTGACTATAAAAGATGTAAGAACCAGCAACCCCCAATGGAATATTAGAAAAAAACATTTTTAGAGACACTTGCAGATATAACTGGACTTACGTTCAGTCACTTTAGGATATTTCAGAGATGAAATGTTCAGAATAGGCAAATCCACAGAGATAGTAGATTAGTGATTGCCAGGGTCTGGGTAGGAGGGAATGAGCCTGGGGATTCTTTTTAGTTGATGAAAATGTTCTAGAATTAGATAGTGGTGATGGTTGTACAATTTACTAAATGGCTGTCAATATACCAAAAATCAATAAATTGTATACTTTATGAGGATGAACTTCATAAGTGAATCGTATTTCAATAAATGTGTTTTTAAATAATATTTCAGAAGTAGAACTGATGATGGACATGGAGATGTGCTAAATGATATTTCCCTTCCATACCAAAAAGCGTCTTGGTTTTATGTCTTGCAAGGAGCTCTTAAGGCTCCTCAGAGCCTCTGTCTAAGACATCAGGCATTTTTAGACAGATGGCCCAGGGAAGACATATAGAGGGCACATGGCAGTGGAAAGACTGAGGGAACTACTGGGCTTCTCAGTATTGTATGCTTCTAATCAGTGCTTCCCAAACCAGAGTCCACAGACTGGCTGCATCTAAGCCACCTGAAAAGCATTTTCAAAGTATAATCCCAGGCTCCCGTATAGGCCTTATAACTAGAATATCTGGGGACAGAGGACCAACGTCTATGTTTCTATGAAACCTGGGCTGGCAAATCTCTGTGTTGTAAGTAACCATACTGTTGAGTAGAAACAAGAAAGTGGTGAAACTGGTGGAGTGGTAGCTGGGCCACTGCTGCGGTGTGATACAGCCCATATCTCTCATAATCACCATTCTGTGCCAGACTACCAGGAACACAACTTTTCTAAATATTGACTGCTACTGTTCACATCATAACAGTCTTCTCTTTGGTCCGGAAAATTTTATTTTATTTTCTATTTTTAGAGACAGTGTTGCCCAGGCTGGAGTGCAGTGGTGCCAGCATTGCTCACTGCAGCCTCCAACTCCTGGGCTCAAGCGATCTTCCCACCTTAGCCCCCAAAGTAGCTGGGACTGCAGGTGCACACCTGGCCCTCCTTGGTCCTTATACTTTATAAAGTCCT